>NC_000015.10:34185964-34488995 GCF_000001405.40 Homo sapiens
AAGGAATTCATATAAGACAAGAGTTACTTTCTCAAAGTTTTAAGATCGGGAGGGTCAATTTCTATGTTTATTCAAAGAAACCATAAACATCACTTCTATGGGACAATTGGGCCATTTCAGTACCCTCCTTTCTATTTATTAGTCCCTCGATCATGGGGAGTCTGGTCATTGATCTTTCTGGCTGCTTCATGCTGAGGAGGGGCATTGTGGGCAACTAGGTACCATGAGTGACCACACTGATGACAGTGGCTGCCACCATCATGCCAGTTGCAGCAGGGAAGACCAGTTGGGTCTGCACAATCCATGAAGCCAGTGGGAGCCCCGCCCCTTCTGAGTTGGGACAGGAGGTCCCCATGCCGCTGCAGTTGTAGACCCAGGTCTCCTGCTTTACTGAGCAAGCAGGAGCCCTGCCCAGGTGGGCTACAGCCACCCAAACTGCAGCTGTGGATCCCAGCCTCCCTGTGCTCTTTGGGGAGCCAGGAACAGGCAGGATCTGCCTTCCAGGGTGCAGCTGCAGCCACCTTACCTATGGCTGCAGACCTGGGCCTCCTTCTCCAGGAAGCAGGCAGGAGGTGGGGACAGGCGGGAGCCCTGCCTCTTCCAAATTGGTGGGGTGGGAGCTCCCCTGTGCAGCTGTGGCTGCCCTCCCAGGCACAGGACCAGGGCGTCTCTGCAGTCTACACCCTTGGGCGCCCCAGGAAGGATCCCCCTCCCCACTGTCCCTGCAGGCTCAGGGGTGTCTGCTCCCACTGCCTGGCCTCTCTCTGCTCCCAGCACCTGCTCTGATCTGAGAGCAGGGTTGGGGCCAAGCCCCAGGGCCATGAATGGCAGCGGGAGACAGACAAGAGTCCTGGATGGAAGGGGGCAGGGTCCCCAGTAAGGCCCCACCCTCAGGCCAGGGAGGACCTGAAGGAAGGGGGCTGGGCTGCCAGTCCCAAGGACAAGAATGGGGACTCGTGGTGCCTCTTCCGGGCCCACCCATGACAGCCCATGGATCAACTGGCATGCACTTCCTCCTCTCTGAGGTCCACAAAAGCCCTGGGCTCAGCCACAGCAGGGCGGAGGATGCCAGAGGACAAAGATGGCAGAGAGATGATGACAGAAGAGGACAATCAGCTGCAGAGTGGAGTATCCTCTCTGCTGATAGTTGGAGAAGATGGGACCACCAGCTGCAGAGAGGAGTACCCGCTCCGCTGAATGCTGCAGACGACCAGGCGGAAGAGAGAAGCTGCCCTATCTGCTGAGCGCTTCAGAGACCTGCAGAGATATCAGAATGACTTAACTGCAGAGAGGAGCCACTCTCTCCAGGGCCTCTTCTCTGCTAAGAGCTGAACACTCAACTGGACGACCTGCCTACAGAGAGGAGCTACACACTCCTCTGAGCTGTTCTAACACTAAATAAAATTCTTCTTCACCCTTCACTTGTCTGTGTACCTCATTCTTCCTGGACACAGGACAAGAACTTGGGCAAAGGCACTGCAGCCACAGAGGTTCTGGCCAGAAAAATCGACACCCCAGAGATCCCATAACAACATGGCCACCCAGGAATCAAAGGTTAATCTAATACTATAGTTTTCATCTGAAATACAATATTTCTCTCTCCAGTCCCCCACTTCCACCTAACATAAATCACAGCAGGACCAAGCCACCTGTAAAATAAGCTTCAGTCCAACTATACTTGGCCTGATTACCCATACAAAGTACAGCAAACATCATTGTCCACATAGCCTCTCCTAAAATGGTTTTGTTGGAACCTATCATAAGGCCATTTCAGTCAAAGTCCTGGAAAAATAACCAGTTCCTCCATCGCTGTCCCATTATAAAAGAAAACAGATTCTTACTGAACTTATGCAAACAACCACATTGCCACAAATTAAGAATATTCACAAATAGGCCAGGCACGGTGGCTCACACTTGTAATCCTAGCACTTTGGGAGGCCAAGGTAGGTGGATCACTTGAAGTCAGGAGTCTGAGACCAGCCTGGCCAACATGGTGAAACCCCGTATCTACTAAAAATACAAAAATCAGCCAGGTGTGGTAGCAAGTGCCTGTAATCCCAGCTGCTCGGTAGGTTGGGGCAAGAGAATCGCTTGAACCTGGGAAGTGGAGGTTGCAGTGACCCAAGATCATGCCACTGCCTTCCAGCCTGGGTGACAGAGGAAGACGCCATGTAAAAAAAAAAAAAAAAAAAAAAAAAAAAGAAAATTCACAAATAATTTATGAATTCTGAAGAAACTGGGCAGAGAGAAATACACCTCAAATTCTGTACACTCTACTCAGCTGTTAAAGGCTATAAATAGCGCAAATGAGCTGGGTGTGGTGGCTCACATCTGTAATCCCAGCACTTTGGGAGGTTGAGGCGGACAGATCAGTTGAGGCCAGGAGTTCGAGATCAGCCTGGCCAACATGATGAAAACCCGTCTGTACTAAAAATACAAAAATTAGCCAGGCATAATGGCACATGCCTGTAATCCCAGCTACTTGGGAGGCTGAGGCATGAGAATTGCTTGAACCTGGGAGGTGGAGGTTGCAGTGAGTCAAGATTGTGCCACTGTACTCCAGGTTGGGCAACAGAGCAAGATTCTGTCTCAAAAAGGGGGAAGAAAAAAAGTTTTCCAGACTCTGAAAAACAAAACAAAAAAGTAGCAGTGTTTCAAACAAAAAGCCGTACAAAATTATTTCAGTTCTCCATTAGTTCTGTCCATGCAATCAGCTCCTGCTCTGCTTCATATTGGGTTAGTAATTCTTATGAACGCATCAGCCTTTTGGTTAGTCCTGGAAGTTTTCTCTCTAGTCTCATGGCACAATTTCCAAAGTTATCAGAGGCCTGCATTCAAGAGTCCTTTTCATGAACTCCCCAAAGAAGTAAGCCCAGCATTATAACTGACTGTCAGCTGCTTTTTGGAAAGAATCAAAGCAAAACAATTAATGACAAAAATCTCAGGACAGACACAATTGACAAGGACATTTGGTTACTTTTGTGGCATACAAAAATGTAACAAAGACGTCATTACTGACATATTAATAATAATCAAGACATCAGAATTTTAGGAATTTCATACAACCTGGAACACATTTTTTTTTGAGACAGAGTCTCGCTCTGTCGCCAGGCTGGAGTGCAGTGGTGTGATCTCGGCTCACCACAACCTCTGCCTCCCGGGTTCAAGTGATTTTCCTGCCTCTGCCTCCGGTGGGATTACAGGCATGCGCCACCACGCCCAGCTAATTTTGTATTTTTAGTAGAGATGGGGTTTTGCCATGCTGGCCAGGCTGGTCTCGAAGTCCCAACCTCAGGTTATCCGCCCGCCTCAGCCTCCCAAAGTGCTGGGATTACAGGCGTGAGCCACTGCACCTGGCCCTGGAACACATATTAATACCACATCTATGTAAGTATAATCCAAAGAAAGTTAAACACCACCTCGCATTTGATAATGCCTCCTTGTATAAATCTAACATCAAATAAGTCTAATAAGTCTCTCTTGGACTTCAGGGAACCCAATATCCAAAAAAGTTTGAGGCAAAAAGACTGAACTTAGAACTTGCAATTTTGCTTTCGGAAAGTTTGTCAAATATCAAAGGTTTAAAAAACTTGATATCACAAAATATGATCATAGGTCACTATAAAATAGTCATTCATTTAACCAAAATGAAAAAACAAAAATGTTTACTCTTTGATAGAGAGGAGACAGTTTCCTAAACAAAAAGACTATAAAGACGGCACAAAGCTAACTAAATCTGTCTCTTCCCTCTCCTTTGTTCCCTGCAGTTTACTCAAAAAGTAAACAAAAATATTTTATTATCTCTTATTAATATTACACACAAATTCTGTTCAAAAGAGAAAATCAAATGTTACCTTTGTATGTTTCAGTACTGCTATTTTAGGGTTCATTTCTTAAACAATTAAAAGGAAGTGTATGTATTCAATCCAGCATGTACTGATTCAGCACTACTATGTGTCAAGAGATGAATAAGAAGTACATTCTTTTTTTTTTTTTTTGAGACAGAATCTTGCTCTGTCTCCCAGGCTGGAGTGCAGTGGCACGATCTCGGCTCACTGCAAGCTCCGCCTCCCGGGTTCATGCCATTCTTCTGCCTCAGCCTCCTGAGTAGCTGGGACTACAGGCGCCCGCCACCACACCTGGCTAATTTTTTGTATTTTTAGTAGAGACAGGGTTTCACCATGTTAGCCAGGATGGTCTCGATCTCCTGACCTCGTGATCCCCCAGCCTCGGCCTCCCAAAGTGCTGGGATTACAGGCGTGAGCCACCGCGCCCGGCCTGGAAGTACATTCTTATTTCTAAGAAGCTTACAATCTAGTGGGGACGAATAACAAGGAAGCCAATGAATATGAATAATGAGTGCTATAAAAGAGGAACAGATTACTAAACAGGTTACTAAAAACGCAGAAGCAGTTCATCTAATTTAAGAGGCAATGAAGCATCCCAGAATACACCTTGGGTCACAGTAGACACACTGGTCCCGAAGACAAACAGGAAATTGTAAACATGAAATAAAGGAAAGCTGTCTAGTTAAGCAACCACAGTAAAACTCTTGTATACTCAAAATTCAGAATCCAGAGCTTTCCACATTTCCGAATTTCCAGTTCTTCTCCAGATATGGTTCCTCAATTTGAGCATCAATAGAAAGCAAAAACAGTTAAAGAAGGTAATGGGAAACTTTACAATGGATAAATCAGGTTGACAACATCTAAGACACTAATCAATTTTAGCATCAAAAAAAGAGACAACCAGACATTATATGAATCCTGATATGATACAACAGGAAATATTAACAACACTACTAATAAATATTCTTGCCAAAAAAAATCAAACCTGAACATAATCAAGCTTCAACTGCCTGTTACCAACTACCAGTTTAATGGAAATACAGAAGACACAGGAACCTGTTAATGCGACCATGAGGATGCAATTAGAAAAATCCAGAAAACTTTCTTTGGGATAGATGACTCAGTGTTCTCAACAAACGCTTTGCAAGAAAATAAAATAAGAGGATGAGGCTACATATTAAAAGACACTTCAGGACTATATCAACTAAATGCAATGTTTGGATGTTGCTTAGATCCTAGTTTAAAAAAAACAAAACTTAAAATGTATATCCTCCCCAACCACTTGAATGTATTTCTGTCACTATAGTTTGCCTTTTCAAAAATTTCATATAAATCATAGACCATATATATATATATATATATATATATATATATATTTGGTAGGGCTTCTTTCACTTAGCATAACTAGTTTGAGAATCATCCATGCTGTTGCATGCATGTATCAATGGTCTATTCCTTTTTATTGTTAACAGACTGTTAACATAACAGTCTATTAGGTGGCTATACCACAATTTGTTTATTCACCTACTGATGGACATTTGGGTTGTTTCCATTTTTCACTATTATTAGTAAAATTACTGTAAGTCATGTAAACTTGTATGAACATATGCTTTCATTTCTCATGGGTAAATACCCAGAAGTGAAATGGCTGGGTTTTATGGTAGGTGTATGTTAAACTTTTAAAGAAAATTGCCCAACTGTTTTTACAGTGATTATACAATTTTACATTCTGATCAGCCGTGTATGAGATAGAAGAATTATTATTAATCATTGTTAATTATTTTTAGTTGAATGGTAGTGTGGTTATGTGTTTTTTTATTGTTGTTGTTGAGAGTCTTTTAGAAATCCATCCTGGCTGGGCGCAGTGGCTCACACCTGTAATCCTAACACTTTGGGAGGCCGAGGTGGGCGGATCACGAGGTCAGGAGATCAAGACCATCCTGGCTAACACGGTGAAACCCCGTTTCTATTAAAAACACAAAAAATTAGCTGGGCGTGGTGGCGGGCGCCTGTAGTCCCAGCTACTTGAGAGGCTGAGGCAGGAGAATGGAGTGAACCTGGGAGGCAGAGCTTGCAGTGAGCCGAGATTGCACCACTACACTCCAGCCTGGGCCACAGAGCACACAGTGAGACTCCATCTCAAAAAAAAAAAAAAAAAAAATCCATCCTACAGATAAAATGAGATTACATTTAGGATTTGCACAGAATAGGGAGTATCAACGAAGTAAGATATGTTGATAATTGCTGAAGCTGGGTAATTGTAAAGTTTATTATACTATCCTCTCTGCTTTTTTATATGATTAAAAATTCAGTCAGGCGCAGTGGCTCAAGCCTGTAATCCCAGCACTTTTGGAGGCCGAGGCAGGTGGATCACCAGGTCAGGAGATCGAGACCATCCCAGCTAACACGGTGAAACCCTGTCTCTACTAAAAGTACAAAAAATGAGACAGGTGTGGTGGCACGTGCCTGTAATCCCTGCTACTCAGGAGGCTGAAGCAGGAGAATTGCTTGAACCCAGGAGGCAGAGGTTGCAGTGAGCAGAGATGGCGCCACTGCACTCAAGCCTGGGCGACAGAGTGAGACTCCATCTCAAAAAAAAAAAAAAAACAAAAACAATTCCTGTAAGTTACAAGAAATAGGATACCAGACTATTTCAGTGAACAAAGCCAATTCATGGGAGACATACATATTTACGGCAATGCTCTGCAATGATACAGAGAAAATGGCATGTCTCTTGCTTTTAGGCCTAGAGGGTGGTGGTCTCTTCAATGACTGTATACGAAATCGACTTTGTTTCAGTAAGTAATGTGAAAGTCCGGGGAGGGAGAAGAGACAGAAACAAAAACAGACGTGTGTAGAAAGACTACGTGCTGTCCCTCCTTCCCACTCCATACTCCTGGATTTGGGTATAGGGAGAAGGATGCATAGAAGAAGAAAAAATCAGGAATAAATATGGAAAAAATAATCTCTCTCCTTTTAGAATATCCCCCAGCAATCACTGAATGCTTCCACAAAGGTGAACCTGGGAGCTGGGGATCAACAGTATTAAACGTTTTTACTTTATGTCCTCTTTATACCAAATTTTGCATCTCATAAGTATTACTTTAAAAATAACTTAAGGCTTGCCGGGCGCGGTGGCTCACGCCTGTAATCCCAGCACTTTGGGAGGCAGAGGCGGGCGGATCATGAGGTCAGGAGATCGAGACCATCCTGGCTAACACAGTGAAACCCCGCCTCTATTAAAAATACAAAAAATTAGCCGGGCGTAGTGGCGGGCGCCTGTGGTCCCAGCTACTCGGGAGGCTGAGGCAGGAGAATGGCGTCAACCCGGGAGGCGGAGCTTGCAGTGAACCGAGATCGCGCCACTGCACTCCAGCCTGGGCGACAGAGCGAGACTCCGTCTCAAAAAAAAAAAAAAAAAAACAAAAAAAAAACTTAAGGCCAGATGCAGTGGATCATGCCTGTAATCCCAGCACTTTGGGAGGCTGAGGCAGGCATATCACTTGAGGCCAGGAGTTTGAAACCAGCCTGGCCAATATGGCAAAATCCCATCTCTACTAAAAATACAAAAATTAGGCAGGCGTGGTGGCATACGTCTGTAATCTCAGCTATTCAGGAGGCTGAGACACAAGAATCGCCTGAACCTGGGATGCGGAGGTTGCAGTGAACAGAGATGGCGCCACTGCACTCCAGCCTGGGAAACAGAGCAAGACTCTTGTCTCAAAAAATAAATTAATTAATTAAAATATCACCAGTAGGCTGGGCATGATAACTCATTCCTGTAATCCTAGCAATTTGGGAGACAAATGCAGTTGGGTCGCTTGAGCCCAGGAGTTTGAGACCTGCCTGGGCAACGTGGTGAAACCCTGTCTCTACAAAACATACAAAAATTAGCCGGGCATAGTGGTGCACACCAGTAGTCCCAGCTACTCAGGACGCTGAGGCAGGAGGGTCGCTTGAGCCCAGGAGGTTGAGGCTGCAGTGAGCCAAAATTGCACCACTGTACTCCAGCGTGGGTGACAGAGAAAGGCCCTGTCTCAAAAAAAAAAAAAAAAAAAAAAAAAAAAATCACCAGCAAAATCACCAGTAATTCAACCACTTTTCCTCCCATGCAGTTTAGTTTTTCTTTGTCGTTTTTTATTTTTTTGAGATGGAGTCTTGCTCTGTTGCCCAGACTGGAATGCAGTGGCACGATCTCGGCTCACCACAACGTCCGCCTCCTGGCTTCAAGCGATTCTTCTGCCTTGGCCTCCCGAGCAGCTGGGACTACAGGTGCACGCCACCATGCCTGGCTTATTTTTGTATTTTTAGTAGAGACGGGGTTTCTCCATATTGGCCAGGCTGGTCTCGAACTCCTGTCCTCATGATCCACCTGCCTTGGGCTCACAAAGTGGTGGGATTATAGGCGTGAGCCACTGCACCCAGCCTGCAGTTTAGTTTTATATGCTGCATTTTGTCATTAATATTATATTTTCCTACATGTTAAAAGATTTTTTTTTGAAAATATGATTTAGGGCCAGGTGCAGTGGGTCATACCTGTAATTCTAGCACTTTGAAAGGCCAAGGCGGGAGTAGCACTTGAGCCCATGAGTTTGAGGCCAGCCTGGGCAACATACTGAGACCCTGTCTCTATAAAAAATAAGAAAAAAAAACTTTAAAAATTACATGAGCATGGTGGCACGCGCCTGTAGTTCCAGCTACTTGGGAGGCTGAGGTGGGAGGACAGCTTGAGCCTGGGAGGTGGAGGCTGCAGTTAAGCTGAGATTGTGCCACTGCACTCCAGCCTAGAAAACAGAGCAGGACCGTGTGGAGGTGGGGTTGGGAAGGGAAAGCCTCTGCATAACCAAAGAATCAACAAAGTGAACAGACAGTATCTACAAACTATATATCTGACAGTGGACCGATATCCAGAATTTATAAGGATCTCAGACAATCAGACAACTGAACAAAAACCCCCAAATAATCCCATTAAAAAACAGGGTAAGAACACAAATAGACATTCTTCAAAAGAAGACAAATGGCCAAGAAGCATGTGAACAAATGTTCAATATCACTAATCACAGAAATGCAAATTACAACTACAATGAAATATCATCTTACACCAATCAGAATGGCTATTATTAAAAAGACAAAAAGTAACAGATAACAAGGGTGTGGAGAAAACAAACTCATATACTATTTGTGGGAATGTAAATTAGTACAACCTCTATGGAAAACAGCACAGAGATTTCTCAAAGAACTAAAAACGGAACCACTATATGATCCAGCAATCCCACTACTGGGTATCTACCCAAAGGAAAATAAATCATTATATCCAAAAGACACCTGCACTCATATGTTTATTGCAGCACCAATTTATAATAGGAAAGATATGGAATCAACCCGTGTCTTATCAACAGAGGACTGGATAAAGAAAATGTGGTACATATACAATATGGGATACTATTCAGCCTTAAAAAAGAATGAAATAATGTCTTTTGTAGCAACATAGATGGAACTGGAGGCCATTATCTCAAGTAAAACAACTCAGACACAAAGACAAATACTGCATGTCCTCACTTATAGTAATGTGTACATATGAAAGCAGTGTGGAATAATAGAGAATGGAGACTCAGAGAGGTAGGGGTGGGAGAAAGGTGGATGATGAAAGCTTGCTTGATGGGTAAAATGCGTGTTGCTCTAATGATCCATGTACTGAACCTCCTGACTTCACCACATGCAATATATCAATGTAGCAAAATTGCACTTGTATCCTATAATCCCAGATACTCAGGACGCTGAGGCAGGAGAACTGCTTGAACCTGGGAGGTGGAGGTTGCAGTGAGCCGAGATCCCATGACTGCACTCCAGCCTGGGCAACAGAGAGAGACGCCATCTCAAAAAAAAAAAAAACCCAAAAAACAAACAAACAAAAAACCCACAAATAATTTTTTTAATTGTAACTGTCAAATGACTATGTATTGGGAATTCTGCAAACCACACTGCATTCCTCAAAAGCAATTCTATTTTGTGGAATATACAAAATAGTTATGGCGACATGGAAATTGATGATAAATGCAAATAAATTTAGGGTCCTAAAAGTAACTTTGTGATTTATGAACATTTGATTTATAAATCTTTACCTTACTTGCTATATGAGAAATCAATGTGTGTCTGATTTTTTAAACTACGTGTGCATGCTTATCTAAAATGTGTCTCAAAATAATAAAAACTGGAAAGGGGTAAGCACATTCTGGCTTCAGAGAAAAAATAAAATAAAAAGATTCATTAAAAAAAGATGTTACACATGTATCTTAAACATTTCAATTTAAAATCTAAAAATCAGCCAGGCGTGGTGGCTCACACCTGTAATCCCAGCACTTTGGGAGGCCAAGTGGGATGGATCACCTGAGGTCAGGAATTCAAGACCAGCCTGGCCAACATGGTGAAACCCCATCTCTACTAAAAATACAAAAATTAGCCACGCATGGTGGCGCCTGCCTGTAATCCCAGCTGCTTGGGAGGCTGAGGCAGGAGAATCGCGTGAACCCGGGAGGTGGAGGCTGCAGTGAGTCGAGACTGCATGACTGCACTCCAGCCTGGGCAACAGAGCGAGACTTTGTCTCAAAAATAAAATAAAATAATTTTTAAATGACTGGGCGCGGTGCCTCATGCCTGTCAATCCCAGCACTTTAGGAGGCCAAGGTGGGTGGATCACTTGAGGTCAGGAGTTCAAGACCAACCTAGCCAACATGGCGAAACCCAGTCTCTATTAAAAATACGAAAACCTGCCAGGCGTGGCGGCAGGCACCTGTAATCCCAGCTACTCGGGAGGCTGATGCAGGAGAATCACTTGAACCCAGGAAGCAGAGGCTGCAGTGAGCTGAGATTGCACCACTGCACTCCACCCTGGGTAACAAAACCAGACTCCGTCTCAAAAAGAAAGAAAGAAAGAAAGAAATCTAAACATAATGTATGATGCATCATCTATAATTTATAGTTTGGGCTTAAAGTGGCTCAAGAACTTGATACATTATCAGTACAAAATCCTAAACTGTTACAGTTTTACTTCATTTATGTTTAGCTTTCTAATCTACACCTTATTTGATATACAGTTTTTCAGGCATTTGCCTTTGTCCAGACTACCCAAAGCATTACAATTAATTTCATGGAAACAATATATTTTAAATTCCTATTTCCAATTGCTGTCTTCACTAAATTGGGAACTAAGAAGCTTGGCAAATGTGGCAGAGATAGACTGCTGCTCTCTACAAAGGTTTTTCCAACTTAGACTCCTGCTACTAGAGGTGGAGAACAACCACTATTTGCATCCATGATAACACAAGATTCTGTCTTGTCAACGTTTTTACCTTTGAAAATCTGACAAACGATGAACAATGTCATGTTTTAGTTTGCTTTTGAAAAATTTAATGTGAAGTTGTATTTTTCTTACGTTTAAACTGAAAAGACTAGGCAGTATGGTGTGACAGAGAAATATAAGTCCTAGAGTCAGACTACCTGGGTTTAAGTCCTGTTTTAACCATTTATTAGTTATGTACCATCTTAGGCAAGTTACCTAATCTCCTATTTTCAGAATAATGCTGTGAGGATTAAATAATCCACTTACCACAATGTCTGTAAATCACTCCGTAAATGTTAGCTATTATCAAGTTATACACAAACATCACCTATGAGGCAAGTTGCCTTTGGTGTAAGAAACATGATTCGTGGTATTAGCAAACTTTAATATCAGTTCCTAAATTTGTTGTATGTTTCTATATGTGCATATGTAGCACAGAGAAAAGAATGAAAGGATAAGGGTTATTTCTAAATAGTGGTATTACATTCCTTTTTTCTGTTTATTTTTCTATGAGATTAAGATTGAATCGTTGTCTTTGGCTTATTTTTATCAATTTTTACCAGTAAAAAATATTACCTTTTAAATAAAAGAATGAGGTTTATTTTATTTTTTTTGAGACGGAGTCTCGCTCTGTTGCCCAGGCTGGAGTGCAGTGGCATGATCTCGGCTTACTGCAACCTCTGCCTCCCAGGTTCAAGAGAGTCTCCTGCCTCAGCCTCCCTAGTAGCTGGGATTACAGGCACACGCCACCACACCCACCTAATTTTTTTATTTTTAGTAGAGACAGGGTTTCACCATGTTAGCCAGGCTGGTCTCAAACTCCTGACCTCAGGTAATCCATTCGCTGCCTCGGCCTCCCACACAAAGTGCTGGGATTATAAGTGTGAGCCACCGCACCCAGCCGAGTTTCTTTTCTTGACACAAAAAGAGGACGATACGCTAATAGGAACTGATAAATTAAAGCTTCTTAAGCCTTGCAACATACAAATTCTTATGTAAAGGAATATGAAATAATTGTAAAATTATGAAATTCAGTGACCTAAACCATTCTAAGGTAGAATTTTTGGTGGTATATACAGCTACATCATAGCATGTAATACTTTCCTACCTAACTCCTGTTCAGATCCTTAAACTTCCCAATCTTTCCTGCTGTGAAATTCTCACCATCATCCCATAGTTTCTAGTGGGAGAAATAGACAAACAAGCAATTATAATACAATATGTCAAGCACTGAGATATCCCTGAGGATTTATCTAAGAGCTTAGGGAAAACAAACAAAAACTGCTCTTGGAGTTAAACTATGAAACAGTAGATAGTGGTTTAAAGCAAAGATATTTAGAGTCATTTTACAGAAAGTAACAGCTTCTAGTCCAGCAGGACTTGCTGAGTAATCTCAATGAATGTTTCTCTACATTTTAATCAATGTGTAAAATTTATTTCCATAACTAATACAAAAGTGTTCCAAAAAAATACTTTGCGCTAACAGTGTATAGCAGGTGGAACTTATCACAAAGAACAACAACAAAAAACCCATAGTTTAATGTTAAACCAGATTCAAAGAAAGATCACACAGTTCCATAAATGTGACATTCCTTTTTTAGGTGTATTTGGTCAAGAACTGGGAAGAGGGACTGGCAAGGGAAGCAAAGACTTGTAGTCAAAAAGTAACAAGGTAAATGGAATGTTAAACTGTACTTTTTATAAAATATGAGAAACTATTATATAGGTACAGCAATGATACATTCTGTTGACCTTGCTAGTTTTGTTTTGCACTCGTTTAATCCCATTTAATCTGATTGAAGGTTACCATTTTGAAAGAATGTGGCAATTAAACGGGGCATGGATTCTGGGGAGGAGGTGAACACTGGAAAAAGAACAAAGAGAAATAGAGACAAATACAGGCAGTGCTACTCATGTACTGTCCAGCAAAAGGGTACCCCATCAGGTTACCTGTATTGTCTACTATACTTGTTAGGTTTATTCCTATTAAGAAAACAGATTTACCGGCCAGGCGCAGTGGCTCAGGCCTGTAATCCCAGCACTTTGGGAGGCTGACGTGGGCGGATCACGAGGTCAGGGGTTTGAGACCAGTCTGGCCAACATGGCAAAACCCCGTCTCTACTAAAAATACAAAAATTAGCCTGGTGTGGTGGCATGAGCCTCGAGTCCCAGCTACTCTGGAGGCTAAGGCAGGAGAATCTCTTGAACCCGGGAGGTGGAGGTTGCAATGAGCCTAGACTGTGCCACTGCACTCCAGCCTAGATGACAGGGCAAGACTCCCATCTCAGAAAATGACAGACTATAGATTTACCAAATTAACAGAGCCTGACATTATTAAATATTCAAATCATAAAACTAAATCCCGTCATCCTGATTCCACATGTGTCCCGAGTTGGCTCCTTCCAGTTAGTTCTTGGTCTTGCTGACCTCAAGAATGAAGTCGTGGACCTTCACGCTGTTACAGCTCTCAAAAATGGTGTGTCCAGAGTTTCTTCCCTCTGGTGGGTTCGTGGTCCAGAGTTTGTTCCTTCCGATGTGTCCGGAGTTTCTTCCTTCCGGTGGGTTCGTAGTCTGGCCGAATTCAAGAATGAAGCCGGAGGACCTTCGTGGCAAGTGTTCCAGCTCTTAAAGGTGATGCGGACCCAAACAGTGAGCAACAGCAAGATTTATTGTGAAGACGGAAAGAACAAAGTACGGAAAGAACAAAGTTTCCACGGTGTGGAAGATGACCCGAGCCGGTTGCCACTAGGGCTAGGTGGCCAGCTTTTATTCCCTTATTTGACCCCGCCCATGTGCTGCTGATTGGCCCATTTTACAGAGTGCTGATTGGTCCACTTTACAGAGTGCTGATTGGTCCACTTTACAGAGTGCTGGTCTATTTTTACAGAATCCTGATTGGTGCATTTACAATCCTCTAGCTAGACACAGAGCACTGATGGGTGCATTTACAATCCTCTGGCTAGACAGAAAAGTTCTCCAAGTCCCCACCCAACCCAGAAACCCAGCTGGCTTCACCTCTCACCTACTCGGAACAACTCAAAGTTGATATCTCAAGGGTTTAATATTTCCTGAATGATGATTCATCACACCACTTTCTCTCTCTCTCTTCTTTTTTTTTTGAGATGGAGTCTTCCTCTGTCTCCCAGGCTGGAGTGCAGTGGCGCCATCTCGGCTCACTGCAACCTTCGCCTCCCGCATTCAAGAGATTCTCGTGCCTCAGCCTCCTGAGTAGCTGGGATTACAGGTGCGTGCCACCACGCCCAGCTAATTGTTTTTTTTTTTTGTATTTTTAGTAGAGATGGGGTTTCACCATATTGGCCAGGCTGGTCTCGAACGCCTGACCTCTTGATCCACCTGCCTCAGCCTCCCAAAATGCTGGGATTACAGGCGTGAGCCACCACGCCCCGCCCACCACTTTCTCTTAATTCAGTTTTCCACAGTAAGCTGATTTGAGAAATAACGTCAAACTCGGGAAAGCAGATCAAGCATGAAAATAAAGACAGATGTCTGGAGATTCAGTGGGTACAATACTATATCATTTCAATCAATTTGGATCAAACTGAATTCCAACTCTCTTATGACTGAGATACCCTGAAATAAAAATTACAAAAGAGATGCCAAGTGGGAATTAGCTTTCCTACTACCTCTTCCTCAGTGTTTTTGTTTTGTTTTGTTTTGTTTTTTGAGACAGCGTCTTGCTCTGTCGCCAGGCTGGAGTGCAGTGGCGCCATCTCAGCTCACTGCAACCTCTGCCTCCCAGGTTCAAGCGATTCCCCTGCCTCAGCCTCCCAAGTAGCTGGGATTACAGGTGCACACCACCACACCTGGCTAATTTTTTGTATTTTAGTAAAGACAGGGTTTCACCATGTTGGCCAGAATGGTCTCGATCTCCTGACCTCGTGATCTGCCCTCCTCGGCCTCCCAAAGTGCTGGGATTACAGGCTTGAGCCACCACACCCGGCCTCTTCCTCAGTTTTAATCAAGTCCACTTAGATTACTACATTAGGGAACTGGGACTAATAATGGGAAAATAAAATTAAAGAACTAGGTAGATGTTTATCACCATCCATAGTTGTGGACCTACACAGGCTTTTTAAAAAACATAACTATGCCTTATACTGGAAAGTAGGGAGAAAAAAGTAAGGTAGCAAAACACTATGTTACCACTTAGGTTAAAAAGTGTGTGTCTGTGAGGGACTACTTGTATATTCACTAAATATCTTTTGAAGGATATGAGAGAAACTGGGGACAAAAGTCACTTCTAGTGAGAGGATATGTGTGGCTAGGGGGTGAAGGGAGAAGACTTTTCCCTTTTGGGCCTTTTGAATTTTGTATAATGTGCAAGTATGTTTTAACTTAATTATAATGTATTAGAGTATTATATACATATTTTCTTAAATGGCTATAAAACACCTGAATCTTTGGGAAGACTTAGGACTTCTTACGCCTAGAAGTAGATGGTTATGATTATTCTAGCATGTTTTGGTGAATTCGCCAAATTCCAATTTACTTTCCCTGTTAGAATAACCCAGTATTTTCTGGAAATATTCAACAGGGAGGAAAAAATACTTGATTCTGTTTTAATTGTCTTCTTGGACTCAGAAATGGAAAATATATATACAACTGGCCCTCTGTATCCGTGGGTTCAGCATCTGTGGATTCAATCAATTCCCAATCAAAACTATTTAGAAAAAAAATACATCTCTACTGAATATGTAGACTTATTTTTCTCATCACTATTCCCCCAATAATACAGTATAACAACTATTTACATAGCATTTACATTGTACTAGATATTACAAATAATTTAGAAATTATTTAAGGTGTATGGGAGGATGTGCAAAGGTTATGTGGAAATACTACACCACTTTATATCAGGGATTTGAGCATCCTCGGATTGTGATATCATTGGGAGGTCCTGGAACCAATCGCCCATAGATAATGAGGGATGAATGTATACATACATAAAACATTGTCACTTTAAGGATCATTTTTGACCCTTGTTTGCCTACTAAAGGTATTTCTGATACTTTCAAAACCAATAGACTCTCTACATATGAGAGGATATACCAATAAAGTAGTATTCAACTCTCAAAATGATGAGCTAATATAAATTAATTAAAAAACTCTATCTTCATTATTTGGACTAATGTCACCACCCTACGACACTTGTGCCTAATTTCTACAGTACCAGAAGTCAACAGGGTTAAGTATACCCTAAGCCTTGGAAAAAAGGGTAGATCATCCTTTAAGAATTAACAAAAATGATACTAGAGACATTCAAAATCTTTTTATAACAACGGTTCTTAAACCTTTATGTTCCAAAACTTGTGAGGATTATATTACATCCCCAACAGTTACAGTGGTTGGGCACCACCATATCTCCTAGGCTGAAATCAGAACGTATATTAAGGTTTGAAAATGCCTCCTCTCTCAGGGAACACTTTCTTCTCCAACAGAAGAATCACTTGCAGGCTCAAGAAAATATGACTCCTGTGTCCAAGACTTAACTATAACAAAAATTAACATATTAACTTTCATTTAAGAATAAAATCTCGGCCAGGCGCGGTGGTTCACGCCTGTAATCTCAGCACTTTGGGAGGCCTAGGTGGGCGGATTGCCTGAGGTCCGGAGTTCGAGACCAGCCTGGCTAATACGGTGAAAACCCATCTCTACTAAAAATACAAAAATTAGCTGGGCATGGTGGCAGGCACCTGTAATCCCAGCCACTGGGGAGGCTGAGGCAGAAGAATTGCTTGAGCCCGGAAGGCGGAGGTTGCAGTAAGCCAAGATCACGCCATTGCACTCCAGCCTGGGCGACAGCAAGACTCTGTCTCAAAAAAAATAAAAATAAATAAATAAAATCTCTCATCATACTGTTTCACCTAAACTCTGGATTCAAATCTCCAACTGCCTACTAGCCAGCTCCACATGGATATCCAATAGTCATCTATTCTTGAACTTAACATATTAAAAATAGAACCCTTAATATCCCCCCTCTCAAATCTGCTCCTCCCAACAGTCCCTAACTCAGTAAACGGAACCATCCTCCTTCCAATTTCTCAAGCCTGAAATAAAGGATTCATCCTTGATTTCTTTTTTCCTTAATAACCTACATCCAATTTGTTGACTTTGCCTTTATAATATATTCCCAAGCTGTCCGTTTCTTTCCATTTCCATTACCACCATTCTAGACCAAACCACCAACTCCTTTAGACTATATAATAGCTTCCTAAATGCTTCAGCCACACTGGCCTTCTGTCCTTCAACATTTCAAACTTATTTCCATTTTGTGGCTGAGCCATTCTTTCTGCTTAAAATATTCCTCCCACACACTCACCACCCAATCAAGAATAACCCCACCCTCACTTACAATCATTCTCTATAGCAGTACCCTGTATTTTTCCCCCACCACATTTATCACCATCTGGAAATTAGCTTATGCACTTATTGCCCATGACCTCTCACTAGACTGTGAGCTCCATGAGAGCAGGAACCATGTTCATTGTACCTAGAATAGATACACTTATTCTGGTATCTATTTTTTCTTTTTTTGAGATGGAGTCTTGCTCTGTCTCCAGGCTGGAGTGCAGTAGCACGATCTCAGCTCACTGCAACTAACTCAAGGACAGAAAACCAAACACTGCATGTTCTCACTCATAAGTGGGAGTTGAACAATGAGAACACATGGATACAGGGAGGGGAACATCACACACCGGGCCCTGTTGGGGGGTGGGGGGCTAGGGGAGGGATAGCATTAGGAGAAACACCTAATGTAGATGACGGGTTAATGGGTACAGCAAACCACCATGGTATGTGTATACCTATGTAACAAAGAGCACATTCTGCACACGTACCTCAGAACTTAATTAAAAAAAAAAAAAAAAAAGAGCCAGTGTGTGTGATTCACTCCCATTACCTTACCTCTAACCATCAACAGGTAACCAACAACAGGCCAGAAAGTTAAGACTCCCCTGTCCACATTGCTAAGCAAGGAAAACTAGGAGCACAGGCCCAGACAGCTCATGTGTAACATGAACTGAGGAAAAATAAACCTCTGAAATAAGCCACTGAGATTTGGGTGCTGTTTGTTACTACAAAATCACCTAGTCCATCCAGACTGATGAACTGTTCAAGCAATGCTGTGGGCACAGAATGATTCAGTCAGTCCCACTAAGTGGTTACTTGCAATGTAAACTGATGTCACTAGATATACATATTTAATTCTTTTCTTATTACAGTTGTCCCTCAGTATCTGAGTACGGCTGGTTCCAGGACCACCTCAGATACCAAAATTCGTGGATACTCATGTCCCCTAGTCAGCCTTCCGTATTCATGGCTTCCATACAGAGAACCCATGGATGCTGAGGGTAGACTGTATTACCTAGTTTCCAACAGGTCTGTCAACAAGGATCAAAAAAACTGTTTACATGGAGTTTTAAGGAATTCTTGTCTCTAATGCTATTTTTCACTAAATGGATAATTCACTCAAACAATGAATGCCACCCATACAGGCTTCTTGAAAAACCATCTGCCAGACTTTCTTCAACTGGAAACATACTTTGTAGGCAAGAATAACTGCTTTTTGTTTCCTTATTTTCTATACCAACTATTCAATAATTAAGTAATTATTGAGTACAGGCCACTGTAAGGGAAAAGAATAAAAAGGTAGTTGGCTAAAATGCAGAAGTCCCTGAATGCTAGGTCAGGAATTTGGACTTTATCTTGTAGACAAAATAGACTTACTGAGAAACTTTGTATACGAATTATATGTGAAAAAACTATTCTTGACGATTATTTATATGGCAGTTGTGGAACAGGAAGGCAAAGAGGGACAGTTTTTTTTTTTTTTTTTTCCTTTAAGATGGAGTCTCGCTCTGTTGCCAGGCCGGAGTGCAGTGGTGCAATATCGGCTCACTGCAACCTCCGCCTCCCGGGTTCAAGTGACTCCCCTGCCTCAGCCTCCTGAGTAGCTGGGGCTACAGGTGTGCACCACCACACCCAACTAATTTTTTGTATTTTAGTAAAGACGGGGTTTCACTGTGTTGACCAGGATGGTCTCGATCTCTCGACCTTGTGAACCGCCCACGTAGGCCTCCCAAAGTGCTGGGATTACAGGCATGAGCCACTGTGCCTGAAGAGTGCCAGTTTTTAAATGCTATGCCATGAATCCTCCATGGATGAAAGGCCAAATTTTAATCAATATATATAATTCATTTTTGCTACAACAGTAAATGTCCTGTTATTGATTATATTAAGTGTAGCACAGGGAATGGCTAGGACATAGGTTTTTGAAAGTAAGAGTAAAATGCATACTGAAATGTCAAGCTGGCACTTAAGTATGTGGTGATGGTCAAAATCTTACTCTGTGAGTAAGAGGGGCAGCCAGGGCAGTAATCGCTTAATAGTTCTGAAAGGCGATTAAGTGAACAATAGACACTTTGCTACTGCTGGGAGGTATTTTTACATTGTAGGAATGATGGGTTGTACTCTGGTTGGTTTGCATTTTGAATTCCTTCAAGATACTCAGAGCATCTGCGCAGTACTCCAACAAATTTTATCTTTCCCCAGCAACCCATTCCTTCATTTCTTCACTCGTTCAACAAATATTAAGTACATGTTACAGACTAATTACTATTCTACGCACTAGGGAAACATCAGTGGACCAAACAAAAATCCCTGCTGTACTGAAGCTTATATTCTACTGGCCTTTAAATTCCATCCTAAGATTTCTTCCTCAATCCTATCATATAAGTAGCTTTTAAAAATGCCTTTAGGAGAAATAATCTATGATTAATCACACTAAGATGTAAAAGACTATCCAGAGGCCTCTTCCCCACAGGTCTCCCTCCTCACCAAAGAACACCCCTCAATAAGTAACTATTTTATAGATTCTCGACCTTGGAGATAATTTCAGATGAGATTAAATCACTTGCCCAAAAACCCTTAGTTACTAACAGGCTTAGCGTTGCGACTTACAGTAATAGTGCCTTTCCCACTGTAACACCAAGCTGTGCATCTTAAGAGTATGCTAGTGGGCAGAGGAGATGCTAGAATGAGCATCTCATGACTCATACATAGGTGGTAGGTTTCTGGGTGACTTGCTCAAGGCAAAAAGAATTTCAGACAGTATATAAAACTGAAGGAGAGAGAGGTAGTTACAGGAAGCAAAAAAGGGAGTCCTTTCAAAATACCTTTTCTCTCATTTCTACCCTCATTATGCTCCAAGAACAAGAATGGTAAATATAACGCAGAAGTCTCCAAAGTTAAGGGGTATTAAGCTGGTAGTGAAAAAATACTTAGATGAGCAAGAAATAGTAAACACAGCATTTGAACCTGGCAAAGAAAAGTCAAATTACGCCGGGCATGGTGGCTCACGCCTGTAATCCCAGCACTTTGGGAGGCCGAGGTGGGCGGATCACCTGGGTCAGGAGTTCAAGACCAGCCTGGCCGACATGGCGAAACCCCGTCTCAACTAAAAATACAAAAATTACCCGGGCGTGGTGGTGGGTGCTTGTAATCCCAGCTACTCAGGAGGCTGAGGCAGGAGAATAGCTTGAACCCGGGAGGTGGAGGTTGTGGTGAGTCAAGATCTTGCCACTGTACTCCAGCCTGGGAGACAAGAGCAAGACTCCGTCTCAAAAAAAAAAAAAGAAAAGAAAAGTCAAATTACACCCTTCCAATTTAAAAAGTGTATGCTCCCAGTAAAAGTACCATTTGTATTAGGTTTAAGGTGTTTAATTAAAAAACATTATATTCCTAAATACATTTTCCAGAAAGCACCAAATTAACTAACATGGATCAACAAATATAATGATTGATAAAACATCAACATAATACTGACTAGTGTAATGTTATGATGCATCTTGTTGTTACTAGACAATACTTTTTTTTTTTTTTTTCCCTGAGACAGGGTCTTGCTTTGTCACCCAGGCTGGAGTGCAGTGATATGATCATGGCTCACTGCAGCCTCCAACTTCTGGACTCAAGGAATCCTCTCACCTCAGCCTCCCAAGCAGCTGTGACTACAGGCGCATGCCACTACACCTGCCTAATTTTATTTTATTTTATTTTTGAGATGGAGTCTCACTCTGTCGCCCAGGCTGGAAGGCAGTGGTGCGATCTCGGCTCACTGCAACCTCTGCCTCCTGGGTTCAACCGATTCTCCTGCCTCAGCCTCCCAAGTAGCTGGAACTACAGGCGTGTGACACCACGCCCAGCTAATTTTTTGTATTTTAAGTAGAGACAGGGTTTCATCGTGTTAGCCAGGATGGTCTCGATCTCCTGACCTTGTGATCCACCTGCCTCAGCCTCCCAAAGTGCTAGGATTACAGGCATGACCCACTGGCCCTAATTTTAAAATGTTTTGTAGAGATGGAGTCTTGGTATGTTGCCCAGGCTGGTCTCAAACTTCTGGGCTCAAGCTTTCCTCCTACCGTTGGCCTCCCAAAGTGCTGGGATTACAGGTGTGAGCCACACCAGTTCTGTGGCTGCACTGAAGTGCAGTGGCACAATCTCGGCTCACTGTAGCCTTGACCTCTTGGGCTTAAGCGATCTTCCCACCCCAGCCTCCCAAGTAGCTGGGACTACAGACACATGCCACCATGCCTGGCAAAATATTTTAAATTTTTTGTAGAGATATGGTCTCGCTATGTTGCCTAGGCTGCTCTCGAACTCCTGGCTTCCAGAGATCCTCCTGTCTTGGCCTCCCAAAGTGTTGGGATTACCAACCCTGCCTAGCCCCACCATCCACCCTTCTGTTCAGTGCCCTACATAAATCCTGCAATTGTTAGTTTTTCGCAGAAGCTTTACCCAGTTCAGTTCTGCATTCATCCACTGTACTAACGAAGAGTGTCATATATATTTTTTGTTGTTAATCTCATAACCCAAACTAGATTAATCTCCCTAAGGTTGGTTGTCCTGGCACATTTTTTATTTTATTTTTATTATTTTTTATTTCAATAGGTTTTTGGGGAACAAGTGGTGTTTGGTTACATGAATCAGTTCTTCAGGGGTGATTTCCGAGATTCTGGTGCACCCATTACCTGAGCAGTGAACACTGTATCCAATGTGTAGTCTTCTATCCTTCATCCCCCTCCCACTCTCTTTCTACCAAGTCCCCAAAGTCCATAGTGTCATTCTTGCGGCACATTTCTTTTGTATAGCCAATTGGGTCTACCACCCTGTTGGGCATACAGGCAATCGAAAGCTTTGTAACTGATGAATGACATTTAAAAGCTCTGCTATAGATAAGTATAAACTGCTGATTTCTTACTAAGTGATTTTGCTTTTGAAATTTATTCCTTGTCAAGGAGGTATTAGTTTAAGTATAACCATTTCAAGTACAGAATAACCACTCAATAAGTTTTAGGGATGAAAACATTTAACATGTAATTTTTTATTTTAAAGTAATACATAAGTTGCTAAGACTAACACTTTCAAAACTTTCAGGAAAGGATATAAAGGAATTGAAAACATAAATTATAACACACATAAAGCTTATGAACTCCATTTATCTTAAAATAGTCAATGGATTTTTTGCTCAGGCACAAACCTTAAGTATAATCATCAAGAGCAGAAAACTTGAATGAATGGTGTGTGAATGAATGTATGTGTACACAAAAGCACACTCAGGTCTCCGAAGTTTAAGTAAATGAAATGAAAGGGCTTTGTAAACTAAAAAGAGCCACAGATAAAGGAGGTAGTAGAGCAACAGAGTTAAAAGCGTGGAGCCAGCCTGCTCGGGTGTTAATTATATTAGCTGTGTAACCCTGTACGGTACAAAAGTTACAATACTAAAATTTCCTGTGCCTTAGTTTCTTCACTGTCAAAATGGGGACAACAGTATATATCCCAAAGTAAAGCTCTTAATACGCCCAGCGCATAGAAAGCACAAAATAAATATTGCCCATCATTATGATCACACTGGCTAATATTATTATTGGCTAATATTAGTTATTAGCCAAGTAAAAGCCTCAATGGATGACGTTTCAATTCAAGTCTGAAGCTGGCTATCCAAAGAAACTCCAAAAAACCCAGCAGATTTAAGCTATTAGGTGGACTAGTTTCTCATAATTCTCGCAAGTGCTGAACTGATGATTATTACACACCTAATTTCTCTTACAATTTTTTTTAAATCAGCAAAGAAACTGACATAGGTATCTCTGTTTTCAAGGAACTTTATAAGCCACAAGAAAACAAACCAACTCTTTGTTATCTCCATATTTAAGCAATATAAGAGCGTAGTAAAAGCCTAGATACTTTACAGAACAACTTTTCAGAAAATACAGTAAGGTTTTTAAAGTTGCAATCGACAATTCTTATGCAGTTATGTCAAGTTTTTGTCCTGCGAAACAAAAGCTCATCCGTCAGGAATCCGAGGACCCGTCGGAAAATAAGGAAATGCCTGGGCCGGGCCTAGGCGCTCTGCGGAAAACCTGTCCTCAAAAATGCTCGCCCCACACTCGTTCTGTCCTTCCCCTTCCCCAGGTGCAGCTGTCGACTCCACCCGAAGATAAATAAGTGACAACAGGTTCGGTCCACGCCTCTCCCGGCCCAGTCCCCTGGAGCCCCCCAGCGCCCGCTGCCCGACTCTCCCCGCAGGGACCGGCAGAGGGGCTCCGCCCCGGCCTTGCCGCCCCGCCCCGGGACCCGGCAGCGCTGCCGCGAGCCCGGCCGAGCCGAGGCCGCCGCGGGGCCTGCAGGTGGGCCCAGGGCGCGGCCAAGCCCGGCTGGAGTAGCCCTGCCAGGGCAGGGCAGCTGCGGGCGCGGGGCTCGCACCGGCTCGGCAGTCACTTACCGGCGCCTCATGGTACCGCGGCGCCTCAGCCCAGCCTCGGCGCTGACGACCAGCGCCCGGCAGCCTAGAGAGTCCCTCGGCTTCTGGGCCGAGTCCCACTCAGGGCCATTCAAACGCGGCCGCGCGCGCGGCCCGCCGGGATAGCTGGCGCTGTGGGCGGCTCGCGGGCTCCGCCCAACGTTGGCTCCGCCCCTCTGGGGGTCGCTAAGGGCCGGAGGGGAAAAGGACCTGTGGCCACAGTGCCCCCTGGTGGCTAGAGCTTCGCACGGTAGCCTTGCTATGGCGCGAGAAGTGATACTGCGATAGGAACTGAGGGTGGGTAAAGGTCAACGAATGACCGACCGTGCGCTAGGAACAACCTAGTGTGGGAGACCGTGCCTTAGTGGTGTACCAGGAGGTGCAAACAATTTCCTATAAAGTTATGGTTCCGGGAGAGATTTATTCATTCACACCTATTTAAATACACTAAGAGTCTGGGCACAGTGGCTCACACCTGTAATCCCAGCACTTTGGGAGGCCGAGGCAGGAGGTTCACCTAAGCCCAGGAATTCAAGACCAGCCTGGACGACATGGGGACAACTACCCCCCACCCCCCACCTCCGCCCCCGTCTCTATAAAAATAAAAATGATACTAATAAACGCTCTAAGGCATAGTTTCTAAAAGCATGGATTGTGGAACTATGTGACCTTGAGCAAGTCACATAAACTCCTAGGTGCTTTGCTTTCCCCTTCTGTAAAATGGGGACAATAACAATAGTATCTGTCTCTTAGTGTTGTGAGGATTAAATGAATTAATACATATAAAATGCTTAGAGGAGTGCCCGGCATATGGTAAGCCCTTCGTGTTTGTTAGTCATCATTTTTTTAGTTCCTATTATGTGCCAAACTTTGTGCTAGACTCTTAAGAACACAAGAAATGTACATGATGCAGAACCTGTCCTCAGGAAGCTGGTTCGGTCTTGTTGGGATGGGGAACACTAAATTAGATTATGAGGTTAGGGTTGGGTCTGTAGATGATGAACTTTTAATTACTGAGGGCAGTTCTCTTCATTAGAACCAGGCTGCTCACCTTCATAGATAAGCCACCGGTCAAGGTTAGCCAAGCTGTGACAGGAGCAAGTTTGTCTATGGTGGTTCTCTCGCCCCTTGCAGAAACCAACCAAGCAGTGCCTTTGGTGGAAATACTTCCTCACCACAAGACTACATCCCTTGGCTTGCTTTTTCAGGCACTCATTTCGGAACTCAAGGCTTGCCTAGGGAGCAGGCTGCTTAAGTTTGGTTTAACAATCTTTTTGAAGGCCCGCCATGTGCCAGGCAAATTGTGCCTGGTGCTGGAAATCGCCTGAAGCAGCTCTCAGTGGCTTGAAAAACAGGAAAAGAGATCATTCCAATACACTGCAGTGATAAAAGGTATCTCCTAAATGCCGTGGGAGTTCCGAGCAATGGGAGGCCTGTCAGATAAACTGATCAGAACTAAGATGTCATCAGGTTGTTATAACTTTATGTATTTTTCCTCCCTAGTAACAGAGTCCTTACTTAATCAAAAAAAAAAAAAAAGTCATGTTGAAAATTGAGGCAAGACCTTAGGGCAGTGGGAAAATAGTTTTAGGATATTTGGCATAAGCAACACCTTTGAGAGCTTCTCGATTGTACCAAGCATAAGCAAGGCACATACATGCCTATGTGTGGGGCCACATCTGTTAACAGGTGGTACTGTTGAGAGAGTCCAGCTAGGTGAGTAAAGGAAGCTGGAGCCCTAGGTTCCATGTATGTACAATAAAGAATATTTCCTGAATATGACTTCCACTAAGTAGATGTGTTGTTTTAAAGAAAATAAAAATTCAACACACATGGGTGAAGTCACTTTCTCTCAAGTCATTTCTTCATCATCATGAACAGGAATTTCTTGATGACCCACTATGCAAAAGGCACTGTGCTGGCCTCTCATCAGAAGAATAGGGTAAAAAGAGTGTACTATATGATCGTTATCCTCAAGGGAGGCTAAAGAATTAAGACAAGTAATGGAGTCCTGGAACTCAGGGAATCTGCTGTGTTAACACAGAAGAATCTCAGCTAATACAAGGCCTCCAGTTGCTGGAGGCCAGAGAAGAACCTTGATATTCTCATTTCTGGAGCTTGTTAGGGCACAGGATCTCAGGCAGGTTAATCTCCAGAGCCAAGTTATAAAGTTTGTATCAGTGATGGGCAGCCCAGGCCCTCACATCTCATAATTTCACATAAAAATAAGGAAAACTGCCTTTGCATTGCTACTTTTGGAATATATACAAATACTGTCATTTTAGTGATGAAAATGCAAGGCAACTTTCTTCATTGATACTTTTCCTATCAATAAAGTTGAATTTTTCCCCCTTGGGGCTCAATAAAATTTGAATTCTTACTAAAAAAAGGTACAGCCCATACATTAAAAAAATCCCTACATCAGTGTTTGTGTACAAAAAGGTGGTTTACTGATAGCCTTCGTGGTGGGCAGTCTCCAAGGGTGTCTACTCCTCTGGCCATTCCTTCATTCCTTCCTTCTGAGAGAACACGCAGCTAAGTTAGCCTTCCTGCCTCACATCCCCCTCTCTACGGGGTGCAGAATCATTCAAGGACACAGTGTAGAGTGACCCACATGAGAAAAGAGCTGCCATGCAGTCCTGTGTACACTGCTTGATGGCAAGCAGGGGAGGGATGGTGGAGCTGGGCCTGATGAACTGGAGAGGACAGACAGGATGTTCCTGACAGAGAGGTGGAAATGCAAAGTAAGTTCTAGTACTGCAGTCTATTCTGATTTGAGTGGAGGGAAAAGTGCTTGCAAGAGTCACAGGAGTGAAGACTGAAAAGGTACGTAAGGCACCTGATAGGTTGCGAAGACCTGGAATTATCAAGCAAAGTGTTTGAGGTGCAAGGAGACAGCAAAGACAATTGAGCAGGGGAATGACTAAGTCAGTTCTTTAGAAGGATTGATCTGTTTGGGAGGCCAAGGTGAAAGGATCGCTTAAGGCCAGGAGTTTGAGACCAGGCTGGGCAACATTTCAACACCTCAACTCTACAAAAAATTTAAAAAATAGTCGGGCATGGTGGTGCATACCTGTAGTCCTAGCTACTCGGGAGGCTGAGGTGGGAGGATCACTTGAGCCAAAGAGCTCAAGATTATAGTAAGCTATGATTATGGCACTGTAGTCCAGCAAGAGAGCAAGACCCTGTCTCTTAAAAACAAACCAACCAAAAAAAAAGCAAGAAAAAGAAGAAGAAGAGTTGATTTGTTACCAGGATGCTGGATGGCCAGGGGTAGGGAGGAATGACTGATAGCAATAACATTAGGTATAAAAGTGTAGTTCCGTCTAGGGTCCTAGAAGCCATATCATTTACTGCATTGTATGTCATTCTCATTGAGACCAATGCCGATTCTGACAGAGAACAATGCCTGAAGGGACCTAAAAGACAGCAACAGCTCACCCATTCCACACTGCTCAGCCTCAGCACCTTTGGAAAATTCTAGGCAGTTGACTTTAGCAGTCAAAGTGAGAAGTCAATCCCTTTTTTCTGCTCCTCCCTTCCCTACCTTCCTTTGCAGGCTGTGGAAGGAAGTAATGGCAGAAGCAGTAAGCAAAAAAAACAAAAACAAAAACAAACCCAAAAAACAAAACAAAACCCCTGGTAGTGTTTTTTGCGGGGTGAAGGGTGGGTGGTAGGGAGGTGTTGAGTGATGGGGGATCCTATTTTTAAGATAGCTTGTTTCTGCTACATCTACAGCCCTCTATTGTAAATCTACAACTGAGATCAGGTGACCCAAAAACATTTATGACTATGATAATATTTGGTATTTATAGACTTTCAAATCCGAATCTCAAGAAACCATCTCTCTCCTCCTGCAAGTACATTTCCTGCAATTAGACTATACTGTCACCAGGTGGAACGTGGTGGGGGCAGCATGTTAGACTAGCCTTGGAGCAAGGCTCATCTCTATTTAAAACCTAGATTGCTGCCTTTGGGCCGTTTCTACACCGGTTTTTACCTTAATGTGCAATGGGGATAACACTCTCCTCTCAGGGGCTGTTGGGAAGTGGGATAACCTATATAAAACATATACAACAATGCCTAGAGCAGTGATTGTGTCTCTCTCTGAAAAACTGAGTTTAGTGATTTTTCCAAGATAGAGAAGAATACAATATGGTTGACTGCTGCCTTGGAAAAGGGAAGTCCTGGAATTAGACTACCTGGGGGTCAGGGTGCAGGAGAGGGTGAAGTGTCAATGTTGGGGGTGGGGTCAGGAGGCACGGAACAGACTCACTGTGATGCTGATGGCCTGGTAACCAGAACAGGGTACCTGAAAAGTCCTATCATATGCAAAACAAATCCAATTATGTATGCAGTTGCTGGTGGAGGTGGTGGGGGGAGGGGAGATGTTCAGTACAACTGGGACCCCATAACAGGTGAAGTACAGAGGAGTTCCTGGCGAGCAGGCAAGCAGGAAATAAAATGCGCTAGCAGTTAGCAGGGCAACAATCATCAGAAGCAGAAAGTCCTTGGGAAGAGGACTTAAAAGAGCAAAGCAGGTCCCTAGCCTCAAGAGACAGGAGCAGTAGAAAGATTACTAAGACACTTCTTGGAGCCAGACACAAAGGCAGAACCGCTCTTGCAGTAACACAATTGAGCCTGAACCTAAACTGGCTTGAGTTACTTCCCCAACTTAGCTCTGTGTTCTTCAGGACATCAGTTCTAAGAGATGTTGATAGGTTCAAAAAAGAAGAGAAAAAGAAGAAAGTGGTTTCCTTGGCCACAGAAGTTTGGTAACTGCTGAAGTAAACAAATATTTCTTTACTGTAGCACTTCTCGGTCTTTAAAAACCTAACATTTGTTGTCAATTTTTAAAGAAAGATACATGCAGTGTTTCCTAAACTTATCTGAACGCTTAATCCTTTAAATGGGAGAACACAAATACTATTAAGAATTATTCTTATCTAAGAAGAGTGTCAGGACTAGTCCAGGTCCTGGAGAATAGGGTATGGCTGCAGCAGTAGGCTGGGAGGAGAGGACTGTGGAAGCTGGATTAGGCATGGTGCCTCATGATCAGGGCTGGATGAAAGCAACAGGCCTGAAAATCTGGCAGAGCTATAAGAAACATTTTAAAAAACCGAAATAAAAATGTACTCATTCTTTTTCCTGTGCCTTTTCTAAAAAGTAAAAATACCGCTCTTCATGAAATAGCATCTTATAAAACAGTATACAGTATTAAATAAGTCTAAATATTAATTTTTAAAGTCTGAAAACATCTAAATCAAAATGCTCATGAAAGGTTTTTTCTTTGGCATGATAGGATTTGTTGGTTATCTTTTTTGCCTATTTGTATTTCTCATTTATATAATAAATGTGTTGCTTTTAAATTAAAGTTACTTTTTAAAACCATTTTATTAAAGAAACCAATCATAGCAATTAGGAAATTAAGTAAAACTTTTTGTGGGCCGAGCGTGGTGGCTCACGCCTGTAATCCCAGCACTTTGGGAGGCCGAGGCGGGCGGATCACGAGGTCAGGAGATCAAGACCATCCTGGCTAACACGGTGAAACCCCGTCTCTACTGAAAATACAAAAAATTAGCTGGGCGTGGTGGTGGACGCCTGTAGTCCCAGCTACTTGGGAGGCTGAGGCAGGAGAATGGCGTGAACCCGGGAGGCGGAGGTTGCAGTGAGCTCAGATCGTGCCGCTGCACTGCAGCCTGGGCGACAGAGCGAGACTCTGTCTCAGGAAAAAAACAAAAAAAACGACTTTTCATGTAAATGTTTTAAAGTTTAGGATTTAATTCTGTAACTATGGCAATATTATTTTACCTGTTATTATTTTATTGTTATCATTTTCTCCTTAAGCTAACCCTTAATACATCTGAATGGACTCTCTTTTAGAAAGAGACGTATTTGTTTCTTAGGGTCGCTGTGACAAAGTACCACAAACTGAATAGCTTAAACCAACAGAAGTATATTATCTCACAGTTCCAGAGGCTAGAAGTCCAAACAGCCTCCGGAACAGGACCATGCGCCCTCTGAAGGTCTAGGGAATAATCCTTTGCCTCCTCTTCCTAGCTTCCTCGGCTTGTAGCTGCATCATTCCAATCTGTCTCCATTCATCACATGGCCTTCTTCCCTATGTGTCTGTGTGACCTCTTCATATAAGGATGCTATAGTCATCAGATTTAGGTCTCACTGTAATCCAGTATGACCTCATCTTAACCAATGTATCAGCCAAGACCTTCATTGCAAAGATCTGATGTGAGACTCTGGGTGGATACGAATTTGGGGGTGGGGAGGAAATTATTCAATTCACTGAAAGACTCTAGCAATGATTTAATCAATAAACCCTTAGAACTGTAAATCAGTACATTTTAGAGAGCCTATTATTTGAACCCATCAACATTTTAACTGTATAAAACTGTGGGAAGAGATCCTAATTTTATCACTGTCCTACAGAAATGTGTTGACAAGTGCCCAACGATGTTCACAGCAACATTTTTTTGTAATAGCGAAAAATGGGAACAAGCTGAATGTCTATCAATTTGGGACTAATTAAATTATCTCACATCTACATTCTGCAGCCTTGAAAAAGAATAAGGTAGATCTGCATGATAGACATGGAAGATATCCAAAATAGATTAAGTAAAAAAAGCAAGTCAATAGACAGTGTTTAGTACATTCCTATTTACATAATGAGCAAATTAAACAACTCTACATTTATGTACATGTTTTAAGGAATAGCTTTATTTATCTTTCAAACATTAAAAGATACCTATTGTTCTCCAACTCTTCTGAATTTCATTTCATCCTTGTATTATTCTGCTTGGGTTGCCATAACAAAATACTGGGTGCTTTAAACCAGTGGTCCTGAACATTTTTGGCACCAAGGACCAATTTTATGGAAGACAATTTTTCCACAAATGTGAGCTGGGCAGGGAGGGTGGTTTCAGGATGAAACTGTTTCATCTCAGATCATCAGGCATTAAGACATAAGGAATACACAACCTAGATCCCTCACATGCACAGTTCATAATAGGGTTTGAGCTCCTAAAGAATCTAATGCCCCCTCCTTGATCTCATGGGAGGCAGAGCTCAGGCAGTAATGCTCCCTGGCCTTGGCAGAGAGCTCTTGGGTGTCTTATAAGGGCAATGCTATCATGAGACATCCACCCTCATTACCTCATTTAACTCTAATTACTTCCCAAAGGCTCTATCTCTAAATACCATCCCATAGAGGATTAGGATCATCCCATATGATTTCTGGGAGGACACAAACAATCAGTCCATAACAATCTTCCTTTAAAAGACTCAGGTTATGGCCAGGTGTGGTGGCTCACACCTGTAATCCCAGCACTTTGGGAGGCCGAGGTGGGTGGATCACCTGAGGTCAGGAGTTCAAGACCAGCCTGGCTAACATGGTGAAACCTTGTCTCTACTAAAAATACAAAAAATTAGCCAGGCATGTGGCAATGCCTGTAATCCCAGCTACTCAGGAGGCTGAGGCAGGAGAATGGCTTGAACCTGGGAGGCGGAGGTTGCAGTGAGTCAAGATGGTGCCATTGCACTCCAGCCTGGGCAACAAGAGCAAAACTCCATCTCAGAAAGACGAAACAAAACAAACTCAGGTTATAAAACAATGCTTTATATCGAAACTGATTGAAGCCTTTTAAAATTAGCACATAGGAAAAAATGCCCCAAAGGACCTTTATTGGTGGTTTAGTTACTTTGTGTACAGACAGTATAGCCCACTTTCAGGATAGCTGAAATTAATCACCAAAAAGAATCCAGAGTAACTGATCTTGGAGAGACCTGTCACGCCACTAGTAATGTATCATTATGACTCATGCTATGGTTGTCATTCTTATCCATTAATGAGATCTGTGGGAATGGCAACCCTTCCAACTTCCTAACCAAGTGCTGGAGGGAAGCTGCTATAATGAGAACTTGTTAAAATGTGAATTGGACAATAGGCCTCCTGAAATGAAGGAAAGGTAACTGCTAAGGAAGAGTGGTATTACCAACATCTTCTCCCAGCACCATACTACTGGTTCATGTCGCTGCTGACAAGGGCATTTCATGACACCGCAGAGCCACGAAATAGAAATTGAAAAAGAATGTAATCTGTGTAGAAATGATGTGGTACCTCAACAGTAACTAGCAAGGTAAGATCTTATACAAAGTGTTTTTTCAGTAAAGGGGTTCGAAATGCAAACAGTCAAAATGGATAAAAAAAAAAGTTTCTTCTTTAGACCGCACAACTGATGCAGAGTAAATTGTGTCATGAATGAAATAGTTTTAAGTTGGTCTTTTTTAGAAGATAATGATAGTAGAGTTAAACTAAGACAAATAACTGGGATTTGCAATGGAAGACGAGTTTTTTTGAAGCTGCAAAGAATCTTAGGAGCTTTTAGAGCACACTAGGCAAACTGGTTGTCCCAGGAAGGATGACAAAATAGAATTATTATATAGACATTGTGAAATGGTATAGGCCAAAAACTTAAGACATATCTATAAAAGCCCCATCACCCCCCTCCCCCGCTCAGAGGGATCCATTCTTGCAAACCTGTTTGTTTGAATAGAAAATTTTCTTATTAAGTTTCAATCCAAATACAACTGTTCAGAGAAGAATGGCATGAAATAGCTTCTTTGGGTCTTAGGAAGAGGTAAAGGATGAAACACAAAAACACAACAACTGTGCAGGTGGCACAAATTATACAAAGTCAAACAAGGTAACTCATATGAGTTATAGAATTGTGGTTTGCCTTTTTATACTTTCTTTAATTAAAATCATATTTGCTCAAAGGCACAAAGTAAGGAAAATTTTAATATTTATTTTATTATTTTTATTTATTTTTTTTGAGACTCTCGCTCTGTCGCCCAGGCTGGAGTGCGGTGGCACGATCTCGGCTCACTGCAAGCTCCGCCTCCTGGGTTCACGCCATTCTCCTGCCTCAGCCTCCCGAGTAGCTGGGGCTACAGGCACCTGCCACGACGCTTGGCTAATTTTTTTTTTTTTTTTTTTTTAGTAGAGATGGGGTTTCACCGTATTAGCCAGGATGGTCTCGATCTCGTGACCTCATGATTCGCCCACCTTGGCCTCCCAAAGTGCTGGGATTACAGGTGTAAGCCACCGCACCCGGCAATACTTATTTTATGATTTCAATATTCCATCATTTTCCAATTCAAGTTTAGTCCAGTGGGATGCATACAAGAAGTTTCTTAAAATCGGATTGTCTGCTTAGATTATGTTGTGTAAATTCAAACCTTGTTATTTTAGAGCAACAAAATGCTTTAAATCAGCTGTTCTCAATCCTCACTGCACAGCAGAATCACCTTGAGAGCCATAAGAAATACTGATGCCCAGGCCTCACCCAAAGCAAATGAATCAGAATCACTAAAGGTGTCATCCAGGCATATATATATATATATATATATATATATATATATATATATATATATATATATACACACAGAGAGAGAGAGAGAGAGAGACATAGAGAGAGAGACAGAGAGAGACGGAGTTTTGCTCTTGCTCTTGTTGCCCAGGCTGGAGTGCAATGGCAAGATCTCGGCTCACTGCAACCTCTGCCTCCCGAGTTCAAGCGGTTCTTCTCCCTCAGCCTCCCGAGAAGCTGGGATTACAGGCATGCGCCACCACGCCTGGCTAATTTTGTACTTTTAGTAGAGACAGGGTTTCTCCATGTTGGTCAGGCCGGTCTCGAACTCCTGACCTCAGGTGATCCGCCTGCCTTGGCCTCCCAAAGTGCTGGAATTACAGGCGTGAGCCACCGTGCCCGGCAAGCATCAATATTTTTAAGAGCTCTCAAGTTGATTCTCATGTGTATTCATAACAGAGAACCATTACATTTCTGTTTGGAATTATGTCATGTTATAATTAATAATATTTATGTTTTTCTAACTAAAAAGTAGTACCTGCACAATGCAGAGACCTAGGAAAACTGTAGGAAGGCACGATTTTAAAAAATTATCTGAAATCCCATTACTCCTTTGAGTGTCTATTACTGAGTGTTTTTTTTCGGGTGTATATGCATGGAAAGAATAGTACACTTTATATGTTTTTTTTTTAAAACGAGTATGATATATTTCAGAACTAGAAGGCACCCTTAGAAATCATCTAGTATAAATCTCTTATTTTATAGATGAAGAAATTAAAGTCAAGAGAGTCCCTAATTCAAAGTGAATCATGTAGTTCATTTGGAGTCAGGATTAAAATCCAGGTTTCTCAGGCTAGAGTGCAGTGGCACGATCTAGGCTCACTGCAGCCTTGACCTCCTGGGCTCCAGTGATCCTCCCACCTAAGCCTCCCAAGTAGCTGGGACTATAGACACAAGCCACTTTGCCAGCCTGATTTTTTATTTTTTGTAGAGACAGGGTTTCACCATATTGCCCAGGCTGGTCTCAAACTCCTGGCCTCAAGCGATCTGCCCACCTTAGCCTTCCAAAGCACAAGGATTACAAGGGTGAACCACCACACCAGGCCTGGAAAATCTTACACTAGTTTTCTTTTCCTTGCGAAACAAAATTTGTGCAAAAACTTTAAAACTTTAATTCCAACTTGAAGCTCCATTTCCATAAATAACCTATTATTTCTAATGATCTTCTAATATTTTAAAAATAACAAGCAAAGCTTTATAGGGGAGACCTTCATCTTTCTCCTGAAGAATTCTAGCATGCATATAGAGCAGCTGCCCTCACTGTATTCTGTGGAACACTGATTCTATTGGATGTTAACGAATGTATTAAGGAAAAAAAAACAACAAAAAACTGGTTCCTTACTCAAGTAGATTGGGAAACAAAATTAAAGGAGATTCTTTACCAAACCATTTCTTGTTGTTTTCATATGTTATACTAACGGCACTAAGACTCTCTTGAGTGTGTGTGCAGAATATAATATGTAGAATTTCTCAAATTTATCTAATCTTGGAACCATCCTCAGCCTAGTCCTGATGTGTTCATTTTTTGGAACGGAGTTTCACAAATAATACTATGAGGATTCCTAGGATAAAGAAATAAATGATCCAGAGTACTCCCACTGAGGCCAAAGCAACTTTTTATTTTTTGTTTATTTATTTTTTTTGCGACAGAGCCTTGCTCTGTCCCCCAGGCTGGAGTACAGTGGCACAATCTTGGCTCACTGCAACCTCCACCTCCTGTGTTCAAGAAATTCTCTGCCTCAGCCTCCTGAGTAGCTGGGATTATAGATGACTGCCATCACGCCCAGCTAATTTTTTGTACTTTTAGTAGGGACGGGGTTTCACCATCTTGGCCAGGCTGGTCTTGAACTCCTGACCTCGTGATCCACCTGCCTTGGCCTCCCAAAGTGCTGGGATTACAGGCGTGAGCCACAGCACCCAGCCCAAAGCAACTTTAATTTAGGTTATAGTTTACACATTTTTATAGCAAGTAGGGGAGTATTTAAGTAGAAAGAATATATGATTCCAATGACTAACTTAATGTTTTCAAAAGTGTTCATTTAAAACTTATTAAAGCAGGGCCAGGTGTGGGCTCATGCCTGTAATCCCAGCACTTTGGGAGGCCAAGGCGGGAGGACTGCTTAAGCTCAGGAGTTTGAGACAAGCCTGGGCAACACAGTGAGACCCTGTCTCAAAAAAATAGTAAGTAAAAAAAAATTATTAAAATGTGGCTAGGAGCAGTGGCTCACGTCTGTAATCCCAGCACTTTGGGAGGCTGAGGCAGGCAGATCACGAGGTCAGGAGTTCGAGATCAGCCTGGCCAATGTGGTGACACCCTGTCTCCACTGAAAATACAAAAATTAGCCAGGCGTAGTGGCACACATCTGTAGTCTCAGCTACTTGGGAGGCTGAGGCAGAAGAATTGCTTGAACCTGGGAGGCGGAGGTTGCAGTGAGCCGAGATTGCGCCATTGCACTCCAGCCTGGCAACAGAGCAAGACTCCATCTCAAAAAAAAAAAAAAAAAAAAAAGTATTAAAATGTAATAAGAAGGCCAGGTGTAGTGGCTTATGCCTGTAATCATCACTTTGCGTGGGCGAGGTGGGTGGATCACCTGAGGTCAGGAGTTTGAGACTAGCCTGGCCAACACAGTGAAACCCCATTTCTACTAAAAATACAAAAATGAACAGGGCGTGGTGGCGGGCACCTGTAATCCCAGCTACTCAGGAGGCTGAGACAGGAAAATTGCTTGAACCTGGGAGGCAGAGGATGCAGTGAGCCAAGATCGTGCCACTGCACTTCAGCCTCGGTGACAGAGTGAGACTCTGTCTCAAAAAAAAAAAAGAAAAGTGTAATAAGATTATCTTGAAAATTAGACAAAATTGCGTGAAAATTATTGCCCCAATAGAATGTATATCCATTTTTATGTTTTATTTTGCACAAGTGTAGTTATAGTACATTCACATCTTGGTGTTTGTTTACTTTCAATTTAATTTACTCACATTCGCTAAACATTTATTCAGTACTTTCTATGTTCTAGGCAACAGGCTCAAAGATAATATATAGCTTCTGACCTGGGGGGATTTAGGGTTGCCTATAGAGGGGTAGAAATAAGTGCTCAGGGGACTTTAACAAACAAAATGCAATGTGGTAAGTGCTATTATGCAGCATATAATGCAACAAAGAAGAATGCCCAATAGGGTCAGAAGCTTGAGATAAATATAAGGTTCATGAGACAGAACGTGGTAAAGACAAAAAGTAGAAAGGAGCAGAAACACAATCTATAGTTAGGTCTTCCTACAATCAGATAGATACACATTTTAGGATGGATTGGAGAGGCAAAAGACTTCCATTTCTGCCTTGTTTAAGTAGTCTGCTATGAACACATATTTTTAAAATCAGAAAATAAAGTGGAGGTGGCAATCTTCAGCCTCTCTTACATCATCATCATCTTCAAGAGTCCCAACTTTTTTGTTGGCCAAGGAAGCCTTTTTCAACCTTACCTCCCACAGCATCTCCTTCCCCCTAACTCCAGCCATATCGAATAACTTGGAGTCAAAGAAATACAAATTAAAAAATAATACAGTACCATTTCAAACTATTAAAAAAATTATAGACTGTGAAATGTAAATGGTGCCATTTTTCCTAGTGGACATTTTAATTTTTTTTGTTGTTGTTTGCAGAGGCAAGGTCTCACTATGTTGCCTAGGCTGGTCTTGAACTTCTGAGCTAAAGCAATCCTCCTGCCTCAGCCTCCCAAAGTTCTGGGATGACAGGTGTGAGCCACCACGCCTGGCTCCTGTGGGCATTTAAAATGAAAATTCTTTAAAAATGTGCATACTCTTTGATCCAGCAACTCCAATTTCACTTCTAGGACTATAACTTTAGGAAATAAGAAAAGACATACAGATATGTTCACAGCAACACTGGTTATAAAAGGAAGGAAAACAGGAAACAATTTAAATGTCCAATAATAGGCTATATTATGAAAAAGGTATACCATACAAAACCCAATCACTTTAAAGAATGACATACATTATTTAATGACACGTCATTAAAAACACATCAATGGTGTTATTTGGTAATGATGTGATACATCATTAAAAACACCACATAACCTAGCACTTTGGGAGGCCGAGGCAGGCAGATCACCTGAGGTCGGGAGTTCGAAACCAGCCTGACCAACACGGTGAAATCCCATCTCTACTAAAAATACAAAATTAGCTGGACGTGGTGGCGTGCGCCTGTAATCCCTGGTACTCGGGAGGCTGAGGCAGGAGAATTGCTTGAACCCGGGAGACGGAGGTTGCAGTGAGCCGAGATAGTGCCATTGCACTCCAGCCTGGGCAACAAAAGCAAAACTCCGTCTCGAACAAAAACACAAACAAACCAAACACCAGATATGTGGTGGGCACTAATCTCACAAGCCTTGAAAGTAGGTAGATTATCCAACTTTTACATGAAGAGGCTGAAACAAATTCAACTTGCCCAAGGTCATACAATTATTAAGTGGTGAAACCAGGATTCAAAAGGAGGCCATCTGCTGGGTGCAGTGGCCCATGCCTTTGTAATCTCAACATTTTGGGAGGCCAAGGCAGGAGAATCACTTGAACCCAAGAGTTTGAGAGCAGCCTGAGCAACATAGCGAAACCCTGTCAAAACAAAACAAAACAAAACAAAACAAGACTGGGGCGTGGTGGCGCGCCCTGTGGTCCTAGCTCCTCGGAACGCTCAGGTTGGAAGGAACGCTCAGGTGGGAAGATCGCTTGAGCCGGGGAAGTCGAGGCTGCAGTGAGCCGTGATAGCGCCACTGCACTACAGCCTCGGCAACGGAGTGAAACCCTGTCTCAAAAAACAAACCCAAAACAAACAACAACAAACGCAGGCTAACTGAATACCGAGCCCATGTCCCCTTCCATGCCCACAATGCTGCCTTGCCTTTGTGCAGAATGTGGTTAGAACTGTTTACCTCGCAAGGTTACTGTGCAAGTGAAATGAAATAAACACATGACACAGTGGACATTCAATACTCAGAAACTACTAAGTAACTCGCTCAAGGTCAAGCTAGGATTTAAACCCAGGATTTGAATCTTTTGTTCCAGGGAGCGCGTAGGAGGTTAAGAAGCTTTTCTTGGCTTCCTTTTTTTTTTTTTTGAGACAGAGTTTCGCTCTTGCTGCCCAGGCTGGCGTGCAATCGCTCGGTCTCAGTTCACTGCAACCTCCGGCTCCCGGATCCAAGCGATTCTCCTGCCTCAGCCTCCTAAGTAGCTGGGATTACAGGCGCCCGCCACTAAGCCCGGCTAATATTTTGTATTTTTAGTAGAGACGGGGTTTCACCATGTTAGCCAGGCTGGTCTCGAACTCCTGACTTCAGGTGATCCGCCCACCAATTCTTAACGCTGAGTCAGTATGGGCTTTCCTTCAGCCCCATAAAGTGCACCTCAGAGGTCAGGGAACACATAACAAGGACATTCAAAAGGGGAGCGCGCGGAAGTGGCTTTAGGAAGCACTAAGTCTTGCCTGGTTTTTTTTCCTCCCTGCTTTTCTAAATCCAAACCCGGACTCCTCAACCCACAGCACCACCAATTTCCAGGGCGGAAATGACGTCGTATTCACGCGCCGGAAGTGCATTTGCAGAGTGAGACAAAGCGGAGAACGCTGGTGGGCCTGTTGTGGAGTACGCTTTGGACTGAGAAGCATCGAGGCTATAGGACGCAGCTGTTGCCATGACGGCCCAGGGGGGCCTGGTGGCTAACCGAGGCCGGCGCTTCAAGTGGGCCATTGAGCTAAGCGGGCCTGGAGGAGGCAGCAGGTGAGGCACCTGGGCAAGCTGTACATCACTGTTCATCCCAGAACTGCACCAGAGTAATGAGACCTGAGCCCTCAGGCATAACTCTGAAAAAGATGGGTGGCACACAGACATCACCTGGGGAGGTAGCGGCTTTTCTGCCGTGGAAGTTTCTCTGCTCAAACAATGCTTACATCAGTCCTCCTGATAAGTCAAAGGACTGAGGAACATACGAGGGGGCTTGGTCTAATCTGAGTAGGTGCATCTGAAGATCTTTATTCCTATGATTGGTAGATCAGGAAATGTGGGATAAGAAGTATCGGAGGTTGCAGCTTTAGTTTCTTGGTTTGGTTTTTTAGGGGTCGAAGTGACCGGGGCAGTGGCCAGGGAGACTCGCTCTACCCAGTCGGTTACTTGGACAAGCAAGTGCCTGATACCAGCGTGCAAGAGACAGACCGGATCCTGGTGGAGAAGGTACAGAGGTATAGATGTTACCGTAGCCCATGGGCCAGTCCTGAGTTACACACTCATCCTCTTCTCCTAGGTGGAGTTAACGTAGATAGCTCTTATCCTGAAGATTTGGAAACTAAACTGCTTGAGGCTGGTATTTCGGTATTTTATATATCAGCTACAAAAGTGCTTAATAATTTGAAAAATAGAAGATGTTTGGAACATAAGGTATAAGAAAGTAGGTTGAAAACTATCTTTTGGTGGCAACATCTTCCAGTTGAAGTGATCCTTTTTCTACTCTGGTTCCCTTACACCACATATCCAACTGTCAGGATACTCTGTTGGCTTTACCTACTACTTTTTCCTGTGTTCACCTCTCATCCTAATCCAAGCCACCATCCTTCATCTAGATTTCTGCAGTAGCCCGGCTAATTTTTGTATTTTTAGTACAGACAGGGTATCACCATGTTTGCCAGGCTGGTCTTGAACTCCTGACCTCAGGTGATCCATCCGCCTTGGCCTTCCAAAGTGCTGGGATTGCAGGCATGAGCCACCGCGCTCGGCCCGGGGCTATTTATATTTCTAATTTCTCCTGTCATTTTGTTACATTTTTTCTAGAAACTTATCCATTTCCTAAAATTTCAAATGTATTGATATAAAGTTGTTCATAATATGATCACTTCCATATATGCAAGATCTGTGATGTTCATTTTTTCATTCCTGATATTGAATATTTTGTCTCCTCTCCTTTCTTCATCAGGCTCACCAGTATTGATTTTTTAAAAATTATTTTCATTTATTTTTACAGGTCACTGTACCCATCACCAGTATTGATTTTATTAATCTTTTCAAAAATACTTGGGTTTTTTTCTAGTTTCTTGAAATGGATGCTTAGTTTATTTTTAGACTGCCATTACTTTTTTTCTTTTCTTTTGAGACAGTCTTGCTGTTGTCGCCGAGGCTGGAATGCAATAGCACGACCTTGGCTCACTGCAACCTCTGCCTCCCAGGGTCAAGCAATTCTCCTGCCTCAGCCTCCCGAGTAGCTGGGATTATAGGCACCCACCACCACGTCCAGCTAATTTTTTTGTATTTTTAGTAGAGACGGGGTTTCACCACGTTGGCCAGGCTGGTCTGAAACTCCTGACCTCAGGTGATCCACCAAGCTCGGCCTCCCAAAGTGCTGGGATTACAGGTGTGAGGCACCGCGCCCGGCCACATTGCCATTACTTTTAATGGCAACAACCGCAGTTACTTTTGCAGCAACCTGGTAGTATGTATTTAAGGTTATAAATTTCTCAGAACTCTAGCTGTGTCCCACGAGTTTTAAAATGTGGTACTTTTGCTATCATATAAATCTATTTTCCATTATAATTTCTTCATGTATCATTGTTAATTCCCAAACATAAGAGATTTTCTAGTTACTATAAAATTATTTCTAGTTTAATATCATTGTAGTCAAAGAATATGTTTTGTACAATTTGCATTCTTTGAGATTGACATTTTCTTCATGGCTCAGCGAGTGGTCAGTTTTTGTGAATATCTTGTTTGAAAAGAATGTGAATTCTGCAATTGTTGAGTGCAGTGTTACATGTCAGTTGGGTTAAGTTTGTTAATGTCATTCAAATCTTCTATGTCTTGATTTGCCTGCTAATTCTATTATTTCTGGAACTAAATTAGTTCGATGGTTCTATTAGTTATTGACTGAGGTGTGCTAATCTCCCATTATGTGGATTTATCTATTTCTTCAGTTGTAGATAGGACATTGATAGATACATAAGTACCAGGACAAAAGCAGGGAGATCTTTTTTCCAAAATCAGGAGAAAAAAATGACATCTGGAAAACCTATAGGGAAAGGCATAACAGATGGTAAGGATACTTTATCTTGAGTAGGAGAGCCTTCCTGTGGCAACGTGGAGAAGGGAAGAGGTCGTAGAATTGAGGAGTCAGCTCAGTTAGAAGCAGGGAGTTGGGAATTCCGTTCATGTGATTTAGCATCAGTGATATGGCAAATGTGGGACTAAGGGTAGTGATCAGAGGGTTAAAATTGTGTGTTTTGTTTTAGCGCTGCTGGGACATCGCCTTGGGTCCCCTCAAACAGATTCCCATGAATCTCTTCATCATGTACATGGCAGGCAATACTATCTCCATCTTCCCTACTATGATGGTGTGTATGATGGCCTGGCGACCCATTCAGGCACTTATGGCCATTTCAGCCAGTAAGTATTCTTGAAACAATAACCCTTCCATAAGTTTGAAGAATTAAAGGCAGGCCGGGCATGGTGGCTCACGCCTGTAATCCCAGCACTTTGGGAGGCGCCAAGCTGGGTGGATCATCTGAGGGCAGGAGTTCGAGACCAGCCTGGCCAACATGGTGAAACCTTGTCTCTACTAAAAATGCAAAAATTAGCTGGGCGTGGTGGCACACGCCTGTAATCCCAGCTGCTTGGGAGGCTGAGACAGGAGAATCACTTGAACCTGGGAGGCAGAGGTTGCAGTGAGCCGAGATCGTGCCACTGCACTCCAGCCTGGGTGACAGAACGAGACTCCATCTCAAAAAAAAGGAAGAATTAAAGGTAAATTCTTAGGGACAGTTTTTGGCTAACAGGTATATAGGGGAGTGGGGTAATGGTGGTGGCATGGAGGGGAGTGTAGTGCTTACCATGGTTTTCTGTTTGCCTTTAATGGTCCTATTTGCTGTCTTACTATGGGTCTGTCTATATGAATTTAATATACAGTTGGCTTGATTCGTATTGGGGGAAAGAGTTCTTTTGGTTTGACAACTTCTGTTACCGCAACAGCTTTCAAGATGTTAGAAAGTTCAAGCCAGAAGTTTCTTCAGGGTTTGGTCTATCTCATTGGGAACCTGATGGGTTTGGCATTGGCTGTTTACAAGTGCCAGTCCATGGGACTGTTACCTACACATGCATCGGATTGGTTAGCCTTCATTGAGCCCCCTGAGGTAAGGCAAAAGAAAAGCTGAATTTTGGGTAGTTGTAGTATACAGTGAATAGCTGACCTACTTGATGGTAGGAAATTGGAGTTGGTATTTGAGTTTCTTTTTTTTTTTTTTTTTTTTTTTGAGACGGAGTATTGCTCTGTCGCCCAGGCTGGAGTGCAGTGGCATGATCTCGGCAACCTCCGCCTCCTGGGTTCAAGCAATTATTCTGCCTCAGCCTTCCAAGTAGCTGGGATTACAGGCACCTGCCACCATGCCCAGCTAATTTTTTTGTATCTTTTAGTAGAGATGGGGTTTCACCATGTTGGCCAGGCTGGTTTTGAACTCCTGACCTCAAGTGACCTGCCCACCTCTGCCTCCCAAAGTGCTAGGATTACAGGCGTGAGCCACTGCGCCTGGCCTAGGGTTTCTTAAAAAATAAGAGCCATTAGGAGTTTTTAAGTTATTATTTTTAATTAATTAATTAATTTATTTATTTTGAGACAGAGTCTCACTCTGTCGCCCAGGCTGGAGTACAGTGGTGTGATCTTGGCTCACTGCAACCTCCGCCCCCCAGGTTCAAGCGATTCTTGTGCCTGAGCCTCCCTAGTAGCTGGAATTACAGGCAACTGCCACTGCACCTGGCTAATTTTTGTATTTTTAGTAGAGACAGGGTTTCACCATGTTGGCCAGGCTGGTCTTCAGCTCCTGACCTCAGGTGATCCACCCACCTCGGCCTCCCAAAGTGCTGGGATTACAGGTGTGAGCCACCATGCCTGGCCAAGTTATTATTTTTGAAACAGGGTCTTGCTCTGTCACCCAGGCTGGAGTGCAGTCATGTGATCATGGCTCACTGCAGCCTCAACCTCCGGGCTCAGGCACTCAGCCTCTCAAGTAGCTGGGACTACAGGTGTGCACCCCAATGGCTCGCTAATTTTTGTATTTCTTGTAGAGACAGGGTTTTGCCATGTTGCCCAGGCTGGTCTTGAACTCCTGGGCTCAAGCGATCTGCCTGCCTTGGCCTCCCAAAGTGTTTAGCTAAGATTAGCTACTGCGCCTGGCCTGGAAGTTCTTTTTTAAGGATAGGCAAAATAGAGCTTGTGGTTAAAGTATTAAGTAATTGATTCAGGAAGTTATTTTAACACTCATTTGCCACTCACCTATTTATTCTTTCTTTCTTCTTTCAGAGAATGGAGTTCAGTGGTGGAGGACTGCTTTTGTGAACATGAGAAAGCAGCGCCTGGTCCCTATGTATTTGGGTCTTATTTACATCCTTCTTTAAGCCCAGTGGCTCCTCAGCATACTCTTAAACTAATCACTTATGTTAAAAAGAACCAAAAGACTCTTTTCTCCATGGTGGGGTGACAGGTCCTAGAAGGACAATGTGCATATTACGACAAACACAAAGAAACTATACCATAACCCAAGGCTGAAAATAATGTAGAAAACTTTATTTTTGTTTCCAGTACAGAGCAAAACAACAACAAAAAAACATAACTATGTAAACAAGAGAATAACTGCTGCTAAATCAAGAACTGTTGCAGCATCTCCTTTCAATAAATTAAATGGTTGAGAACAATGCATAAAAAAAGTTGCACAAGTTCCTTATTTTCCTTAATATTTCACTTCTATTTAATACAAGCTGGGACATAAAAATTCTGTTGGGGATACCTGGGGGAAGATGTGAGAAACTAATGCTGAATTCAGCTTATACATGATGAAAAGAAAAACCAGACAAAAGGAGCACATAAATATGCATACAGTGTAACTGTTATTATTTTAATACCCACGATAAGGGATTTTTGTTAGCATGTTTAGGGGGAACGAGGATTGGTGGGATCCTTGGGCCACAGGAATCTGAGGCAACGGAAGATATATAGAGTGATCGTCCCCCTGCCGAAGGAACCTGGCACCTGTCAAGCAGATGCTGCAGTTCAAACTTCAGCTTTTAAGATAGATAGCTATTGAAGGCAGAGGGTCAGCAGGAGGATGTGTATTTCTAATCTACCCTGGTAAAGTCATAGGTAAGACTCAAAAGCGGGATCTTATTCAAAAGGCAGGTATTTCCTTTGTTTTCTGTCTTGAAATAGCCCCTTCCCCTAAGGTGCATTCTCTCAAGTTTTCAGTATTGCTTTATTTGCAGTGATTAAAAGAGATGAGAGACTTTGGAGACAGACAACGTAAGCAACACATACACACATGAAATACTCTAGACAGACATGAATATAAATCTGGCCTAATAACCAGTTTTCCATGTAACAGTGATTTTGTGTTTCGGGCTGAAGCAGTGGTTATATTAAAAGCCACTAATTCCCTTATCCCTTTAAAAGATTTTTACAATTCTCCAACCACAAACAGCACTTCTAAAACTAACTTTACTTTCTGCCCATAATTTGTTCTACATGGAAAAAAAAAATATTACTTTGGCCAGGGGTGTGTGTAAATGTGGCAGAATTCCTAGGCAGGCTGACCTTTACAGTATGGGCCTTTAAGATACTGGATCCTGGTTGGGCACAGTGGCTCACGCCTGTAATCCCAGCACTTTGGGAGGCCAAGGCGGGCGGATCACCTGAGGTTGGGAGTTCGAGACCAGCCTGACCAACATCAGTTTCAGTAGAGAAACCCCGTCTCTACTGAAAATACAAAATTAGCTGGGTGTGGTGGCACATGCTTGTAATTCCAGCTACTCGGGAGGCTGAGGCAGGAGAATCGCTTGAACCCAGGAGGCAGAGGTTGCGGTGAGCCAAGATTGTGCCATTTCACTCCAGCCTGGGCAACAAGAGCGAAACTACGTCTCGGAAAAAAAAAAAAAAGATACTGGATCCTGCAGGACATGACTCACTACTGTTAAACTCAACTAAGCAATGGAGTGTTGCAGTGGGAGTTGTAAATAATGCTTCTACCATCTGTAGGAAGTAACAGAAAAAAAGACTTAAGATCCTATCCGCTTTGCCATCCTCAGTGGGCCTGGAGGTTGAAGCAAGCAAAGGGAACAAATCAAAATTACTCAATTTCTTTCTTTCTTTCTTTTTTTTTTTTTTTGAGATGGAGTCTCCCTCTGTCGCCCAGGCTGGAGTGCAGTGGTGCAATCTCGGTTCACTGCAAGTTCCACCTCCCGGGTTCACGCCATTCTCCCGCCTCAGCCTCCCAAGTAGCTGGGACTACAGGCGCCCGCCACCATGCCCGACTAATTTTTTTGTATTTTTGTAGAGACAGGGTTTCACCGTGTTAGCCAGGATGGTCTCAAATCTCCTGACCTCGTGATCCGCCTGCCTCGGCCTCCCAAAGTGCTGGGATTACAGGCGTGAGTCACTGCACCCGGCCCAAAATTACTCAATTTCTTAAGCTATATTGAAGGGTTTTCTCTGTCCTTACAGGTCAAATGAATAATTTGTGACACCTAGGTCAGCTTGCTCCATGTCCTATTTAGTAATCAAAGAAGAGTGGCACTATTTATGACTAATAAATTGAAATTCAAAAACAGCCATGAATACAGGCAAGAAAAGTTTCTCTAAATAACTATTCTGTAAAAGAAATGAAGATTTCACATACTTGAAATTACTGCTCAGCCAGCCACATAAGTAGTTTCCCTATGCTTGTAAGCCAGATGTTTGATCAGTATATTAGTAAATAAAAAGCTGAGCTTACACAAGTATTTCCTTGGCACACTGAACTTTCTTTTTGAAACATATCACTCTGTTACCCAGGCTGGAGTGCAGAGGTGCAATCCTGGCTCACTGCAACCTCCGCCTCCTGGGTTCAAATGATCCTCCTGCCTTAGCCTTCCGTGTTGCTGGGATCACAGGCATGCACCACCATGCCCAGCTAATTTTTGTATTTTTAGTATAGACAGGTTTTCACCATGTTGGCCAGGATGGTCTCGAACTCCTGACCTCAAGTGATTCACCTGCCTTGGCCTCCCAAAGTGCTGGGATTACAGGTGTGAGCCACGGCACCCGGCCTGAAGTTTCTGAAAACAAATTAGAAGACTGTTGGCTTGGCTAATCTCGTAGTTCAGGGCCAAGTTTCTGTAGTCAGAATGAAGAATAAAATTGAAAGAAAAAGGGGGAAATGCTTATACTTGGCATTAAGTTGAATGCCTCAAGTCTTAACTATGGCTTTGTAGATGAGGCAAAAGATTTCTTAGTGGTAAAATTTCTTCAACAGGTCAATGCCAATCTGTATGCCATTTTAGTAAAGTAGGTAAGGAGAGTAGCCGCTCAGTAACGTTGGCACTAAAGAAAGAGTGTGGCTCTAGAACTTCCAATTCCATTGCTAGATGTGCCCTTTAAAAGATGGTCCAGTGCTTTCAGGGAAGGATGTTTAGCCAGTTTTCCTAGTATTTGTTCCTTAAGATTTTTTGACCTGTGCTTAATAAGAGGGCATAAAAAAAGGCGCGGGGGTGGGGGCGGGGGGAGAAGAACCTGTTGATTAATGTGCACCATGACCTGCATTTCTTAGACAACAGCTTGTATGTTTTGTCCATGTTGTATAGAGAACCACAGACTATTTCAGTAAATGTTAATAGCTTCCTTTTGGAGTTCTCTTAGTTCGGCCATTTGAAAGGAACCTGAAAGAAATAATTTTTACCTTACCAAAAACAATTTCCATGGTAACACTGCCTGTGTTACAATGACAGAATGGGTTTTGAGTTAAGAGAAACAAAACAGTTGAAGTATACACTGACACAGTATTTGGATATTTAAATCTGGTATTTTGGGGGGATGTTTTTGAAGAAGTAGAGGCTGCAGCCATGTTTCAAGTTAGTATCCTAATATAAAATTACAGCAGTGGGTATACTAAAGAAATATAGCTAAAAAATGTTTGCATCTTGGCTTGCCGAGGATAATAGGTCCAAATATACTTGACCATAAATTCTTTAGTAAGATGAAGCTGTCTCTAGTTGTTATCCTCACAGTGTCAACATTGAACCATGACTTCTGAGATTCATCTTTAATGCTGAATACGTACTTGACTTGCTTTTTTTCTTCAGTTGAATTTCTAGCATCCCTTTTACCAATTCATTTATTGGCTCAGCTTGTTAATTCTAATTTGCCTTTGACTGCTCAGACGTGGCTTGAAAGACTTGAGCATTGTTCTGATGTTGAGGGAATATTTGCTTTTTCTGTAATGACTGCAGATCAGATGGGAGCTCTTTTACACAGGTACTTGAGGCTCAGCTCATCAAGAGTTCAGTATGATGTGTACAGAACACAGGCTTCTAGTTGAGTGGGAGTGGTAGTAATGAGCTGGCACTTCCATGGAGGACGTAGGCCTTTTAAGAAAACAGGTCAAGCACGGTCATTCAGAGTAGGTTATGAATAAATGGTGATCACTTCACTGCCACCACCCCGGACAAGTAGGACTCGCTCTAGTCCCTCGGTAAGCACCTCTAGGAACTCCATGTCTTCAAAACTTGTCAAGGAGACAGGCAAAAGAAGAGCACAAACTTAAAACCTGGCATCATCATAATCTGAGGTTATCTGATCATAGAGCTACAAAATTAGCTGCTTAATTATTATATATTCAGAAAAGTCTGAACTTTGGATTGAATTTAACCCTGTGAAGTAACCAGAGATCCAGTCCTTTTGCATACATAATACCAGACTCCCATTTGTGTATTTAAAAAATGGGAAAACCTAGAAGTGTTACTCTAAATAAGATAAAAATGATGAAAGAAGAAGAAAAGCCACAATAGGGCAGCTAACAAGATTCCTAGAGAGAACCCAAGTAATTTCTAAGTGAAGCTGCTCAAGTCAGATTTTTCTGCCAGTTCGGTTTGTCTTTTTCTTTTTAAACCTTTTTCTTTTCTTTCTTTTTTTTTTGAGACAGAATTTCCTCTTGTTGCCCAGGCTGGAGTGCAATGGTGCGATCTTGGCTCACTGCAACCTCCACCTCCTGGTTCAAGTGATTCTCCTGCCTCAGCCTCCCGAGTAGCTGGGATTACAGGCACCTGCTACCACACCCAGCTAACTTTTCTATTTTTAGTGGAGACGGGGTTTCACCATGTTGGCCAGGCTGGTCTCGAACTCCTGACCTCAGGTGATCCACCTGCCTTAGCCTCCCAAAGTGCTGGGATTACAGGCATGAGCCACCACACCTGGCCTAAACCTCTTCTTTCTTAATGGTACTGGTGGGAATAAGCTAATTTATGTGTCAATGCTGAAGGGTTTCCCGTATCCCAGGAGTCCTGGGATGAAGGTATGAGGAAGAATCCCTATCTCTTTTTTCCCCTCAGTTAAAGGAGGTTCTATCTCAGCTTCTCCCCTAACTCTATCCAAAAGAAAGGCTTTGCAAAGCGGGTAGAACCTAAAAAGGCGAAAGGATGTGGGTATGCTGTCTGTAGGATTGTCAGGAAGGGTTTTATACACTGAATATTAGATGTCATGTTGCAAATACACCACCTAAAACTAGAACTGAATTATATTTGCCCCAACTCCCCTAAAAGAGTTTAATCTTATAACTTTGTAAAAATCCTTGCCTAGGACTTTTAAGTCTCCCTTCCTTAAAGAGGGAAAGTGGGGCATAGACAATGACTTTTATTGTTACCTAGTTATCTCAGAAAGAGGTTAAGGAGATTTTCCCTACTGGAAGCCCCACTCTTGGAAAGGATACAGTTTTCATCACCCTCAGGGTTTCGGGGTGGCCCTGGCATATTCAATAAAACCAGCTTTGCTTCATGGGACTTGTTAACTATAACCTCGTTGAGTTTCACTGCTGTATGCATCCGCCTCACATTGGACTGGTCCCTGAGTGGGGAAGAAATAAAGGTTGTTAAGGTAAAAAGACAACTAGCCATAAAGTCAACGTTAAAAACTTGAGATCCTGAGCTTTTTCACTTGACTATGGATAATCTGATAAAATGATTTTTTTTTTTTTTTTTTTTGAGAGGGAGTTTCGCTCATGTCACCCAGGCTGGAGTGCAATGGTACAATCTCAGCTCACAGCAACCTCCGCCTCCCAGGTTCAAGTGATTCTCCTGCCTCAGCCTCCCGAGTAGCTGGGATTACAGGCCCCCACCACCATACCCGGCTAATTTTTTTTGTATTTTTAGTAAAAACAGGGTTTCACCATGTTGGGCAGGCTGGTCTCGAACTCCTGACCTCAGGTGATCCACCCGCCTCTGCCTCCCAAAGTGCTGGGATTACAGGCGTGAGCCACTGTGCCCAGGCTAAAATGGTTTCTTTATGATATTAATATCTGGGTTTTCTCATTCTCTGTTGGCTTATTTTATAGTAAGAACACAGTATGGAGGTGAACTATGTGGATAGAGGGGATGGTTAGCTTGTGTACAGTGTTCATTGGGAGCCAGTATGAACAGGCAAACAATAATGAGGTGGCTAGATTCAGGGTGAAATGAACAGACTCCATCCTGTGTGTCCAGGCAAAGTCACATTTGTGCCACTGATTAGGTAATTTTATGATAAACTTGGGAGTGGGAAAACTTACGGACGCATGTTAAGCAGGTCCTGGAATCCTTCCATTGACTTCGCTTTTTGTCCCCGGGATGCCATGTACTTGTCTTTTGTCCAAGTCATGTGCACCTTCTCCTGATAGGTTTCTGTCTCTTCGTCCTCATCAGAGCCAATGCTGGTCAATCGTAGCATTGAGTTTCGGTCTTTCACCAATTGTGCCTGAGGAAGAAGGTCCAACACAAGTTATTCTACCAAATTTTCTCTTATGCTTCATCTTTGGTTATTTTGAAGCAGTAATGGGTTATAGTGGAATAACTGACAGAGTGAGAAGGAATTTGTCATCCTTGAAAACAATATAGTATCATCCCTTTTTTTTTTGGTTTGAGACAGAGTCTTCCTCTGTCACGCAGGCTGGAGTGCAGTGGCGTGATCTTGGCTCACTGCAACCTCCGCCTCCTGGGTTTAAGCACTTCTCTGCCTCAGCCTCCTGAGTAGCTGGGATTACAGGCATGTGCCACCATGCCCGGCTAATTTTCGTACTTTAGTACAGATGGGGTTTCACCATCTTGGCCAGGCTGGTCTTGAACTCCTGACCTCTTGATCCACCCGCCTCGGCCTCCAAAAGTGCTGGGATTACAGGCGTGAGCCACCATGCCCAGCCCAGTATCATCCCTTTCAGTGACAGACTTTAGAGAGCACGGATTGGATTGATGCAGTAATGTCTCACCTCTCTGTCTCGCTCTGTTTTGGATAGCCGCATGTGCCGGAGCATCTGGGACCTTTGTTCCATCATCAAAGTGCGCTCGTAAGTATATGCTGATATATCACTGTCATGCTGCCATAGACATCACATAAAAGGGGCAAAAAGCACAAAGGAGAAAGAAGGATGAACCATACATTTTTATTTCCAGTCACTAAATTAAACCAGGGACAGCATCACTATATTAACCTAAGCTTCACCCTTACTTTGTTTAGTCATTGAGCTACATAAATGTTTTTGTGACTGTAGATAAAATTCAGAGGCCCTGAGAGTCTTTTCCATAATCTAACCAAGACATGTGTTGCCTTGAAACACAAAATACAAACTCCAGTCTCTCTTTTTTATACTGTTAGGTTTTTTTTAAAAGCCATGTGTGATTTTAAGCTGAATATATGAATAAAAATTTCATAAAACTATATTAAGCAGATGAGAATCTGGCAGAAATATAAGGGCTGTGTAATAAACAAGAAAGCAAAACCAAAAAATAACATCAAACATGCATCACATATACATTCTACTTAGGGCAACAAATTAGGGTTTTTTTTTGTTTTTTTTTTGGCACTAGGGGATTAATCCACATTTAGATCTGAAAAATTTCCCAAACCAGAAAAGATTCAAGGAAGACAGGGAGAGGAATGGGGGAATGAACCTCTTGTATCTCAAACTCAGCTTTCTCACCATCTCCACCACTTCTACCTCCGCCTCAATGCGTAAGTGATATAGGAAGGTGGCTAGGTCCTTCTTCATTTGGATACTGTTGTCTTCTAATTGGGCTACTGTGAAGATCCGTATGCTGCACTTTCGCCACACCTGAGAGAGTGACATACACATGTGAAAAATTAGAGCAAGGAGGCAAAAAAGGTTATTTCCTAAGACATTAGACATTGTGGTCTAGAAGAACCTTGCTATATGTAGTATAAGGCTATTTGTTCCTAGCTTCCTACTTGCTATGTTATTGTATTAGGGCAAAAGATTGACTAAACACCACATTTAATACAGTTTTAAGGAGTCCTTAATTTCATAACAAGAAAACACTGGCAAAAGAAAAGATGGTTCACGATACGTTAAGAGGGTACTTTATTCAGACAGTGTATCAATGACAACATGCAGACTATATATTTACTATTTTAAATCTCATTTAATTAGTCTTACCACGGAATGAGCGCATATATGCGTGCAATACACACATATACATATACCTTAAGTTTTCAGTATTTTTTAAAAAAAGATGTGTTCACTTGTTGTTTTCCCCTAGGGCTCATATGGAACTTTATTAATTGGCTGAATTTCACTTGGAGATAAGTAGGTATCAAATACAAAGACAATGATTTCTCTTGTTTGAAAGTGGGATCATGGGAAAGCCTAGAATAACTTCCAACTCTTCTGATTCTAAACCCCAACACTATTATAATCAGAGGAAGAATTTGTCTGTCCTGTGAACCAGGACAGAAGGGAGAAAGACTTTTGTAAAAAAAAAGTTGTATAAAATACCTTGTGCTGTTTCAGTAGGAATGGTAGTAGCATAAGCATCCCCCCATCATGCACAATCCACCACACATCAATGTTGCCCTCAGAAAATTGCTCCACATTGCTGGGAAAGAAGGAGATGTTTTTAGCCACCAGCAGTGCAAGATGGGCAGCAGTTGTCACTCGAACTGTGCCTAGGGAGAAAAAAGAATAAGCAGAGAAGAATCCTTAGGCTTGCCTTGCTTCCTAGCATGTCAGGAAAGCAAGGAAATGCTCTTTTCACACTTCTTTGAGCAAGGGGTCCTATTTACTTAGTAGGTTATTTCTCATTACGTATCAAAAACCATTGTGAAAAATCTGAATAGCTAACAGACTGAGAACCACAGTTTATGTTACTAGGTATATTCCCATTACTACATTTCTAAGGGGGGATATGTGAATTTGAGAGATTATGATGCTGAAGAACAATTCTTGCAATTCCTGTGAGAACATCAATATGGAAAATCACAAATGAAAACACGGCAATTTTGGAGATAATTCCTAGCACAAGACTTGACAGAAATAATTCATGAACATAATGTGAAGCTGAAGGGGGTAGGTAGAATCTGGGTATTACTACCAATAGTTTTTCAGGTTGCCTTATAAGACTATGCTTCAGCAATGGCATAGTCTCTACTTTAGGAGGCTGGGGGTGACAGAGATTTAACTATATACCCTCGACTTGGGCCTTTAGGTTTGTATGAGAAATGGTTAGTACCAATAAAAGTCTTCCAAGCGCGGGCATCTTCGCTTTGACGCCAGCCATTAGGCCAGCCCATCACCACCGTGTTGTGCTTCATGCCCCCAAGGCCACATGACTGGATGAGGTGGGAAATGCCCTCTCTCAGCTTGGCGGCCACCACCAGCTGGCAGAATCCTTTTACCTTCTCTGCCTCCATTAGGTGCTTTATGGTCTGAAAGAGACACAGGACCGCAACACTGAACTGGTTCACTCTGGACATTTTAACCCATTGTTCCTTCTCCATATTATATCCCCCACCTTTTTCCAAAGTCTTCATAATACTATATCATCTACAGAAAAGTCCAAAAAGTTAAAATTATCCCAAAGGAATTTCATGATCTTTTGTCTTTTTGCTTACTACGTATTTTTGCCTCTGTAGCTGGTTGTCTACATGTAGTTTCTCTGCTTTTTCCTCTGTTCTGCTTTTGTTCCTTTGCACCATACCAAAAAACTGGGAACAGGGATCTCTACAAAGTGAATATTCAACATTCTTTCTCAGTTGACCAGGGTGATTCACTATTGTGAACACGATCTCCTTCCTGCCTCAGCCCCAGTCATGCCCTGACTCATCTTACCAGAAACTCAGTATGATGATTCAGTTTCACTTTAGAATTTTCTCAGGTATGTTTTCTTTTTCGCCTCTCCCATTCCCATATGCTTTTTGACATTTTAATGGTGATTATTCATGACACTTGTATTTGCATTACTCTTCCTTTATTTAGTCAAACCAATTTGGAGATATCATCTCATTTACTCTTACTCCACCCTGGGAATAATGGTATGGAAAATGGAATGATTTTTGCAAAGGCACAGATTAAATCAGTGATGCGGCTAAGAACTAGGCTCTCCTGATTTTCAATCCTGTGTACCTTTTATTAATTTTTACCATCATTCTGGAGTAATGTTTCTTCAGCATTTCTAGTGTTTAGGATTTCAAAGGATTCCAAAATGAAATCCAGTAAAACTTTTTTTTTTAAATACTTTAAGTTTTAGGGTACATGTGCACAACGTGCAGGTTTGTTACATATGTATACATGTGCCATGTTGGTGTGCTGCACCCATTAACTCGTCATTTACATTAGGTATATCTCCTAATGCTATCCTTCCCCCCTCCCCCCACAGTAAAACTTTTGAAATGCCATTGAACACAATGGCATTTCAAAAACAATAGGATTAGTTCTATCATATATAATAAGTATTAGAGTGAAAACAACTTCCTTGTTAAAGTAGAACTTTAATGTTCAATACAGCTAACCAGAAGTGGCAAAGGAATCTTGCTCATGATACCACGTAGATTAGTAAAGAGGAAGAAAATTTGGTCATTACTCCTTGTTGTCACAAGATTGAGAGGAACCCTCTCCATAGTTCAAGGGATCAATTTATTTACATGACTTTTCTCAGTGCTTAGATTAATGTTTGGAGTATATTTGAACATAAGGTTTAGACTTAATAATCTTATAATTTAGTAATGCTTTAAACAGGAAGAAATAATAAATAACTATTTTTGGCTCATCTTATTATTTGGGAAAAAGTGTCCTTTCAAAGGTCAGCACTAAGTGAGAAACCTCCTAGATCACTCAGGAACAAGATTCAAGTAGAAGTTTGAGGTCTTACTACTTAACATCACAAAGCTGTAAACTGAGTTCCAATACCTCAAAAGCCTGACTCTTACCTGCTCAGCAGCTAAAGCTTCACCGTAGTTCTCTAGGAAGTTCCCCACGATGACAGAGCCCACAATAGTGAGACCTTTTCCTGCTTTGAGCTGTGAGGCAAAGGTGAGGAGGCGAGGATGCTTGACATGTAAGTCTTCATCTAGTTTCAGTAATACAAGCAACTGAGGCCTGTGAAGAGGTTGGTGGGGGTTGGAGGGGAGGAGAAAACATTTTGGGTTTGGGGAACAGAATGACAGACTCCACCCTTTAATTCAGGAGATCTGTATGAAACAGGTAATTTGACAGAAGGAAGAGATCACAGGAGATGACAGGATAAGGGCATTATTTTGAATGCTCCCAGTACTATCTCAAGTTGATCAGTCTTCAAGGAAGAATAATAAATTGTAGAAATCTTGATCATAAACGACATGAAGAAAAGGGAATAAAAAAATTAAGGATTTAGAATAGTTCAAAACAGGTCCATTATACCAATTCCTTGAGCCACATATGGTTTCCTTATCCTAAAATCAACAAAACACATATTTTTGTGTGTTAACCATGTGCCAAATACTGCTAGTGTTGATTTCTTTACCTCCAGTTTTTAGTGTGTGGAGGTCCTTCCTCCAATCGAAGCAAAGCAAACCGGGCTGCACTGAGGGACAGCCCACGGATACCATCACCCCATTCTTTCTCAGCTCTGTGAGAAAAAGAAAAGAGCAGAGACAAATTTAAACTATAGTAAGTATAATTTTAAAAAATAAAGTTTTTTTCTGAATCTAAAAATCACACATGTGCAAGGTAGAAGATTAAAGCTCAGATTAATGATTTACATAATGTTCTTTACTAACATAATGAACCTGATGTAGGTAGATCAACAGCACCAACAGACTGCACTGCACAAACAGTTCCCAATAAAGCCTGAAGGGGTCACTCATTCAGTCCTTCTATGTAATTGTTCAAAACAATAATGTAAAAGAGCAATTTAGATTAGAAAATTATAACAGACCTGGAGTTTAAGTTACTTTGAAAATAATGCAGAGAAAGTAAAGTTCAATGTGATCTTCTGAATAAGAATGTTATTTCGTCCTCATTTTTGAAAGCTGTAAGTCTTAGTAGTTACTAAGTTGTTCAGAACTAATTTCTTTTTCATTTCAGAGACAACCCCTTGACTGAAGAGATAAGCAAAAATATTTACATTTGTGTTGTACTTTGTTTAGTACTAATTATTATTATTTGGAAATGTCCTTTGTTATTTTCCATTGATCCATTCATACTTTCTCAATGGATCTCCCTTGTGATGAAAAGCTTGCATCATTAAGATGGTTAAAGAATTAGGGGTACAAAATATAGTTATGAAAATGAAGTTACCTGAGTCCTTAAGATATTTTCACTGAGCTGGCTCTAACCAAACTAGCTAGTCTTGCTACTTTTAGCAGTGATCAAGATTAAATCCACACTCACCCTTGGTATTCAATGTACTTGTAGATCATACCAGCTATTACCATGGCTACAATGGCATAATACCAGGAAGAAATGAACATCAGAGCCAGACAGATACTCATTCCCATGAAAGAAAGGGCCCTAGAAAATTAAAAACAAAAAAGTATCTTTTAAAGTAGCTGAAAAAGAAGCCTATGTTAAAGGTGCTTCTCAAACTATCTGTGGTGAGGTATTATTTTTTAAAAACTTTGAAACTATTATAAATAGAACTTTTGTAAAATGCAATAAAAATGAATTATTCGAAAAATTATCACATGCCTGGATGCTGTAGCAATGTCAAACTGCCACAAAAGTTTCTAAATGATTATTCTCAATTCTATAGTTGTCTTATCATGAAACAGTCGGTAGATGTGCACTAAACCCCAAACTGTCCTTTGCAACAGAAGATGTTTCCAACTGCTGGAAAACCATATAAATAACGGAACACTATCAGTCATCTGCAGTTATGAGGACAATTAATACTTACTTGGCAAAGCCAGGATGGGACACGCAGCCAGAAATGTTAATAACTCTAGGATCTTTTTAAAAAATTTCATATAAATATTTCTAAAAATTTTATAAATACTTATTAGCATAACTGCAGAACTCACTGAGAAAAATTATTTTTGGGCCGGATGCGGTGGCTCACAGCTGTAATCCCAGCACTTTGGGAGGCTGAGGCGGATGGATCACAAGGTCAGAAGACTGAGACCATCCTGGCTAACACGGTGAAACCCTGTCTTTACTAAAAATACAAAAAATTAGCCGGGTGTGGTGACGGGCGCCTGTAGTCCCAGCTACTCGGGAGGCTGAGGCAGGAGAATGGTGTGAACCTGGGATCTCAGCTCACTGCAACCTCCGACTCCCGGGTTCAAGCGATTCTCCTACCTCAGCCTCCTGAGTAGCTGGGATTACAGGCATGTGCCACCATGCCCGGCTACTTTTGTATTTTTAGTAGAGACGGGGTTTCCCCATGTTGGTCAGGCTGGTCTCAAACTCCTGACCTAGGTGATCCGCCTGCCTTGGCCTCCCAAAGTGCTGGGATTACAGGCATGAGCCACCACGCCCGGCCTCATAAAGAACTTCTAACTAACATTAAAGCTAGAAAGAGGATTTGAGGCATTAAAAATCAGTTGAAGATTTTAATTTTTGCCCAGTAAACGTTACATCACTGCCCACCATTGGTAAGTGAAGACAGAAAGGGAACAAGGAGAAAGTTAGCAAAGAAGAATGTAGCAACGGGTACATACAGGACATAATTAATGAGCTCTGAGCTATAAGAGGAAAGAGATGGGATGGTAGCCAAAAATCTTTCATGATGACCCCTTCAGGACTGGGGAGACTTAACTACAACAGCAGCAGCAGCAACAGTTCATTGAGAGCTGAGCTTTACTATGTATCAGGCACTACGATAAGCACTTTAGATTTATTAGTCCCATTTTACAAATGAATAAAATTAAATTTTACATGGTTATGTGCTTTGCTGAAGGTTACAAAGCTAGGAAATAGTAGAGCTGAGATTGGAATTTAGAACCTCTGACTCTGTAACCCTAAGAGACAAACAGGAAAATAAACATGCAAGAGAAGGTTGTTTTAACCTGAAAATTATAGAAGGCTGGATATCTCTATTTAGTGCTTTTGCTCTATTCGTATTGGGTGTTATAAGTTATTATAAAGTGATATAGGAAAATAGGATAGGAGGATGAGGATTCAGATAAGAATTGAAAGTTGAAACAGTATGAAATGGCTGACCAAGAAAAAAATTTTATCGAGAACCCAGACTCTCCTAGTTTTCTAGTTCAAAGATGGGTTCTCTCCAAACGTGAGTAAAAAGAATAAAAGAAGCAGACTTACCAATGGTAGTAGCGGAATCGGGGTCTCCAGTTGGGTGTTCGAAGTAATGTTTGCAAGGCACATGCCAAGTTTACAAAGAGGTAACACATGAGAAAAAACCTGAAGAATAAAGAGTAAGAGGAATGATTATTACTGGAAGATGATTCTTTGAAGGTTAAGTAACTGAATACCTTTGCTGTATTGAAGCCTGTTTCTAGACAACTAACCCTTGATTAAGTAGGAAGTAGGGAAACTTAAACCTCTCCCCACAAAACTGTTCATCCTTCTCTGTTCTCTCAGTCAATGACACAACCACTCTTTACCCAGTTGTTCTTAGGATAATCCAGGTTTCCTCTTCCTTACCCTTGTTCCAAATTCACTTACCAAGTCCTATGGATTCTATTTAAAAATCTCTTAAGCTGCTTCTCTTCCTTTTCATCTCTACTACTAATCACCTTAGTTCAGGCTCTCATTTCTTCTTTCCAATTAGCATTCCCAGCTCAATTCTAGCCTCCTTCTAATCCATCTTTTATACAAGATTGATCATCCTAAAGCATTATCATTTTGTGCTCAAGGATTACCCACTACTTCCAGGTAAAAGTTCCAGGACCTTTGTGATCTGGGTCTACCTACTTCTCTATTCTGTTATTCCCTCAACATGTACCCTCCACTCTAGCCAAGCCAAACTACTTCCAGTTCTCTGGATGTGCTACCTTATGCCATCCCTCAATTCCTTTATATGCATTCTCTGCCTGGAATGTTCTTCACCCCTTATTTTCTTAGCAAATAACCAGTTATTCTTCAAGATACAAGTATCACTTCCTCCGGAAAATCTTTCTTGAGTTTCCATCTGTTTAGATGCCTTGCTCTGGTGTTCCTAGGGCACTCAGTGTTCACCTTTATCATGGCACTCATCACGCTATATGGGAATCATTGGTTTCCTTATCCATTATCAGTTCCATAAGATTGTGTCTTATCCATCTTTGTATTCCCAGAATACCACATTACACAGTGCCAGGTAAGTAGTAAGCATCAATAAGTCATAGGTGAATAAATAAATAAAAACTAACAGTGGTGGTAAAAGCTACAACCAATTGACAATGAATTAGAAATGAAGCCAAAGAACTTTTGAAGTTAAATAGGTAGGAAAAAACCTAATAACTTACAAAAGTTAGCCTTACTTGGAAGTTCTCAGGAATGATTTTTATTTAAGTGAAGTTACATCTGTATTTAGCCCACTCTGTTATCACTACTGTTATATGACTGATGGAAATAAACATGCATTATTTATCATTTAAGCAAGAATAACTGAAGAGAATCACTGGCTCTTACATGGAAAGAATTGGGGCCACAAGATCCAGGGAGGCAATGAGTATTCCAAGCTCTGCAATGGCAGCAGTTAGAAGTAAAGCCCAGGTAGGTTCCCCATTGGCTTTGCTGTGGCCAAAAACCTGTACACAGAAGGGAAATATCAGGCACAGGAGTACTGAGTCATTGCTCTCTGATTTCTCTAGCCTACAGTTTTCAGACATCTGGAAGACAACAGTGTTACAACTGTGATACCTTTTAAATACCTTTACAGCACTCACAGGTAAACTCATGCTTGGGATTTAGAGGTTCTTGTACTAAAAACCCACGTCTCCACATTTATGATCTAGTAATTTCTAAGCCCATGAAGACCACACTGTTTCTCATTAAAGCTGGGAAAAAAAGAAGAGGGCATAATAAAAGGTCACTCACCCTCAGAAACGGTATGATGTTATCCTTGGCAATAGCTTGTAGCAGCCTCGGTGCACCTGTGAGGCTCTGAAGTCCAGCCCCACATGTTGAAAAGAAGGAGCCAATAACAATCACCCATGGGGATGGCCAAGATAAGGTGCCTACCACCAAATTACCTTTCACAGCATCACCGAACCTGGGAAAGAAATAGGAGTGGGAAATTTAATCTGGAAATAACTTTAGACTGAAAGACTAGAGATATTCACCCAATTTTTTTTTGAGACAGAATCTCACTCTGTCACCCAGGCTAGAGTGCAGTGGTGTGATCTTGGCTCACTCCAAACTCCGCCCCCCAAGTTCAAGCAATTCTCTTGCCTCGGCTTCCTGAGCATCTGAGATCACAGGTGTGCACCAACACACCTGGCTAATTTTTGTATTTTGAGTAAAGATGGGGTTTCACCATGTTGCCCAGGCTGGTCTCGAACTCTTGGCCTCAAGTGATTCACCTGCCTCAGCCTCCAAAAGTGCTGGGATTACAGGCGTGAACCACTGCGTCCAGCCCACCCAGTTTTTTTTTTCTAAGTTTTAGAGAATCAAAAGTGAGACAAATAATATTACGAAATATAAGATAGCCAGATTTGATCAAACGGCACTATTGACCTATATTAGGAAAAAAATACATATGGGGCTAGAAAATAAGCTAAGCTTCAGTTGTAACTTTCCCCTTCAGGGTATCAAAATATCTGCTTTTTAGAAAAATCGCGATCTCACTGCACTATAATTCTGTATTCTTGAAATGTAAGCATTTTTCTATGTCATAAAAAGCTATGAATAAAAATTTGTAGTGATTTGAATAATATTGCATCACAATTTCTTATCCATTCTTCTAGTGTTGACTTTCTATTATATAAAATATTATAATTAACATCTTTATGCACATATCTACATTCACAGTTCAGGTTTTTTTCCTTAAGGCAGGTTTTGTTTTTTTTTTGAGACAGGTCTCACTCTGTTGCCAAGGCTGGAGTACAGTGACGCTATCTCAGCTCATTGCAGCCTTGACCTCTCTGGCTCAGGCGATGCTCCTGCCTCATCCTCCCACGTGGCTGGGACCACAAGTGTGTGCTACCATGTCTGACTAATCTTTTACAAAAGTTTCTGTAGAGACAGGATCTCGCCTTGTTGCCCAGGCTTGTCATGAACTCCTGGGCTCGTGTGATCTTCCCCTCTTGGCCTCCCAGTATGCTGGAATTACAGGCATGAGCCATTGTGCCCAGCTAAGTTATGGCAGATTCTTAAGAGGGAATAACTAACCAAAGGGATCAATATCTTAAAACATTTCAAAATCACTACTAAACTGCTGTCCAGAAAGTTTGTACTAAATTTTACTCCCACTGGAAATATAAGAAGATTCAAGTCTTGTGGCACATGCACACTCCACACCAGTCTTCTGTATTAAAAAAAATTAAGGTCACTTCTAATTTGATGGGTGAAACATAGCATCAGTTTAATTACTCGTTTTAACAATTTTTATTAAGTATCACACACAAAAAGTAGTGTGCAAGGCTGGGTGCGGTGGCTCACGGCTGTAATCCCAGCACTTTGGGAGGCCGAGGCGGGTGGATCACGAGGTCAGGAGATCGAGACCATCCTGGCTAACACAGTGAAACCCCATCTCTACTAAAAATACAAAAAATTAGCTGGGCGTGGTGGCGGGCGCCTGTAGTCCCAGCTACTCGGGAGGCTGAGGCAGGAGAATGGCGTGAACCCGGGAGGCAGAGGTTGCAGTGAGCCGAGACTGCGCCACTGCACTCCAGCCTGGGCGACAGAGCGAGACTCCATCTAGGGGAAAAAAAAAAAGTAATGTGCAAAAAAACAACAAATGCACATCTGAAGATTTCTACAAATCCAACACCCATGCTGTAGGTGTTGACCTACTACCATGCAGGTCAAGAAACAGAACACTGCCAGTACCCAAAATTCTCTCTTATGCCCATCCCCACTCATTAGTCCTTTCTTCCTCTCCACTATCCTGACTTTTTTTTTTTTTTGAGACAGGGTCTTGCTTTGTCACCCAGGCTGGACTGTAATGCTGTGATCATGACTGACTGTAGCCTCAACCTCCTGGGTTCAAGTGATCTTTCTGCCTCAGCCTTCCCAGTAGCTAGCACTACAGGCATACGCCACCATGCCCAGCTAATTTTTTACTTTCTGTAGTGACAAAGTCTTGCTATGTTGCCTAGGCTGGTCTGGGAACTCCTGACCTCAAACAATCTTCTAGCCTCAGCCTCCCAAAGTGCTGGGATTACAGGCATGAGCCACCATACCCAGCCCTCTGACTTTGAATACTATAGAGTTTTACCGTTTTAAAACTTTATATAAATGATACACAGTACATACTTTTGTGTTTGGTTTTCTTCACTTAGCATTGCTTGTGAATTTTTTTGGGGGGAGGTGTATATTGCTATGACTTACTTTGCTGTATGGCTTCCTATTACATGAATATATAATTTAATCATTCTACTAGCGATGGACATTTGGATTATTTCCAGGTTTTGGCTATTAAGAATACTTATGAAGAGAAAATGAAGCAGGCAAAAATAAATAAATAAATAAATAAGAATAACACTACTGTGAAAATTCTTGTGAATTAGTCTTGATGCACATGTGCAAGCATTTCTGTTAGATATACCTAGAAGTGGAAATGCTGAGTCATAGGTAAGCACATGTTCAACTTTAGGAGATAATAACCAATAATTTTCCAAAATGATACTCTAATTTACACTCTCAATAATAATTTTTATATCATGGTGTAACTTACCAAAGCTCCATGAATTTCCTACTACAATGGTATAGTAATATACTATACTATATACATACATATATACACCCCCACCCACACACACACACACACACACACATATACTGTGTTATATACATATATATATTGTGCTTTTTATTTTTGTCAACAATATTTATATTGCATCTGTTAGGCTTCGAGTCCTCAAAGAGCTCAACGTGTAGGGGAGAGTAATATGAAAACAAGTAGCTGCAATATAGCATCATAAATGCTATAATATAGTATATTCAAATGGAGTTGCTGAACACAAGGTGGAGTGTTTACCTCTGTTTGGGTGAGTATGGGAAAGCTTTACAGGAGAGAAGACCCTTAGCCTAGTCTCTAAGAGGATGAATATGAGTTGGCCAGGTGGGAGTAACCTATTCTAAGCAAAGGAAATAACACAGACAAATGTGTTTATACGTGGAGACATAATAAGACATATTAAACTCTAAGTTAGGGAGCTTATGAGGGAATGGCAGGAGATAACAGTAAAAAGAGGTAGAGAGGGCCAGATTACAGTGATGGATTTTAACAGGCTTTGGCAGGCTCTGAAGCAGGGAGGTTTGTATGTTCAAATTTTGTGTTTTAGAAAAGTCATTCTGGTGGCAGTGTGGAAGAAGGATTAGAGGCTAGAACTAAAAGGGAGATTATTACAATAACATAGGCAAAAATCCTGAAGGTCTGTACAAAGTGAGTGATGTGGATAAAGAATAGAGGATACATCTGTGTAGTATGGGAAATTTTAATAAAATAATAGCGGAAAGGGCTGGGTGTGTTGGTTCATGCCTATAAGCCTAGCACTTTGAGAGGCTAAGGTGGGAGGATTGCTTGATCCCAGGAGCTTCAGACCATCCTGGACAACATAGTAAGGCCCCATCTTTACAAAAAAAATTAAAAAAAACTACTAGCTGGGTGTGGTGGTATGCACCTGTGGTCCCAGCTACTTGGGAAGCTGAGGCGGGAGGATTACTTGAGCCCAGGAGGTTGAGGCTGTAGGGAGCTGTCACTGCACCACTGCACTGTAGTCTGGGCAACAGAGCAAGACCTTGTCTCTAAATAAATAAGTAGAAAAGAAAAGAAGAGAAGAGAAAAGAACAGAATATGAAGAAAGTAAGTTTCAGGCTTTTATTTAGAATGCCAAACACAATTAGATACTTATCTCTCATAAAGGAGATGCTAGAGACACTTGAAATTTTATTTACTTGCCCTTCTTGACTTTTGGTCTCGTTTCTGAACAGTTCTTGATGGACAGGGAAGTCCTCATTATTCAGACACATTCACTGCTTTTTTGAAGGACTGTATTTAACTGTCTCATATATTCACTGAAAATACTGGCCCCTTTGGGAACTACATTCATATATTTTCTTATTGTTAGTCATGATTGATAACTCAGGTTGGGTTATTTTTTTGAGAAAGGGTCTCACTTTGTCACCCAGGCTGGAGTACGGTGGCACAATCATGGCTCACTACAGCTTTGACTTCCCAGGCTTAAGTGATCCTCCCACCTCAGTCCCCCAAGTAGCCAGGACTGTAGGTGCACACCACCACACCTGGCTAATTTTTGTGCTTTTTGTAGAGACAGGGTTTTGCCATGTTGCACAGGCTGGTCTTGAACTCCTGAGCTCATGCAATCCACCTGCCTTGGCCTCCCAAAGTGCCGGGATTACAGGCATGAGCCACGGTGCCTGGCTGTGTTGAGTCTGTAACTGTCTTGGAGCTATGTGGAATGATCAGAAGTCATGGCAGACACACACATAATTGTTACAAAGAAATTCATTACTCACTTGTCTCTGAGAACAACCCCTTCAATACATGCACCAAAAAGGACAACATTGCTTAAATCTACCATATTGAGAGTCAAGGAAACTGTTGTTTACCCTCTAACATGAGATAGAAAGTAGACACTCAGTAGACACTTTCTTCTGTCAGTAAAATGAGCTGCTAAATACTCCTATAAATTCTTTTTTGAATTTTCTATATGAGGTAGGCAGATAATCTGGCAAGAAGTGAAGTGATAGAAAGCAGGTATCTTTGTTACCAGGATAAAAATACTGATCATCTAGTTCTACTGGATGCTCCTATGACTAAGACTCAGACTGGATCCATAAAAAGGATACAAACAAAGGAGGTGGTCAGGATGGCAAGGATAGTACCAATCGGAATAGACTTCTGAGCATCTTTCAGATCTCCAGATCTGTTTGATCCAGCCATGATACCTTTAGAGATAAGGGGGAAAAAACCAAGTTAACTTCTTGGACACTTTGATATTGATACTGATAGCAAAGAGTAGAAGCAAATCTAGGAACCCTGAGAATTCTGCCTCCTGAGAAAAATCACTCCGTGGGTCTGACAGCTTCTAAAATATACAACAGCCTATGTGTTTACCTGTAACAGAGGGAAAGAAGATTCCCACCAGAAGCGTGAAGGAGGTGGTGATGTCAACAAGAACATATTCATGGTTTAAGCTGCCTAAGACATCAGAAGATTTGGCTGAAGGCTTTTCGATGATCTCTCCCTTGGGTAGGTAATTACTCCAAAGATTCTCTGCAGTGGGAAAAATGGGAATTTAAGCAGCAGCAGTATGAAAAAAAAAAGATAATTAATTTTCTACCCAAACATTCAAAATCAGGCTCCTCATTTATACAGTTTCTAAAGGTGTGTTTGCTTCTACATGAGCACATGTATACACACACATTGCACAATAAAACACACATAAATAAAAACATAGTTTTTTTTTTGTTTGTTTGTTTTTTGAGACAGAGTTTTACTCTGTCACCAGGCTGGAGTGCAGTGGCACAATCTTGGCTCACTGCAAGCTCTGCCTCCCAGGTTCACGCCATTCTCCTGCCTCAGCATCCTGAGTAGCTGGGACTACAGGCGCCTGCCACCACGCCCAGCTAATTTTTTATATTTTTAGTAGAGACGAGGTTTCACCATGTTAGCCAGGATGGTCTCGATCTCCTGACCTCATGATCCTCCCACCTAGGCCTCCCAAAGTGCTAGGATTACAGGCATAACCCACGGCGCCCAGCTAAACATAATGTTCTTTCTTATCTAATTTAAATATAATTTGACAAAATGATTTGGTACATGCAAATATAGTTTAACTTTACTAATGCAAATTAGTAAAAGTTAAACAGACTAAAACTAAATGCCCCACAAATCCCATTATTATTTGTCATCAGTGCTGTTTCTAACACCTTAATGTAAACTTACTTATGTGCAAAGAAATTTATAGACCAAACATTTATAATAGAAGACACTTAAGGAATGTTTCAGGAATTTAGCTAAGTTAGGAAGATACATGTGGATGTGGACATTAAAACAGGTCTATTCTGTCAGTGCAGGAAGAACATTGGCAATTTTACAAGAATACACGGAATATTTTACCGTAAGGTTAGAAAGTGATTTGCTCAACTCTGCTCTGAAATGGAGGTGAATTTTAGCAGACATCACTCTGTAAAGGAGTACTGAATAAGGACAGCTTTACTAATGGAAAAGCAGAAATATGGTGAATTAAGAGCTGTGTGGTGTGCTTAAGAAGGGAATTAGCACCATGGCAGTGAATCTTTATGGACAGTAGAGGAATCTAAGATGACAAGGCCTATTTTCCCCAGAAAATAGGAAAAAACTTGTCCAATAACTCCCTAACTTACCTGTAATTATACCACTAGCCAATCCAGGAATGCCCTGGATTGAAGTGACGTTATTGTGAACAAAGTATTCATCACAGGTGGCATTGAAAAATTGACTCGAGTTACAGAAGAATCCCCATAACTTTGATGGGACTGTCATGTTGTTAATTTCCTTGGTCTTAGAGCAAACGTCAATGTGTCTTGATGAAAGGGTGCGGTTACCCAGCATGCAGACCCTAAGTGAAAAGAAATAGGGAGAAAGATCAAGTAAGGAAAAAAAGTACATTAAAAAAAAAGGAAACAGGTTAGTAAAGGAAACAAGAACCCCATCTTTAAGAGCTTCTACTGTTATGGGTGGGAAAGGAACTAATGTTTATTTATTTATAATTTATTTTAACACTGTGAATGGTGACTTACATTTTCTGCCAATTTAATACTTACAGCAACCTCACAATGTATTAGAATTTCTATGTTGTGGATGGAGGCACTGAAGTTTAGGAAGACAGGGAGTTAATTGAAGGTTAGGGAAATACAGTTATCTGTCCAAGGTCATAGGTGGTGGCAGTGAAGGAAGTCAAATTGAAGAACTGTCTGAAGACATTATGCTGACTCATCTTCCAAAATTTTTGGCTAAAATTGTTAGGTCTAAAAGAATACTGAAGTCCTTTTGTTGTTCTTATAAAGTAAAAAGCACTCCTCTTTTTTTGGCCTAGAAAAGCCTAACATTCATAACAAACACCTTGAAAATGTTATGCTAAAGGTTGAATCTTCTGGCTACTGTTGCAAGGAAAACAGCTTGGTCAGAATTAAAAGGCAGATCCCTCTATGGCCTAAGAGAAAACTGTTTTTGAATTTAAGCCTAGACTCAGTGGGAGTGACGGTAAGGATAACATAAATATTAACCTGCTGGTTTTACTTTTTTCTTTAACCCAGAGACACAAATATAAACAAAGGAATAATACATCCATAGTTAAAATACCTCTCAGGTCCAACAAAGGGACTTCTAAAATTTGCAAAATGATTGAATACATTATTATGAACCATGTACCTATTACTCAGCTTCAACAACTCTCAACATTTCCCAGTCTTGTTTCATGTATTATTCTAGATTTTTTGTCTTGTTTTGCTGGAATATCTCAAAGAAAATACCATGCATTATGACCGTGTACTAATCAAAAAAGAGGAGAAGCCCCAAAGGTGAACCTGAGACAAAATGGAATTTCCCAAATTGAGATATAACCAGAATGTCACCTTTAGAAATTTTATGCCCCTAAAAAGGACCTTCAGCTGTATTACAGTCCCTAGATAAGCAGATTAAAAGTTTAAGATGGAATCTACTTCTGCCATCATGCAGCATAGCATAGAAGAAATACTGAATGGGGAGTCAGGAAATCACAGTTCATCTTCTTGCTCTGCCATTAATTAACTTTGAGGTAAGTCATTAAACCTACTGGAACTGTCTTTTTGTCTTGAAAAATCTTTTTTTCTGTAATCTGGTTAAATCAACATAGAACCGATGAGTTTGATCCTCAGATAATCCAGATGACTCTTCAAGATAATTCTGTAACAAGACTACAAATAACACTGAGTGCCAGCTAGTCCCTATGCCACTAGTCAAAGGGAAAAGTGAGCCTGTGAGTCACAGATGTGCACAAATCCATTACTACTTCAAAAAACATACTTTAAAGTATTCGCACTAGGGAGTTGAAGGAGGTGGTGAATGATGAGAGAGTACTTAATGGGTACAAAGTACATTATTTGGGTAATGGATAAAAGCCCTGACCTAGGCTGGGCGCAGTGGCTCACGCCTGTAATCCCAGCACGTCGGGAGGCCAAGGTGGGCCTTATAAAGGTTGCTGGCAATAACTACACTGTCTGCAAAGCCCTTTATGAATAGTTCAAAATGTGTATAATAAAAAAAGATTATGTACAATTATCAGGGAGAAAAAAATCTAATATCTGAACCTAAATGATGGTTACAGCTACTAGTTCTATGCTTAGGACATAAGAAAGAGGATGAACGGGACATAGTTTGCTGGTAGGCTTCCTGCCTAGATGAGGAAGGAAGTCTAACTGGGCTTATCTGAGAGGGAAAATCTCAGAGAGACTCTATGAAATTCTGACTTAAAATTATCACACCACCAGATATTTTCAATTACTACCCAATAAGGATGGCTAGGCAGAGAGACAGACACGTACGGGAAGTGTGGAGGAGCAAAAGAAGACTTGATGGCTCCAGCATAGATGGCCAAGATGGACACAATGACACAGGCCAGGAAAAGTGAGGCAAACTTGTTCACATAGCGTACGCCGATAAATACCACTAATACCATAAGGACCAAGAAAGCTGTGCCGTAGACACGCATGTTATTTAGCATGGCTGCTGATTCCTTGAGTGCGTCATCACTGTGAAAGATGGCAGCTCGGGGGACGATATAGACCTGTTAGGTAAAAATAAAGGAGAAAATTAGGTTATTTCAAAATAATTAAGTAAAAAGGCTGTATTCGTTTGCATTTACTTTCACAAAAGAAAGCAAAGCTGAGAGAGAAAATGACTGGGGAATTAGCCTAGTTTCTAATAGGATCTGAAATGCCTTCAGAAATGGGATGTCATGGATTTTTTTTTTTTTTTTGGTCTACATGCTGTTCTGAATAACTACATTTCCAAATGGAAAGAAAGGAAAGGAACAAATTATTAATTTTATTCATAGGGTTATATAAAGTAATTATAATGATGATCTTTAACCCTGACTCTACTATCACTACTTTAAATAGTAAACAATATGTCTCAGTGAAGAGAGATATGAGAAGCATTTTATTTCATAGGGATGAAGATATCAAAAAAGATAAACTTTATTTTACTTTTTCCCCATTGGACTTGAACCTCTTGGATGAGGTGGCAGAGTGGTGGCAATCAGGTAGAAAGGAAGGGACAGGCAGGCAAACAGAATTTCAACCTTTCCACCTCATATTCATGTAAGAGGCCAACTGACGTTGGCAGTCAATCACCTGATTTATTCCCACAGCTGATCTCTCAGAAGCTTTCATAGCAAAGAATAAACCTAAATCAATATTTCTTCTATATTATAGACCACAATGAAGTCATTACTTACCAGAAAGATTTCAATGGCACCAAGGATGTACATGGCTGCTGCAAATGTGGTACCAAGATAAAAGCAGAGGCCAACAGCCCCACCAAACTCTGGGCCCAGTGCCCGGGAAATCATAAAGTATGAGCCCCCAGCTAAAAGACAAAACAGAAGGTGAATAGAAGAAAGAGTGTGTATTAGCAAGAGGAATATGAATAAAACAGAAATAAGAAAAAATATATACATAAAGGTTAAATGTTTCAGGCTTCTGCAAACCCTCAATGTGATAAAAAGATGTGCTAGTGGGAAGTAAAAGGTGAAAGTGTTATTGTGGGATATACTGCACAACTAATGTAATGAGCCATATGAAGCAATAGTTTGCCAGCATTTACTTAGAAAAAAATTAGAGAATATTTACTATGACATGAGACAGCCCAATAAAATATATTCTGGCTGGGTGTGGAGGTTCACGCCTCTAATGGTAGCACTTTGGGAGGATGAGGCGAGAGGATTGCTTGAGGCCAGGAGTTTGAGACCAAACTGGGTAACATAGTAAAATGTCACCTCTGTAAAAAAAAAAAAATAGCCAGGCATAGTGGTGTACACCTCTAGTTCCAGCTACTCAGGAGGCTGAAGTGGGAAAGCAGCTTGAGCCTAGGAGTTGGAGGCTGTGTGAGCTATGATCGTGTCACTGCACTCCAGCCTGGGTGACAGAGTGAGACTCTGTCTATAAAAAAATATATATTCCAACTAATAAAAGCTAAGAATGTGACTGAAATTAATGCATTCTAGTTTAAAAAATAAAGAGATTTTAAAGACGGCATCTTAAAGTCAAGTAGTATTATGTCTACGTCCTATAGACCATTACTCTGTTGTAGCACAGAACAGACCAAATAGTATTCTATTCTTCAGAAGTTTGCACCTCTAGCTTTATAGCATAAACACAGAGTCAACACTGATAAATCCTGAAATACAACCTTGACCTACTAACCTGGCACCACTCCATTAGTGGCAATGGCACTCATGGAGATAGCAGTCAACATTGTCTGCAGAGAAAAGGAAAGGAGAGGATTGTTACTGTGTAAAGATGACATTTCTATACTACTTCTCCATTTGTGTTCCAAGAGCACTTGGCAAACATTTAACTCTACCTACTTTTATGGACAGTCATACCTAATGGTATGGAAATAAGATGATATGGTCCAATTCATTGCGCTAGTCATACCACTAATATCTGGAGGATTCTGTCAAAATGCTCCCACATCAGTAGGTCAGGTGCTATTAAGAACTGCTAATCTCACTCTGGATTTCCTAGTTACACAGGAAATAGAGCATAGTATACTCAAAAGGAAGAACTAGAGAAATAACTCAGAAAATAGGTTAGAACCTGACTAAAGACTAAATACAATATCAAGAACAATGTTCAGTAAGAAAGGGAATCACTGAAGGCTTCTGAGCACACAGGAACCGCATTTTAAAAATATTACCCGGTAGCACAGTATAGAATGCGCTGCAGATAGGAGTAGCTGGAGGCCGAGTGATTGGTTAGCAGGCTACCATAGTAGTTCAGTGAGAGGTAAAAACTATAGTGGTGGTAGTGTGAATAAAAAGGGCTGAGTGTAAAAGATTTCAGAGAATAGATTAGCGTTGGTAGCTGATTAGATGTGAAAAGCAATTAAGAAGCCAAACACAGCCTTGAGGTTTTAAGCCTGAGACTAAAAAAAGGTGGTACCATGAACATTTTAAGTTATTAAAAATATGAACTGTGCCTGCTTAACCTGTTTTGCTCATCAGCTGGGGATAATATACAGGTAGGGTATAAAGGTCATAGTGATAAAAAAGGACAGTAGAAAACTATAAAATTCATAGGTGTGTCTGGGATACATAATGAGAAGTTTAAATTAAAGGAAGATAAAAATGTTCTCAGTAGAGAGAAGACCTGGAAAGAACATCTAAATTTCTAAGGAAGGGATAAGGGAAGAAACTTCAAAACCAAATAAAAAAACCAAATACCCCTCACATCCGCAATAACCTGTCTTGTTTCTCAATATATACTGGAGTGATACATCACATTTTCTAACACATTTTCTGTCACAACTTTGGTGCTATCAAGCTCAAATAGTTTGGATTCTGAATTCTCTGAAGACAGGAACTTTATCTTCCATTTTCAGTTGAAGTCTTGCTTTGTAATTTCTAGTACATCATATAATAGATAGCAAGCAGTGACTAACAGGCACTGAATAACTGAAAATCCTTTAGATTTTAATATCAGAATAATTTCTTCTGTTGAGATCATGAGTCCTTCCCTAAGTATTCTTTGTTTTATTCCCAAAGAGGTCATGTGCATCTGCTCTTGAGAACTTGCAACGTTCAGGTGATCTCTAGGAGCCAGTGCAGTACTTACACAGCAGCAGCAGATAAGGACAATTGCAAAAGCCTGAAGAACTCCAGCTGTGCCCACCACCCATGTAAGGCGTAAAAAAAGGATCACTCCAAAAATATTTTGTAGACATGGGAGGTAGACACCCATGAAGGTACCCATTTGGGGGGTCTAGAAAGAAAGACATTGATAAAAAATCACACAGTTATCCTAAAGAGAGGTTTTTATTCTTTTATGTAATAACTTGCTCCCTAACTACCATATTAACCTCCAAGCAGAAATCATAAGTTTAATCAATACCTTCAAAAGGGCACATATAAAATCTCCATCTTTCAAGTGTTTATCACCATACTTTTATTATTCCTAAAGCTATATATTTTAACTTTACAAAGGTTCCTGCATGTGTTTATTATACATAGGCATTTGGCCACAAATAAACTTTTATGTGCACCCACAACAATTTAAAATTTTGTTTTTCAAAGCTGTTGGCTTTTTTCATTTAAAAACAATAAGGACTTGATGGAATTTCTTCAGAATTTGGCATAAATTCTTCACAGTAGTTAGTAAATAAATTAGATGGCAAAATGAAGATCTGAGGGCCGTTTTATCCCTTTTTGAAAGGGCTGAACAACCAGAATGGTAAACTGAATGTCTTATATTTTCATTTTGAGACAAACTGATGTTTGGTGTTTAAAAAACCCAACAACTTCACAACAGACAGATGGCATCAGCAGATGGGTATGGACACTCTTCTCTTGAAAAGCTATTCCCTCTCCCTGAATGCTCTTTTCCCACATAGCTCACTCCCTCCCATCAGCTAGATCTCTCCTCAAATATCACCTTGTCAGAAAGGCTTTCCCTGTCCAACCTATGTAAGTAGCAACGCCCTCCACTCTGGATCCCTTGCCAATTTCAGTCTCTCTACTCTGCTTAATTTTTTGCTCGGGAATTTATCAACACTTAATATGTTATATACTTTGGCAGTTAAAACAGCTTAAGGACTGTATCCCCACATCAGAATTTAGACTGCATCATATGTTTTCTTTGTGCTATGACGCTGGTGCCCAGAACAGTTCCAGGCACCTCTCAAGCATTTAATAAATAGCTGCTGAACACAGAATGGTGCCTTAGGTATTTCCTTCTTTCTTATATACAGGGCTCTTTCTATGTATTCCTTGTTATTCTGAGGCCTCACCTTGGTGGGCTTCTTTTTCCCTTCAGTGATGTTTTCTGCCTCTTCATGTTCCTTTGCTCCTTGAGTCAGATTAGTGTAATTGGCCATGCGGTTGAGGAGGGAAGACACCTTCGGTCTGGTGTCCATTTCTTCCTATAAAGCCAGTGACATGGAAGAAATGAGCTACAAAGAACACTGAACATAAGTATCAAAATAATCTTGCTACCAGAAAACTTCAAATTAAATGAAAAAATATTTCACAGGTAGGCCGGGTGCAGTGGCTCACACCTGTAATCCCAGCACTTTGGGAGGCCAAGGTGGCTGGATCACCTGAGGCTGGGAGTTTGAGACCAGCCTGGCCAAGATGGTGAAACCCCGTCTCTACTAAAAATACAAAAATAAGCTGGGTGTGGTGGCACGTGCCTGTAATCCCAGCTACACGGGAGGCTGAGGCGGGAGAATCAGCTTGAACCCAGGAGGCAGAAGTTGCAGTGAGCCGAGATCGCGCCACTGCGCTCCAGCCTGGGCAACAGAGGGAGACTCCATCTCAAAAAAAAAAAAAAAATTGGTACATTGAGTTGGGCATGGTGGCTCACACCTGCTAACCCAATGCTATGGGAGGGCAAGGCAGAAGGATCGCTTGAGCCCAGGCACTCAAGACCAGCCTGGGCAACAGAGTGAGACCCTGTCTCTGCAAAAAATTTAAAAATCAGCCAGGTGTGGTGACACATGCCTGTAGTCCCAGCTACTAGGGAGGCTGAGGTAGGAGGGTCCTTTGAGCCCAGGAGGTCAAGCTGTGATCGTGCCACTGCACTCCAGCCTGGGTGACAGAGCAAGACCCTGTCTCAAAAACAAACTAAAAATGGTACATTGAGAGAAGTGGCACTTGCATCATTGTCAAAGGCCAGAAAAAGGTAGTGCTGAAATAAACCAGGCTCCTTTCAACAACCTGGCCACAGCTTATGGAGCCTGGCCACAGAGTCCATGTTGTCTTATTCAGATAAGATATAGAAGTCCTCTTCATTATGTTAAGTGAAATAAGCCAGGCACAGAAAGATAAATAGCACACGATCTCACTTACATGTGGGATCTAAAAAGTAGAACTCGTAGTAATAGAATGGTGGTTACCAAAAGCTTGGGGTGTATGTAGGGGAAGGGGGAGAGGTTAGTCACAGGATACAAAGTTTCAGTTAGGCAGGAGAAATAAGTTTTTGAGATCTATTGCACAGCATAGCAACTATAGTTAACATATTGTATATTTCAAAATTGCTAAGAAAGTCAAATTCAAATATTTTCACCATGAAAATGATAAGTATACGAGGTGATATATATGCTAATTAGCTTGATTTAATCATTCCACAATGCATACAAATATCAAAATATCACATTGTAATCCATAAATATATACAGTTATTATTTGACAATTAAAAAAAAGGACATGAAGGTCCTGCTAATCTGGAAGCCTGCTTCCTACAGTGATTTTTGGAGACGGAGTCTTGCTCTGTCGCCCAGGCTGGAGTGCAGTGGCACAATCTTGGCTCACTGCAAGCTCTGCCTCCCGGGTGCATGCCATTCTCCTGCCTCAGCCTCCCGAGTAGCTGGGACCACAGGCGCCCGCCACCATGCCCGGCTAATTTTTTGTAGTTTTAGTAGAGACGGGGTTTCACCGTGTCAGCCAGGATGGTCTCGATCTCCTAACCTTGTGATCCACCCGCCTCGGCCTCCCAAAGTGCTGGGATTACAGGCGTGAGCCACCGCGCCCGGCCTTGTTTAGTTAGTTCTAAGGCAAATGATAGTCTTTCCAGACAAAGGGTGGAGAAATACACTGATTTATAGTTAGAAGAAAGATTATTCTAATAAAAACAATTAAATCACAGCTGAATTAGATTGCAAGGTAATCTATATGTCCAAGAAGTCAAACTCCTCTTCCTTACTACATAACAATTTGATTTAATAGTTACTCACTATAATTAGATTACACAGACAAAATTTACTATAATAACAAGTTACAATATTTTCTTTTAACATTAAATTATCCAGCTTGTAAAATTTTTAAACCAAATGGGGTAAAATATGGCTATCATGAGATCTCTGTTCCTAAAGTCTCAGTCCATAGTTTTCTCCAAAATATTACCTCAAAGAGTGCCAAATTTTTATCAAAATATTCATCTCCTTCTTCATAATTGGAATTATTGAGATAAGCATTTCGAGCTTTCTTATGTCCGTCGTCTGGAAAAAAAAAAGTAGACCAAGTTAGTTTCTCACTGGTTTCTGACGAAGAAACATCAGCACCAGATAAGTGCAGGTTGCTTCGGTATTAATATAACCCATTTTCATATTCAAATTTAATCTTAGAACTCAATCAGCACTGCTTGGAGAATATGGAACAAAATAAAACTCTCCAGCAGGAACAAAAAGAAAACTCTGAGAAGTAAACATGGGTCATTCCTTTCCTTAACAATAATCAAGACCCCTAGAGACGCTATTCTTTTGGAATTCCAGCCCATGAAGACTCTTTTTTTTTTGAGATGGAGCTGCTATGCCGCCCAGGCTGGAGTGCAGTGGCGCAATCTCAGCTCACTGCAACCTCCGCCTCCCTGGTTCAAGCGATTCTCCTGTCTCAGCCTTGAAGTAGCTGGGAGTACAGGCACGCACCACCATGCCCAGCTAATTTGTTTGTATTTTTAATAGAGATAGGGGTTCACCACGTTGGCCAGGCTGGTCTCAAACTCCTGGCCTCAAGTTATCCGCCCACCTCAGCCTCCCAAAGTGCTGGGATTACAGGCGTGAGCCACTTGCACCCAGCCGAGACTCTACTCTTAAAGTCACCTAAGTTTAGGAGGAAAAAAAGATATTGAGTATATACTCAGGGTATAATACTGTGTTAGATGTAGTCTCCTTTACACACTATTGCTGCTGATAATGACAGTAAAAGCTCTCTGCCTCCACAGCTGTCTGACCTTTTATAAATTATATGAAGTTTTGATTTGCATTTCTCTGATGATTTCAGTGATGAGCATTTCACACCAGTCAGAATGGCAATTATTAAAAAGTCAAAAATAACAGATGTTGGCAAGGCTGTGGAGAAAAAGAAATGCTTATACACTGCTGGTGGGAATGTAAATTAGTTCAGTCACTGTGGAAAGCAATTTGGAGATTCCTCAGAGAACTTAGAACTACCATTCCACCCGGCAATCCCATTACTGGGTATATACCCAAAGGAAAATAAATCATTCTACCAAAAAGACACATGCACTTGTATGTTCATTACATACAATTGAAACCCAACCTTCAAGCCAAAGACAGTTTAAAGCCTAGCTACAAGTCCTGGATAAATCCATGGACTGAACTGAGAACCTCTCTTCCCGTTTGGCATACTTTCCTCTAATTGATTCTCCACTCTTTACCTATTTTACATATATCTACCCTTCCCTAATTGGTTTTTTACACTGTGTGCCTTTGTTTTAGCCTTTTTTTGCATACTCACAAACCAATGAGCATACACTCCCCTATTCTGAGCCCATAAAGGCCCCAGCCCCAGCCCCAATGAGAGAGACCACCCTCGCATGCCCTCTCCACTGAGAATTGTTTCTCATCATTCAATAAAATTATTCTCCGCCCTCCTCACCCTTTGATATCAGCACAACCTCATTCTTCTTGGATGTGGAACAAGAACTCAGGACCCACCAAACACAGGTACAAAGAAGGCTGTAATACTGTGGCCCTCCACGCTCTGCCAGTGGAGGGCAGCTACCCCACGCGACGGGAAGCAGCAGCGGGCGGGAGCAGGGGCGACAGGACAGACAGAGCTGTTAACATGCCGCCATCCATGGGGCTGCAGATGGTGGGACTAAAAGAGCTATTAGCACACGGTAACACCCCCTCTGAGGTTTCAGGGTTGCGGACACCCGTCTGGGCGCCACCATGTTCCCCTCAGTGTGACATGCCTGGTCCAGCAGCAATCCCTACATACAGCCCGCTTCTGTCTCACTGCTTGGAGCAGCCAGCTGGACACTGCACTCGCTCACTCCCTCACCCCCTCCCACCAGTGCGCAATTGCCACGGCTGCAGGATCTGCATTGGAGCGCAAGCCAGGCATAGCCCAGCAGGATGAATAGACAGGGCATCTCTTCTGGTGAGCTCGGGCCTGAGCAAAGCCTGGGCATGGATGTTGCTGGCTGGAGGTCTCTGGCTGGCAAAGTGGCCAAGAAAAATCCTGTGTCACTATGCTTCCTACTTGGGTGAAAGGATTACCCATACCCCAATCCTCAGCATCATGCAATATACACATGTAACAAACCTGTACATGTACCCTCTAAATCCAAAATAAAAGTTGAAAAAAAATAGGGCAGGCATGGTGGCTCATGCCTGTAATCCTAGAACTTTGGGAGGCCCAGGTGGGAGACTGCTAGAGTCCAGGAGTTCTGGACCAGCCTGGGCAACATTGAGACCCTGCCTCAACAAAAAAAATTAAAAAATTAGCAGGGCATGGTGGTGCATGCTTATAGTTCTAGCTATTCAGGCAGGAGGATTCCTTGAGCCCAGGAGTTCAAGACTGCAAGTAAGCTGTGACTGATCCACTGCACTCCAGCCTGGGCAACAGGGTGAGACCCTGTCTCGGGGCAGGTTTGTGGGGGAGTTGAAAAAAGAAAAAAAATTATGTCATTTAACTATTATTTTTGTACAAACCCTTCCACATTTTTTTTTAATGTTAAAAGAGGCATCTGACAAAAATTCGGTGAAAGAGCTATGAGGAAAAAAAGGAGACCAGGCCCATAAGACAGCAAACTTTATTTGAGCACTTCCTTAACTTTGTTTCATTATTATGCAAAAGTTATATAATTACAGAGTCTGGAAGGAGAGAAGAGAAAAAAAAACATAAATGCTATTAAAAGCCAAGATTTTCAATACTGGGGAAATAAATACCAATATAAAAATTAAAGAATTAAAAACCCTATAAGCTTAAATGTATAAGGATGGGCTTGAGAAACAGTCAATAAACTATCAAAATTACTGGGTCACATCAAAGGGCACAGAGCCAAACTGAAGGGGTTCCCAATGCCCCAAAATGGAATAATACAAACATTAAAAATAAATAATGTGATGGATTGAAATGCAAATTTATGAAATACTCAAAATGATATTCTGAAAAAGTCACCTTTGCGGGGTTAAGGAAACAACACATGACTCTGAAAAATGACATTAATAAATAGAAAAAAAAAAATGGAAAGAAGTAAGCAATCATCTTGCCTTTCTTGTGCCAACTGTATTTCAGGGTAACCAATAATTAAAAGAAAATTTCTTCCTTATAGAAGCATTCCAGCTAATTAATGATAGATGGAATGACAGAAAAAAATCACTAATAAAATAACAGATTTAGGCAACGATAATCAATGGTTGTTAAAACCATTAGGTGAAAGGCTGAGGCAAAACTTTACAATGGATGGATCAGGCTGATCTGGAGCCTGCTTATCAGCTTTAACATCTCTGAAGGTATGACAACACAATCTCCTGTAATACAATGAAAAATACACTGTACAAGCTATGATGTATTCTTTCCAAAAGAATGGAAGTTGAATCTAATCAAGCCTCGAAATCTAACTATCAGTTCAAGGAAAACACAAAGGAGGAATATGTTAAACATTAGAAGGATCTAATCACCAAATTCAGAATGTGAGAAATTTTACAAGATGATCTGACTTCTTCAGCAAATAAATGGCATAAACTTAAAAGGTGAACTTTTATAGATAAAAGAGACTTAAAAGACATATCAACTAATTGCAAATGAACATTGTTAGGATCCTGACTCAACACATCAAAGGTAAAAAGGCATTTTTGAAACAAAAAATAAGAGAAAATATATCACTCTTTTTTTTAAAAAGGGCAAGTAAAATCATATGATGTCTGGAATTTTCTTTAAAACAGTTTAGGGAAAAATTAGGTAGGGTCTTCAAAACAGATTTGTAACATTGATGAAGCTGGGTGATGCATTCATAAAAGTTCATTATGCTATTCTACTTTTCTGTACCTTTGATATTTTCAGTAACAAAAAGTTATAAATAGAAAAATGTAATTCTTTTCCTCTTCTTAATGGCTCCAGAAAATTCTAAAGAGTATAGCTTAGGCTGGGTGCAGTGGCTCATGCCTGTAATCCCAACACTTTAGGAGGCCGAGGCGGGCGAATCACGAGGTCAGGAGATTGAGACCATCCTGGCTAACACGGTGAAACCCTGTCTCTACTAAAAAATACAAAAAATTAGCCGGGCGTGGTGGCAGCCGCCTGTAGTCCCAGCTACTTGGGAGGCTGAGGCAGGAGAATGGCATAAACCCAGGAGGCGGAGCTTGCAGTGAGCCGAGATCGTGCCACTGCACTCCAGCCTGGGCGACAGAGCGAGACTCCGTCTCAAAAAAAAGAGTATAGCTTAAAATTATCACCACTTCTGAGTAATTCATTTATTCAACTAATATTTATTAAATTCCTAGGATGTACTGGATACTGTTCTGGGTCCTAGAGATATAGCAGTGGACATGGCAGTTAAAGACCCTGCCTTTACTGTGCATATACTGAAGTTACAGAAGACAGAAAGTAAGTAAAAACAACAACAGCAATTAAAAAAAAAAAAACAAACAAAAAAGACAAAATAAAAACAAAAAAACCCAAAAAGAATTTCAAGAAGTGGTAAGTTCAAGGAAGAAAATCAAATAGGTACTGGGAGAGACTGTGACTAGGGAGGGGAATGACGACTTCATGTAAGATCATTGGTGTGCTGATAACAGCCTCTAAAGAATTAAAACAAATCCGACTTACAGTACTTGACAATTTCTGTGGTATAAATACTCACACATGGCCATTTTCAAACTACTAATGTGAAGACAATGAACCTGGTTTTGGGAAGAGATTTGCATTAACTGGCTCTTGTGAGCTGGTATAAGCTGGCTGCAGCACACTCCTGGCATAGGATAGTAAGGAAAAGCCTACATTTCAGGCAGAGGGAACACAGCAATTTTAAAAGATCCTAAAGCAGAACCAATTCAAGTGAATTCATAAAGCAGAAAGGACAATATAGCTAAAGGACAGTGAGGAAAGGAGAGCATATTTAGAAAGACAGAAAGGAGCCAGACCACGTAAGTTAGTTAATGGATAGATTTTCCAAAGGAGAGAGTAATGTGAGAGTGTGCTAATAGTTCATTTGGGAAGCAGGGGTAATACAGAAAGCTTTTTTTTTTTTTTTTTTTTTTAAGAAGAGATTATAAAGAAGCAGAAAAAGTGGGACAAATAATTTAGGATGGCACAATGGTCCAAGCATATCAATAAAACCAGTAATGTAAATAGACTAAGACAAAGATTGACAGACTGGATTAAACAATAAAATCTAGACATATACTATTTATAAGAGATATAAGGACATACAAAAGCTGAACATTAAGAAAACATTAAGGAAAGAGATATATCAGGCAAATACTAACCAAAAGAAAGCTGATATAATTTTATTAGTATCAGATAAATTTATGAGAAACATTTTATTAGGTATTAGAAGGTAACCACATAATAACAAAAGGTTTAATCCACCAAGAAGGCATGACAGTTTTGTTTATACCACATAATAACAAAAGGTTTAATCCACCAAGAAGTCATGCCAATTTTATTTATCATTATTATTATTTTTTGAGACAGGGTCTCACTCTTACGCCCAGGCTGGAGTACAGTGGTGCGATCACAGCTCACTGCAGCCTCAGCCTCCTGGGCCCAAGAGATCCTCCCACCTCAGCCTCCCAAGTAGCTAGGACTACAGGCTTATGCCACCATGAAGAGCTAATTTTTGGATTTTTTGTAGAGATGAGGTTTTGCTATGTTGCCTCGTATTCCTAGACTCAAGCCATCAGCCTGCCTCAACCTCCCAAAGTGCTGGGATTACAGGTGTGAGCCACCGGGCCTGGCTGGCACAACAATTTTAGACATACATCTATTGTTTAGTTATTATTATTATTTTGCTCAACAAATTACCTCCAAATTTATTGGCATTTTAAACAACACAGTTTATCATCTATTTGTTTGGGTTGGATTTTTAAAAGTCTGACAATCTGTCTTTTCAACTGCCAAGTTTAGTCCATCAACCTTAGTGATTAATATATTTAGACAGGGTTCTAACATCTTTTTATTTGTTTTTTCTCTATGACTCATTCTCATCCTCTATCTCTCCCACTCTTTGGATTTTCTGGTTTGTTTTTCCTTAATGACATTTTCCCCTCTAGTTTCCATTCTCTATTTCTGTTCTTTCAGCAATTACCCTTGAAATTTTACTATATATCTTAAATTGTTAAATAAGTTTAAACAATTGCTTGACATCCTCCTGAACAACACGAAGACTTTCTAATACTTCAATTCCAATTTTCTCCTCCTGACTTACCTAATATTGGTGTCCAACGTTCCCAGTAGTCTCTTTTTAAAAAAAAAAAAAACTCCATAAATAAGATATTAGAGTTGTTTTATTGAGACAACACTGATTTGAGTCGATGTACAAGTTTACTAGTTCATTTATTCACTACTCTTTCTTACATTTCAGACTACTAGTCTTCTAGGATCATTTTATTCTTTCTTGAGGTATATTCCTTAGAATTCCTTTAGGTTTCTCAAACTCAGCACTATGGAATTTTGGAGCAAATAATTACTGTGAGGGACTGTCCTGTGCACTGTAGAATATTTAAGAGCATCCCTGGCCTCTACTCATTAGATGCCAGTAGCACCTCCAGTAGTGACTGTCAGAGATGTCTCCAGGCTGGGCGCAGCAGCCCTCTCCTGTAATCCCAGCTCTTTGGGAGGCCATGGCAGGAGGACTGCTTGAGGGCAGGAGTTTGAGACTAGCATGAGCAACATTGTGAGACCTTGTCTCTACAAAATTTTTGTGTACACTTATTTGTGTTTTCTGGCTTGTAACTTTGTGTTTTGGTACTGAGAATTCTTCTGTCATTCTGTTGTTCCTTTGATGAACTGTCCTTTCTCTCTGGCTGCTTTCAAGATCTTTTCTTAGATTTTCTGCAGTTTCATTAAGATGTATCTAGGTGTAGTTCTTTTTGTTTACGCTATTTACCTACTACTAAGCTACTGTTTAATTTCTTTTTTATATCTATATATATTTTTTCTTTTCTAGAATTTCCATTTATTTTCCTTCTCTTTAAACAGTCTTTTATTCCTGAGGAGTTTGCTCATCTTCCTAACTGCATCCTCTACTGATTTAAACATTTAATAGAATTTTGTATCCCAGACTCAGGACCATGTCATTTCTCTTGAGGGTTATGGAAGTAAGAGTTCAACATACTACCTCTCTGCTATTCAATAACCTTACAATGATGCTGTTACAAAAATCTGGCATGAGACAATCCTGTCCCATTCTGCTACCTGCTGTCCAAGCCACCTCCTAGCAGCTCTGGCTTGCCTTGTCTTATTATCATCAGACAGTCTGGATCCTGGCTGTTTCTGGCCCACCTTCCATTTGCTTGCTTACTTTTTTTAGAAAGGTAGAAGAATATCCCTGGAGATTTTTGTCTACATTTTATGAGACCAATGATGCCTCCAACCAATAATGTCCTACTCATGGTCTACTTGTGGTAGTGTTGTGCAATGGGAGGCTCCCAAAGAGTTCCTGGTCAATCATGGCTTGTGGACAGTCATGAAAGGTCAAGGCTTTCCAAGGCAAGAAATGAAGCATTCATCAAGTGTGGTTATACCAAAAGGCATGAAATTAGAAGTGATTATATTGAAAGGCAAGGATTAATTTTTGGCTTGAATATCTTGGTGGGAAACCATGCTGCTTTAGAGTTCAGCCTTCAAAAGTTTAGGTCACTGTTGTGACCCCAAGAAATACCAGATGGAATGGAACTTCTAGTTTCTGAGTAGCAAATAATCTTTACTCTGCAGGAACTAAGAACCAAATCCATATTCCAGGGCTCTTTTAGGATTATTCAGAATCCTAAAATGACTCCTTTGAAGGATCCCCACTGAGACTGGCCTCAGTAATGGTTTGCATTACATCACCTGTCAGATTACTATTATGTTTCTTTTTTTCTTTCTTTCTTTTTTTTTTTGAGACGGAGTCTTGCTCTGTTGCCCAGTCTGCAGTGCAGTGGCACAATCTCAGCAGACTGCGACCTCCGCCTCCAGGGTTCAAGCAATTCTCCTACCTCAGCCTCCCGAGTAGCTGGAATTATAGGCGCCTGCCACCATGCCTGGCTAATTTTTTGTATTTTTAGTAGACATGGGGTTTTGCCATGTTGGCCAGGCTGGTCTTGAACTCCTGACCTCAGGTGATCCACCCACCTCAGCCTCCCAAACTGCTGGGATTACAGGTGTGAGCCACTGCGCCCAGACACTATTATGTTTCTTTTTTCTCATTTTACTATCTAAATAATGCTGACATTTTTGGGAAACTTACTGGTGTTTCACTGCATAATTCAAATGAAAACTGATAGGATAATTCTACTAAATATTTCAGATTTCTGTTTTTCATGGCATATTTTTTTTTTGTAAACAGAAAAAAGGTATACCAAAGGTCTTACTCTTTATATAAACACTTTACTGTTGTGATGTTATTACTTCTATAATGTTGCATTTGTCAATTACCACTTATACTATAATTTGGGCCCTAGATAAATCTCAAGTTACTCCTTTAGCTTCCTGATCTTGTCAAATGGCCTTTGCTAGTCTGAGTTAGGCAAGAGAGCAGTAGGTGTACCTAATTTCCCTTGGCACAGGTTTGGGTTTGTACTATGTGACTATGTGAATCTGAAAGGTTATCCCAAATGCTACATGTTTTTGATTTTATACTTTGTTTTGCCATTGATGTGTTAAGGAAACCATGTCATTTGTCCTGGAGAGTTTCTGATGGTCTGGGTTTTGATCATGGCATCCATGTGATGCTGTTTAACATGCTCTTTTTTTTTTTGTAATTCCTATAAATTGGTAGTTGAATCTAAAAGCTTAATCACATTCAGTACTTCTAGGAGGGTAGGGAGGAAAACTACTTCACAGTGGTATTATGAACTGCCAGGAGGTACATGTCATTGTCATCTGGTTGTCTTTCCTTTTGAGATATTAGCAATTGTTGATGAGTAATGCCTAGCTCCATTAATTTATGAGAGGTCACCAAATGGTAATATTCTCATTCTATTATTGTTCCTTCATTTATTAGCTAGAATACCTCTATAAAAAGAGACATTTCCTTTAATCTACTATTTGATTACCAAGTGGTTCAGTTAAAAACAGGACGAATAATTCTTTCCCTTTACTGACCAGTTCTCAGAATAATTGGTTCACTAAATACTCCAATGGTGACCAGTTAGTTGTGGGTTTTGTTTTGTTTTAGAGACAGGGTATCACTCTGTCGCGGAGTACAGTGGCACCATCACAGCTTACTGTAGCCTCCAGAGTAGCTAGGACTACAGGTGTGTGCCACCATGCCAGGCTAATTATTTTTTGCTTTTTTGTAGAGATGGGTTCTTGCAATGTTGCCCAGTCTGATCTTGAACCCCTGGCCTCAAGTAATCCTCCTACCTCCCTCCTCAGCCTCCTAAAGTGCTGGGACTACAGGCGTGTGCCATTGTGCCTGGCTCATTTTTTAAATTATCATTATGAACTCATAAACTTAAATACTGGGTTTTTACTGTATTAGCCCTTCCTCATGCTGCTATGAAGAAATACCCAAGACTGGGTAATTTATAAAGAAAAGAGGTTTGGCTGAGCACAATGGCTCACACCTCTAATCCCAGCACTTTGGGAGGACGAGACAGGCGGATCACTTGAGGCTTGGAGTTTGAGACTAGACTGGACAACATGGTGAAACCCCGTCTCCACTGAAAATACAAAAATTAGCCAGGTGTGATGGTGGGTCCCTGTAATCCCAGCCACTTGGGAGGCTGAGGAAGGAGAATCACTTGAACCTGGGAGATGGAGGTTGCAGTAAGCCGAGATCATGCCACTGTACTCCAGCCTGGGTGACAGAGCAAGATTCCATCTCAAAAAACAAAACAAAACAAAACAAAAAACAAAAAAAAAAAAAAGAGAGAGAGAAAAGAGGTTTAATTGACTCCAAGTTCAGCATGGCTAGGGAAGCCTCAGGAAACTTATAATCATGGTGGAAGGCCCCTCTTCACAGGGCAGCAGGAGAGAGAATGAGTGCAAGGAGGGGAAATGCGTGATGCTTATAAAACCATCAGATCTCATGAGACTCACTCACAATCATAAGAACATAGAGGAAACCGCCCCCATGATTGTTACCTCCCACAAAACGTGAGGATTATGGGAATTACAAGTCAAGATGAGTGGGGGGAGACACAGCCAAACCATATCAGGTATGTTTCAAATCAAATGCTTTTTCAACCTCTATTAAGATTATTATACAATATTTTTCTTTTAATTTGTTAACATAGTGAATTATATAAATTAACTTTCAATATTAAACCAACCATGGATTTCTAGCAGAAACTCAACTTGATGAGGGGATAATTTAAAAAAATATGTTGCCCGATTCAGATTGCAAATATTTCGTTCAGGATTGTAGATATGTTCCTAAGTAAGGTTGGCCTATACTTTTTTTTTTTTTTAATCTCATGTTGCCATTCTTAAGTTTTGGTTATCAAGGTTGCAAAAGCCTCAAAACTGAGGTAGTAGTTACTTGGTTTTCTATTCCTTATGAGAGACTGACTGCAGAAGACTCGAATTATTTTTCCTTGGATGCCTGATAAAACTTTTAATAATGCCAGGACCCATGGCTTGTTTGCTTGCTAGCTTTCTAAAAATTTTTTTAAGTGCAAAGCTACACACACACACACACACACACACACAGAAAAGTTCATAAATCACAGGTGTACAGCTTGATTATTACAACAGCAGTTTCACCCTCCCGTATATCTCCTCAGCCTGACCCTGAGTTTTGCAAGAGACCCGATGAGTCAGTGGGAACAGTAGATACATTAAAATAACTGTGCCCTGTTGACAGTAAAAACATTTAGAAGGACTGGAAAGGGCTTTTATATATCCAATTCAACAGCAAAGGTCTGAAAGATGTTATTACAAATTCAATTAAGCAGGCAAGGCAATTGAACCAGTTTTTCACCTACCAGGCCAAATTATCCTAAACAAGGTTTTTAGGGAGAGCTGGGAAGATTTTCTTTTTTTTTCTTTTTCTTTTTTTGTTTTTGTTTTTTTTGAGACAGAGTCTCACTCTGCCGCCCAGGCTAGAATGCAGTGGTGCGATCTTGGCTCACTGCAACCTCCACCTCCTGGTTCAAGCGATTCTCCTGCCTCAGCCTCCCAAGTAGCTGGGACTACAGGCACCCGCCACCATGCCCGGCCAATTTTTTTTAAGTAGACATGGGGTTTCACCATCTTGGCTAGGCTGGTCTCGAACTCCTGACCTTGCGATCCACTTGCTTTGGCCTCCCAAAGTGCTGGGATTACAGGCGTGGTGAACCACGGCGCCTGGTTGGAAGATTTTCATTCAACCTTATAATGCCTTTTCTGAGTAACTTATCAGATGGTTAGAAAATACAACAAAAAAAATCTTTCAGTCTTTTGCAAACTCATGAATTTCTTTTAATTAAACCAGACTTTTAAAGGTTTTGAGGCTACAGCTAAAACAAAGATACTTAAGACAGAAGACAGAAGAGGATAGTTCTTCAGAGCATGAGAAAAAAGGAAAATATGATCTGACTCCATGAATCTAGGAGAGAGAACTCAGGCTGGCAGGATGGACATACCTGATAATCTGGCCAGAAGACTGGATGAATCCTCAGGTTGGCTAAAAATTGAATGCAACTGTAGGCTGCCAAATGAGATTAATGTTTGAAGCAGTCTCTTTGCAAATACTATTAGAATTTTTTGGCTAATAATGACTAAGATAACTCTTCCTTCATAATCAAAGTTACTTATTTTTGCCTACAGTTCCCCAGGTATCCTTTACTGCAGGTGATTAGCTGGGAACAAAATCCAGCTTAGTAATACTAGAACTGTATCAACTTTTGACTGTCCATTTCACTAGCTAAGCTGCCTCCATTGTACATGTGTTCCTGATAATGAACTATTCTCAAACATCTCTGCCTGTCATGTATGTATCAGGGACAGAAACACTTTCATAGTTTAGAGGAAAGATGTTCTTTTCATGGTCTGGCAAAATTTTTCAATGAAAGTTTAATCGTTCCTGATCCAAATATAAAATTTTTATATACAGAAGACTAATTTTGAGCAATGTATAGAAACTATCCAATATAAAAGTATAAAAAAGTGGCCGGGAGTGGTGGCTCATGCCTGTAATCCCAGCACTTTGAGAGGCCACAGTGGGTGGGTCACCTGAGGTCAGTAGTTCGAGACCAGCCTGACCAATAGGGCGAAACCTTGACTCTACTAAAAATACAAAAATGAGCCAGGCGCTGTGGCGTGCACCTGTAGTCCCAGCTACTCAGGAGGCTGAGGCCAGAGAACTGCTTGAATCTGAGAGGTGGAGGTTGCAGTGAGCCAAGATCGTGCCACCGCACTCCAGCCTGGGTGACAGATCAAGACTCCATCTCAAAAAAACCAAAAACCAAAAAAACAAAAAACCTCTAACATCACACGGTCAGGACCTTGGTGATCAGATTTGTATATTTATGTCAAACCATTTACTTAACAAATATATACTGAGTGCCTAGGATGTCAGGTACTGTTTCAGCATATAAACTCACTAAAGGAATGAGGGCTATGGTCTCATAAACTCTTCTCATTAACCCAAGGACTATCCTAAGTCTTTAATATAGAAAGAACGAAAAAGGAGTATCCCAGTTTCTTCAACTAATCCTCTGAAGTTTTTACTTTCCCTACTTTGGACTTTTTGATAGCTTATTTTTCCATAGCTGCTTTACACATATTTAAACAGCTAAAAGCTCAGCAGGGATCAAAATAAGCCTCAAATCAAAGCATACATAGACACACAAGTGTTAAATACCAAATAATATACTAAAAATTACTTAACCTCACTTACACTGAAGGAAGTATAAATAAAAAACTAGAGATGCCATTTTCACCTATTAGGTAAAGAAACTATTTTAAGATTAATAATACCTGTTTTTTTTTTTATTATAGAGAGTCAAGCATTACTCCATACTGGTGAGAGTTTAAGCTGATGTATCTTTTTAAACATGTACATATCTTTTGAGTAAGGAATTCCACTGTTAGGAATTTACCCTACAAATATACTGGCATTAAGACTGATATATCTATCTTATATACTGGATATAAGTATAAGATATTCATTGCAACACAACTTACAACAGTAACACACTTGGAAATACATGCTCATGAGTAGGAAACTGGCTGAATAAAATTATAGTGCAGGAGCACAATGAAATACTCTTCCATCACAAACAAAGGAATGAAGCAGAACTTTATGTACTAAGATGTCCAAGGTAAAATGTTAAGTAAAAAGAAGCAGTCTGTATAATAGAACAGTCCATTTACTATAACACCATTGATATAAAAAGGAAAAGATAGTCATATATAATACAAAAATTTATAATTAAAAATTTCTAGAAGAATTCCCAAGAAACTGTCAACAGCAAGTACTTTTAAGAGGTGGAAATGAGGTGGTAAGAAGAAGAGATACTTTTACTTTCTTTATATATGCCTTTTGTTTGAGCTGAATGCCTCATCAGGGTATGTTTCTTTTTACACTTTGAAAATTTATCAGTCCTGAGGTCTTGTGAAATTCCTGTCAAGGCCGGGTGCAGTGGCTCACACCTGTAATCCCAGCATTTTGGGAGGCAGAGGTGGGCGGATCACGAGGTCAGGAGATGGAGACCATCCTGGCCGACATGGTGAAACCCTGTCTGTACTAAAAATACAAAAATTAGCTGGGTGTGGTGGCGGGCGCCTGTAGTCCCAGCTACTTGGGAGGCTGAGGCAGGAGAATGGCATGAACCTGGGAGGCGGAGCTTGCAGTGAGTGGAGATCGCACCACTGCACTCCAGCCTGGTGACAGAGCGAGACACTGTCTCAAAAAAAAAAAGAGAAATTCTTGTCAAATTATGCACTTACTTTAAAGAAGTGGTACCCAGAGGAAGTAAATTCATTTCCATAATTTGTTTCATAGATAAGGAACTGGAACACCAAATTCTAAGGACTGCTTAAGGACATACTGTTTATGAAGTACTTTCAATAATTAAAAAGGGGATCAAAAGGCCAAGAAAAGTAATAAAAAGGGAAAATTAGCTGCAAAGTCAGATATTACAAAGCTATTATAATATCTTCTTTTCCAAATTATCTTTAAAAAATTCTAGTTCTTAGATTTTTTTTAACCATAAACCATGCAAAATTACTTTTTAATTTAACTGAGTCTTAGTAATCAATTATAGAAGTAGTTTCCTAAAACTTGGCAAGTTGGGAATAGAAACAGCAGGAAAAAAGTTGTTGGGTGGGAAGTAGAAAAGGAGGGGATAGAAAATAGAATCAGAGAAGGGAGTAATGTCTGTTAGGATAAATGAGTTAAGGGTGACTTTGGATAAAGTCAATCCCCACAGTAATACTATACCTAACAGTTGGCTGTGTTCCCCTGTGATGGAGTTCTGACTCAGGTCTGAAAAACAAACAATTGAAAAGAAAAGAAAAAAATGAATGATCAAAACAAATAATTTCTTTAAAATCAGCAACAAAAGTCAACCAAGGAAATAAGCAAAAAAATTTAAAAACTTATGAAATATTAATGTGAAGATAATAAAAAATAGAATGAACTAGTGTAAAGAATGATCACATAGCTCAAAAAGTTAAACATAATCACCATCAGCAATTCTACTCCTAATTATACTTCCAAAATAATTGAAAACAGGGACTCAAACAGATACTTTACCACAAAGTTTATGACAAAATAATTCACAATAGCCAAAAGGTTACCAGGTATACTTCTACAGATGAAGGAATCAACAAAATGTAATATACACATACAATGGAAAATTATTCAGCTATAAAAATGAATGGAATTCTGATACATGTGACAACATGGATGAACCTTGAAAACATTATGCTAAGGAAAACAAACCAGACACAAAAAGATAAATATTATATGACTCAATTTATATAAAATGTTGAGAAAGGGCAAATTTATGGAGATGGAAAGCAGATTAGAGGTTACCAGGGGCTGGGTGGAGTAGGGTATGGAATGTTATTGCTTAAAGAGTACAGCGTTTCTGTTTGGGGTGATGAGAAATTCTGGAAACAGATAGTGGTAATGGGTGTACAACACTGTAAATGTAATTAATGCCACTGAGTTGTACACTTAAACATGGTTAAAATGGTAACTTCTGTATTGTATATATTTTGCCACAATAAAAAGTAAATTAAAAAAATAATAATCACACAAATTTGACCAAGCAGTCGTTTCATAAAGTAGAAGGATGATTCAGGATTGTGATATGAATTATATTTTTAATGACGAAGGAACATTTTAATGACAAAAAATACTTATGGCTATAGCAGCTCAAAGTCAAGACATAAATAAAGCACTTATTACTATTAGCAGATATATTCTAGTAGTTTGACTTTAAGATACACTGACTACATTGGCTTTCATAAATATCAATTTCTTTAGTAATCTGAAATAAAATTCGTGGCAATAAGCCAAGTTCCTAATGCAAGAGATATTGACAATCATCATTTAACAGTCAACCACTTACTTATTTTAAAGGTTTGAAAAGCACTAAGAGCTAAAAACAGAAAAGACTAAGCTCCACTTTCCTCAAAGACTAAATCTCTTGAGACGCTGATGATTCTGGCTTCCTTGAATGTGCCTGGGGTAATAAAAATAATTTTAGACCAGGGTTTATGTGAACAATGGGAAAAAAAGTCACATCTTTATTTTCACTAACCTCTAACTGAAGTTAAGGATTTTCTACAGCTATGATGTATGCAACAGATTACATAAAAGTACCTTTGATTTTGTCTAACAATAAATCTGAGACATTTTTATATCACATTATTGTTTTAGACAAAATCCATAGTCCACATATGTTTTACATATCATTTAATTAACACTTTAAGCATCCCAGACAGAAAGAAACAATCAGAATACTTAACAAATTCCAGTTTCTGATGTATATTGGAGTATACACTATATATTTTAATTAAGGAAGTCAGGTAGAAATCTGATTTCTACCACAGAAGTTTTAAATGCTATTTGAACATTTAACAATTTATTTTCAGGGGATTTTTTTCCTTAATTTGCTTTGAAAAAGGAAAATTTGAAATGTTCCTATTCTAGAATATTTTCCCCAAACATACCAGCAAGTGAATTCCCAGTTTTTACTTTAAACTTATCTTACTTCCCATCTAAATAAAGGATACTGGGGCTGGGTGCAGTGGCTCCTGCCTGTTATCCCAGTATTTTGGTGAGCTGAGGCGGGAGGATCACGAGGCCAGGAGTTTGAAACCAGCCTGAGCAACATAGTGAGACCGCATCTCTATGAAACATTTTAAAAATTAGGTAGGCATAGTGGCGTGTGCACCTGTAGTCCCAGCTACTCAGGAGGCTAAGGCAAGAGGTTCCCTTGAACCCAAGAGTTAGAGGCCCCAGTGAGCTATGATGATGCCACTGCACTCCAGCCGGGGTGACAGTGAGACCTCATCTCTCCCCCAACCCCCCACTATATATATATATTCTTGCACATAAGACAAAGTAGGAATGTTCTTGCACATAAGACAAAATAGGAATAACAGTTCTGTAGTCACTCTCTCTCTTAGGGAAAATTGGGCCCTATCATTATGGAGAAACAAGCATGTAGCTGGCATGAAAAGAAGAGTAGAGAAAGCATAACAGAATTTTAGAACTAGAAGAACCTTGGTCATCATCTAAACCTACTCCAGTGACTCTAGAGGAAAAGCTGAGGAAGTGTTATCACATCATTTATTTTTCTCTTTAAATCATACCAACACCTCTCCTTCAAGATTCTGATTCCCAGCCATAGTCACTAATATGAATACCTTGTATCTCTCAGGTGTGCAGGAACAGAAAAGTTGAGAACCTCATATTTTAATGTTTATAGTTCTAAAAAACTAATGCCTGGGTTAATCAGTGGCTAAAGACACATCATACTACTGCCCAAAGAAAAAGGTTATAGTCTTGATGCTTTGAGAACTTATGTTCTTGCTTCCCAATATTCTGTAATTCTAACTTTCTTGTTCTAAAACAAGGTATGATAGGCTAAAACAAGTTATTCGAAATTGCCAGGGAATACAACCTATGAAGAGAAATAGGAAAACATCTCAGATAACTCTGACAGACTAGGTATGGTTTTAGAGAGGAAAATATAAATGACTTTTCCTTTAAAAAGAATTAGCTCGGCTGGGCGCAGCGGCTCACGCCTGTAATTGCAGCACTTTGGGAGGCCGAGGCGGGTGGATCACCTGAGGTCAGGAGTTCGAGACCAGCCTGACCAACATAGAGAAATGCCATCTCCACTAAAAATAAAAAAATCAGCTGGGCGTGGTGGCGTGCACCTGTAATCTCAGCTACTCTGGAGGCTGAGACAGGAGGATGGCTTGAACCCAGGAGGTGGAGGTTGCAGTGAGCCAAGACCACACCACTGACTCCAGCCTGGGCAAAAAGAGTGAAACTCCATCTCAAAAAAAAAGAAAAAAATTAACTCCTCTATTGTGTAATATACTTTCTTGCCTTCTAAGCTGTGCATACATGACGTATGTATACTCTCTAGACAAGCCAGGAGTCTTCCTTTGAACACCCTCCTATACTTCAGATGAGTAGAAACAAGTCCTTTTATTTTTTTTGAGATGGAGTCTTGCTCTGTCGCCCAGGCTGGAGTGCAGTAGCGCGATCTCGGCTCACTGCAACCTCCACCTTCCAGGTTCAAGCAATTTTCTGCCTCATCCTCCAGAGCAGCTGGGATTATAGGTGCCCACCACCACGCCCAGCTAATTTTTGTATTTTTAGTACAGTTGGGGTTTCACCATGTTGGCCAGACTGGTCTTGAACTCCTGACCTCATGATCCACCTGCCTCAGCCTCCCAAAGTGCTGGGATTACAGGCATGGGCCACTGAGTCCAGCCAGAAACAAGTCTTTTGTGTAGTTCCCTACAAGTTCAACTTAGATTTTTATTTTCATTTATTATAATTGAAAAATTATGGGCAATCCTTGATACTTATTTAGTAATGTGAAGACTAACCTCCAAGAACCTGCAAATCTTTTATTAATATATATAAAAGCTAAAACAAGGCTAGGAGCGGTGGCTCACACCTGTAATCCCAGCACTTTGGGAAGCTGAGGCGGGTGGATCATGAGGTCAGGCGTTCAGGACCAGCCTGGCTAACGTGGTGAAACCCCATCTCTACTAAAAATACAAAAATTAGCTGGGCATGGTGATGCGCCCCTGTAATCCCAGATACTCAGGAGGCTGAGGCAGAGAATTGCTTGAACCTGGGAGGCGGAGGTTGCAGTTAGTGGAGATCAGGCCACTGCACTCCAGCCTGGGCGACAGAGCAAGACTCCGTCTCAAAAAAACAAACAAAAAACAAAACAAAACAAAACAAAAAAAACAAAGAACTAAAATAAAGGTCAATCTGGGAGTATATAGGCCCGTGAACCCACTAGAATGAAACTAGTTTTGCCTGTAAAAATTACAATTGTTCAGTGGATTTAACTTGAAGGGCGTTTCTGGGTTTGCAATCCAAATTGTGCAGTCATCATGCTAACACTGCTGAGATATGTCTGAGCACCCTTCAATTGTTCTGTGTCTAAACTCCCCCATTTACCACTTTTCCTGACTATGTCATTGGTGAGGGCACACCCAAGTTTGCCTAAGACTGGGAGTTGTCCTAAAGATTACTCAAAATGACATTTATTTTAAACCAGATTATTCTCTCTAATAGGAACTATGTGCCAATAATGTCACTAGTTTTACCCCATGATGGTCTTCATAAATAAAGCTACTCTTAGGACAAAATACAATCAGGTTATAATCAAAAGCCAGAGATACTCTATAAGTCAAAATGATAGATCAAATAAAAAATAGAAACAAACTATATACCTATTAAAAACAGATAGATGTAATCAGAAAGATGAACTGAAAATATTTCCTTGTAACACTAATGATATGGTAGTTTTACAAATAAGCACTTGCTCAATATATTTAACTTATCTTGGGTAAATAGTAAGAATGAAGATTTTAGTTTCCTGCCATGCACCTGGGAGAATGGAGACAGAGTGAAATGATTGTGGGTGGTACTCACTTGCAAAACTGCCTCTGTCAAGTTTTTCTGAAGAGCTTTATTATTTTCCTTAGTTTGCCAATAGCAATAGTCTTTGAGACTATTTTGAACAAAATTTCCTTTGAGAATCACTTTGTTTACCATCATTGGCAGACAATTTGAAGCAAATAAAGGCTAGCTGGTATCTTGTAGCTAAAACACAGGGCTAGAAGGTTTTAGTCTTTATTAAATCTAGAATCAGTAATATAATTAAATAACACACCAACAGCAGAAATTGTTGCCCAATTCTTTAGATAAAGAAGTAGGCATGACCAAGCGCATATACATCAGAATTAAGACTGTTATGCTACTGGCTGTATTATCTAGACATATCACAAAAGTTGTTTCAGGAAAACAAACAACTGAAATGACTAGTCTTAACACGTAAGGCATTTCTAACTTTCTTAACTCCCAGTTTTTAAAAAAACCAAAGCGTCATCATCATCAAAAGAAACGATTCCAACTCAGAATTAAACTAAGATAGTTAAAGATGGAACTGAATTTGGGGATGTAAACTAGTATAGCCACTAAGGAGAAGAGTATGGAGAGTACTCAAGAAAAGTACAACTAGAACTACCATATGATCCAGCAATCCCACCACTGAGCATTTATACAAAGCAAAGGAAATTAGTAAAATTAGTATATCAAAGAGACACCTGCACTGCATGTTTATTGCAGCACTATTCACAGTAGCCAAGATATGGACTCAACCTGGGTGTCCAAAAACAGATGAATGGATAAAGAAAGTGTGGTATGTATATACAATGGAATACTATTCAGCTCTTAAAAAGAATAAAATCCTATCATTCATAGCAACGTAGATGGAACTGAAGGACATTATGTTAAGTGAAATAAGCCAGGAACAGAAAGCTAAACACCACATGTTCTCATTCATATGTGAGAGTCAGAAAAAAAAAGTTGATCTCATAGATGTAAAAATTAGAACAGACGATACTTGAGGGTGAGAAGGGCATGGGTATGGGCGGAGGGCAGGGGGATAGGAAGAGATTTGTTAAAGGATACAAAAGTATAGCTAGATAAAAAAAGAGTAAGTCTAGTATTCTACACTATTGAAGGATGACTACGGTTAACAATAATATATTAGACTCAAATAGCTAGGAGGAGGATATTGAATGTTTCTAATACAAAGTAATGATAAATGATTGAGACAATGGATATACTAATTACATTGATCTGATCACTATACTTTAATAGGTATTGAAAAAAAGATGGAACCAAAGACAATTACTCTAACATTCACATTTATTAGATTCTGCCTGTCTATATGGGTAGGATCTCATCTTGGTGGGAAAACAAGTTGAACTAAGTCAAAATCTGAAAAGCCCATCCTCTTTACATAATATATTCTAAATTTATAGCAATGAACTAGATAGACCTAGAAAAACTAACATGAGATTAATGAGGTTTAAATAAATGAGTAAGCCGGGTGCAGTGGCTCACGCCTGTAATCCTGGCGCCTTGGGAGGCCGAGGCGAGTGGATCACGAGGTCAGGAGATTGAGACCATCCTGGCCAACATGGTGAAACCCCATCTCTACTAAAATACAAAAAATTAGCTGGGCATGGTGGCGCATGCCTGTAGTCCCAGCTACTTGGGAGGATGAGGCAGGAGAATAGCTTGAATTCAGGAGGCGGAGGTTGCAGTGAGCCAAGATGGCGCCACTGCACTCCAGCCTGGTGACAGAGCAAGATTCTGTCTCAAAAATAAATAAATAAATAAGTAAAAAATAGTAGGCAATTTTAGGCAAAGTAATTAAGCAATAAGATGGCAATGTAAACCAGTGCATACAAAAAGTTAATTCTTTATGTTTCTACACTACCTCATAAAGGACAAAAATCCTTATTTTAATTTTTAATGTAATAAAAATATAGTTTAAAAAAGATATATAGAGCCTACATATGCCAAAAAAAAATAGCTAAAGATCATTAAGCTAAAATGTGTACTTTAGTCCACACCATCTGCTACATAGTGGCTTGTGTAGACAGTTAACCATGAACAGAATAAGCTGCGATAGTAGCAAGGAACCACATACTCTACTTCATGTACAGTGTATAGTCCTTAGGGCATAAGTACACATTCCTTAGTATATTAATAGGGATTTGGTAAGAAACGGTTTGGGGCAGGGATTGTAAGTAGACTTGTCAAATCTATTTAATAGATAAGTAGATTGCTCTAAAGTGTAATTTCTCATACCCTTCAAAATGCTAATGACTGCCTAGCTAATCTCCAAAAGAAGAATATAATATTCAGCATTCCTAAACACATAGGAAAAGATCATTCATTTTGTATCAAATACCTTGTATAATTAGTGTCCTATGATATACACTTTGGGAAACGTTGAACTAATTCCTATCAATATACTAAGGTTAAAAGATAACTCCCTGGCTGGGCACAGTGCTTCAAGTCTGTAATTCTAGCTACTCAGGAGGCTGAAGCTGGAGGACTACCTGAGGCCAGGAGCTTGAGGCCAGCCTGGGCAACATAGCAAGACCCCATCTCTTAAAAAAGAAATAAAATTAGCTGGGTGTGGTGGTGTGTGCCTGTCATCTCAGCTACTCAGGAGGCTGAAGTGAGAGGATACTAGAGCCCAGAAGTTCAAGGTTGCAATGAGCTATGATCACTCACTCACTCACTCACTCATTCATTCACTCAGCACTATTTCCATTAAGTCAGTATTTTCAAAATTTGCCTGGTTACAACAGTCATGGGGTATTTGTTAAACTACAAATTTCTGGGTCACATAACTAACCCTAATGACTCAATTTTATGGGAGGAGGCTGAGATTCTGTAGTTTTACCAAGTGCCTCAGATGGCTACTATAAAACTTCATTCGTTCAACCATTCCTGTGTTTAAATATCTGAGCGACTAATAAGTCCCAGTCATTTTTCCATGTGCTAGGGATAGAAGGTAAATAAGAAAAAGTTCCTTTTGTCATGCAGATATGGGAACATCAATAAGAAAAGAAAATTAATAGCCGGGCACTGTGGCTCACGCCTGTAATCCCAGCACTTTGGGAGGCCAAGGCAGGTGGATCACCTGAGGTCAGGAGTTCAAGACCAGCCTGGCCAACATGGTGAAACCCCATCTCAACTAAAAATACAAAAATCAGCCAGGCATGGTGGCAGGCACCTGTAATCCCAGCTGCTTGGGAGGCTGAGGCTAGAGAATCACTTGAACCTAGGAGGCAGAGGTTGCAGTGACCGGAGACTGCACCATTGCACTCCAACCTGGGTGACAAGAGCGAAACTCTGTCTCGAAAAAAATAAAAATAAAAATAGAAAAGATAATTAATAAGATAATTTCAGCTTATGGTGTTATAAAGAAAATAAAGAAGGGTGATTAGAGAGGCTATTTTTTATTGGGTGGACTGTCAGGACCTTTCTGAGGAGGTAACCCTTAAGGTGAGACTTGCATGAAAAGGAGCCAGACATATGAGGATCCTGAAAAGACTGATTAGGACAGAGGAACAGCTGTGAGAAGACCCTAAGATGGGAATCAGCTTGGTATATTTAGGAAATATTAATGTAGCTAAAGCATAGTGAGTAACAAAGTGTTTTTTTTTTAAAGAGGGTAAATTAGGTAGGCACTACATCTTGTAGTGTAGCACACTATAATAAGGAGTGTGAATTTTACTCTGAAAATGACGTAAAACGACTGAAAGGTTAGCATTTTTTTTTTTGAAACAGGGTCTTGCGCTGACATCAAGCTGGAGTGCAGTGGTGCAATCAGGGCTTACTACAGCCTCAACCTCCCAGGCTCAAGTGATCTTCCCGCCTCAGCCTCCTAGTAGCTGGGATCACAGTCATGTGCCACTACACCCAGCCAGTTTTTTGATTTTTTTTATGGAGACAGGATCTCCCTATGTTGCTTATGCTCGTCTCGGTCTCAAACTCTGGGGCTCAGGCGATTCTCCTGCCTCAGCCTCCGAGGATTACAGGTGTGAGCCACCACACTTGGCCAGCATAATTTTTTAAAAATGCAGGCTGCTGGTTTGAGAATGGATTGTAGGGGAGACCAAGAACAGAAATGGGGAAACCAGTTACAAGTTTACTGAAGAAACCACAGAAAGACATGATAATGGCTGTAGTGAAGCTGATGGAGGGAGGCAGGTTGATGATATCTTACGGAAAGAGAGCTCACGGGCTAGTCTTCAAAAGTAATGTCCATATTACTTTCTTTGTTTCTTTTCTTTTTTTTTTTTTTTTTTTTTTTGAGACGGAGTCCTGCTCTGTTGCCTAGGCAGGCACCATCTCAGCTCACTGCAACCTCTGCCTCCCAGGTTCAAGCGATTCTCCTGCCTCAGCCTCCCGAGTACCTGGGATTACAGGCACCCGCCCACCACGCCCAGCTAATTTTTGTATTTTTAGTAGAGACAGGGTTTCACCATGTTGGCCAGGCTGGTCTTGAACTCCTGACCTTGTGATCCACCTGCCTCGGCCTCCCAAAGTGCTGAGATTACAGGCATGAGCCACTGCGCCTGGCCCATGTTACTTTGAGATCTGTAGCTCTTTCATTAATGTATTCAGTAAATATTTTCTGAGAACCTTCTACATGTGAAACACTATTCTAGTTACTAGAAATGTAGTAACAAAATCCCTGCCATCAAGGAGCTTAAATTTTAGTGGAGAAAAAAACAACCAGTAACCTATGTCAAGAACAGTAAGCTATAAAACAAACAAAAAAGCTGAGTAAAAGAATACAGAGGACTAGTGGGAGAGTGGTTTGTGTGCACACTTAGATACTCAGTCTGAAAGGCCTCTCAGATAATGTGACATCTGAGCAGAAAATTGAAGATATCTAACCATACAAATATCTGCAGGAAGAACAGTTAGTGCTAAGCGAAGCAGGTATGTATTGACATGTTTGATGAATGGCAGCAAGGAGACCGGATTATCAGACAGAATAAGCAAGTTGAAAGTGACAGAGTATGGAATAAGAGATGGATATAGATGTTGGAGGAGGAATCAAAGATCATGTGCGGCCTTGTAGGATATAGTCAGGATTTTTGTTTTTACTGTGAGATAAGAAGCCATTGAAAGGTTTTGGTTTCTGTTTTAACATGATCACAACAGCTATAGTCTGGAATGAGCAGATAGCAGGGACCAAGCAAATAAACAGAAAAAAGTTAGAAGGCTTTTACAGTGGTCCAAGAAAAGATAATGGTAGTATGGATCAGATCAGAAATACTAGAGGTAATGAGAAGTGGTCAGATGCTGGATATGTTGACTAGCCTAGGTATGTTTCAAAGGAGGGACTGACAAGATTGGCATGCTGATGATTGGCTACAGGGTGGGAGAGAAAGAAAAGAGTCAAAGATATTTCCACAGCAATTAGATGAACAGAGATGCCATTTACCCTTTACTGAGTTGGAGACTGACAGAGAGCTAGCAATCGAATTAAAGGCACAGTGCTTATGATGGTTTTTTTTTTTTTCCAAGCCAGCTTAGTAGGGAATCCTGTGTAGTGGAAAACCAGTGGGATGGGTTTTTAAATTAGGTGTGAGTTCTCCATGTACCCACCAAATGGCAGTAAGAAAAAATTCATTTAAAGAGGTGGAAGCAATCCAAATGTCCACTAATGGATGAATAAACAAAATGTGCTATATGTGTGTGTGTGTGTGTGTGTTTGTCATACATAAAATGGAATATTATTCAACCTTTAAAAAGGAAGGAAATTCAGACACATGCTACAACATGGATGAATCTTGACAGCAATACACTAAATCAAATAAGCTAGTCATACAAAGGCAAATACCATATGATTCCACTTATATTAGTTATCTAAAGGAGTCAAATTAATAGAAACAGAAAACAGAATGGTGGTTAACGGGGTGGTAGGGAGTGGAAAATGGAGAGTTGTTCATTGGGTATAGAAGTTCAGTTTTGCAAAATGAAAAAGTTCTGGAGATCTGCACAACAATGGAAATACTCTTAACACTACTGAACTATACACTAAAAAATTATTAAGATGCTAGGTTTTATTGCTTTTTTTTTTCTTTTTCTTTTTAAACAGTCTTGCTCTGACACCCAGGCTGGAGTGTGGTAGCACGATCTAAGTTCCCTGCAACCGCCGCCTCCCGGGTTCAAGCAATTCTCCTGACTCAGCCTCCCGAGTAGCTGTGATTACAGGCACGTGCCACCATGCTCAACTAATTTTTTTGTATTTTTAGTAGAGATGGGGTTTCACCATATTGTCCAGGCTGGCCTCAAACTCCTCACCTCAAGTGATCTGCCCACCTCAGCCTCCCAAAGTGTTGGGATTACAGGCGTGAGCCACCATGCCTGGCCTTATGCTATTTTTTTAAGCCACAATTTAAAAAATTGTATTTGACTCCGTAGTCTTTTGGCTAATACATTGTGGTCTTCATTAATAGCATTCATAAGTCTAAAAGGAGAGCTCCATTTTCCATTTTTAAAATTTCCCTGCCCGGGCACAGTGGCTCACGCCTGTAATCCCAGCACTTTGGGAGGTTGAGGTGGGTGGATCACTTGAGGTCAGGAGTTTGAGACCAGACTGGCCAGCATGGTGAAACCCAGTCTCTACTAAAAATACAAAAAATTAGCTGGGTGTGGTGACAGGTGCCTGTAACCCCAGCTGCTTGGGAGGCTGAGGCAGGAGAATCGCTTGAACCTGGCAGGCGGAGGTTGCAGTGAGCCAAGATTGCGCCACTGCATTCTAGACAAAGTGAGACTCTGTCTCAAAAATAAAAAATTTCCCTATGTGCATTAATTATGCAGCAACCTTATCTCCTAATTCACAAGATATGTACTCATACTATGCTTCAAAAGAGGACAAATAATAAAGCTTAAATATGATGACACCTAGTGCAGCTACAGAAATTACTTATAACAATTTGCTTGAAAAAAGCCAATGAGGAAGCAAAGCAAAGCAAATGCCAAAGCAAGTACTTTTTTTTTTAAATACTTTAAGTTCTGGGTTACATGTGCAGAATGTGCAGTTTTGTTATACAGGTATACACGTGCCATGGTGGTTTGCTGCACCCATCAACCCGTCATCTACATTAGGTATTTCTCCTAATGTTATCCCTTCCCTACCCCCCCGGGCTCTGGTGTGTGATGTTCCCCTCCCTGTGTCCATGTGTTCTCATTGTTCAACTCCCACTTATGAGTGAGAACATGTGGTGTTTGGTTTTCTGATCTTGTGACAGTTTGCTGAGAATGATGTTTCCAGCTTCATCCATGTCCCTGCAAAGGACAGGAACTCATCCTTTTTTATGGCTGCATAGTATTCCATGGTGTATATGTGCCACATTTGCTTTATCCAGTCTATCATTGATGGACATTTGGGTTGGTTCCAAGTCTTTCCTATTGTGAATAGTGCCGCAATAAACATGCACATGTGTCTTTATCGTAAAATGATTTATAATCCTTTGGGTATATGCCCAGTAATGGGATTGCTGGGTCAAATGGTATTTCTAGTTCTAGATCCCTGAGGAATCACCACACTCTATTCCATAACGATTGAACTAATTTACACTCCCACCAACAGTGTAGAAGCATTCCTATTTTCCCACAACCTCTCCAGCATGTGTTGTTTCCTGACTTTTTAATGGTTGCCATTCTAACTGGTGTGAGATGGTATCTCACTGTGGTCTTGATTTGCATTTCTCTGATGACCAGTGATGATGAGCATTTTTTCATATGTCTGTTGGCTGCATAAATGTCTTCTTTTGAGAAGTGTCTGTTAATATCCTTTGCCCATTTTTTGATGGGGTTGTTTGCTTTTTTCTGGTAAATTTGTTTAAGTTCTTTGTAGATTGTGGATATTAGCCCTTTGTCAGATGGATAGATAGCAAAAATTTTCTCCCGTTCTGTAGGTTGCCTGTTCACTCTGGTAATAGTTTCTTTTGCTGTGCAGAAGCTCTTTAGTTTAATTAGATCCCATTTGTCAATGTTGGCTTTTGTTGCCATTGCTTTGGTGTTTTAGACATGAAGTCTTTGCCTATGCCTGTGTCCTGAATGGTATTGCCCAGGTTTTCTTCTAGGATTTTTATGGTCCTAGGTCTTATGTTTAAGTCTTTGATCCATCTTGAGTTGATTTTTGTATAAGGTGTAAGGGGGTCCAGTGTCAGTTTTCTGCATATGGATAGCCAGCTTTCCCAACACCATGTATATGTTTGTGTAGTTTGTGTAGCCTCCTTTCCCCATTGCTTTTGTCAGGTTTGTCAAAGATCAGATGGTGGTAGATGTGTGGTGTTATTTCTGAGGCCTCCGTTCTGTTCCATTGGTCTATATATCTGTTTTGGTACCAGTACCATGCTGTTTTGGATACTGTAGCCTCGTAGCAAAGTTTGAAGTCGGGTAGCTTGATGTCTCCAGCTTTGTTCTTCTTGCACAGGATTGCCTTGGCAATGCGGGCTCTTTTTTGGTTCCATATGAACTTTAAAGTAGTTTTTTCCCAATTCTGTGAAGAAAGTCAGTGGTAGCTTGATGGGGATAGCATTAAATCTATAAATCACTTTGGGCAGTAAGGCCATTTTCATTATATTGATTCTTCCTACCCATGAGCATAGAATGTTTTTCCATTTGATTGTGTCCCCTCTTATTTCCTTGGGCAGTGGTTTGTAGTTCTCCTTGAAGAGGTCCTTCACATCCCTTGTAAGTTGGATTCCTAGGTATTTTATTCTCTTAGTAGTAATTGTGAATGGGAGTTCACTCATGATTTGGCTCTCTGTTTGTCTGTTACTGGTGTATAGGAATGCCTGTGATTTCTGCACATTGATTTTGTATCCTGAGACTTTGCTGAAGTTGCTTATCAGCTTAAGGAGATTTTGGGCTGAGACGATGGGGTTTTCTAAATACACAATCATGTCATCTGCAAACAGAGACAATTTGACTTCCTCTCTTCCTATTTGAATATCCCTTATTGCTTTCTCTTGCCTGACTGCCCTGGCCAGAACTTTCAACACTATGTTGAATAGGAGTGGTGAGAGAGGGCATCCTTGTCTTGTCCCGGTTTTCAAAGGGAATGCTTCCAGTTTTTGCCCATTCAGTATGATACTGGCTGTGGGTTTGACATGAATAGCTCTTATTATTTTGAGATATGTTCCATCAATACCTAGTTTATTCAGAGTTTTTACCATGAAAGGCTGTTGAATTTTGTTGAAGGCCTTTTCTGCATCTGTTGAGATAATCATGTGGTTTTTGTCATTGGTTCTGTTTATATGTTGGATTACGTTTATTGATTTGCTATGTTGAACCAGCCTTGCATCCCAGGGACGAAGCCCACGTGCTCATGGTGGATAAGCTTTTTGATGTGCTGCTGGATTCGGTTTGCCAGTATTTTATTGAGGATTTTTGCATCAATGTTCATCAGGGATATTGGTCTAAAATTCTTTTTTGTTGTGTCTGTCAGACTTTGGTATCAGGATGATGCTGGCCTCATAAAATGAGTTATGGAGGATTCCCTCTTTTTCTATTAATTGGAATAGTTTCAGAAGGAATGGTATCAGCTCTTCTTTGTACCTCTGGTAGAATCTGGCTGTGAATCCTTCTGGTCCTGGACTTTTTTTGGTTGGTAGGCTATTAATTATTGCCTCAATTTCAGAACCTGTTATTGGTCTATTCAGAGATTCAACTTTTTCCTTGTTTAGTCTTGGGAGGGTGTATGTATCCAGGAATTTATCCATTTCTTCTAGATTTTCTAGTTTATTTACATAGAGGTGTTTATAGTATTCTCTGATGGTAGTCTGTATTTCTTTGGGATAGGTGGTGATATCCCCTTTATCATTTTTTATTATGCCTATCTGATTCTTCTCTCTTTTCTTGTTTATTAGTCTTGCTAGCAGTCTATTTTGTTGATCTTTTCAAAAAACCAGCTCCTGGATTCATTGATTTTTTTAAGGGATTTTGTGTCCCTATCTCCTTCAGTTCTGTTCTGATCTTAGTAACTATTTCTTGCCTTCTGCTAGCTTTTGAATTTGTCTGCTCTTGCTTCTCTAGTTCTTTCAATTGTGATGTTAGGGTGTTGATTTTAGATCTCTCCTGCTTTCTCTTGCGGGCATTTAGTGCTACAAGTTTCCCTTTACACACTTCTTTAAATGTGTCCCAGAGATTCTGGTACGTTATGTCTTTGTTCTCATCGGTTTCAAAGAACATCTTTATTTCTGCCTTCATTTCGTTATTTACCCAGTAGTCATTCAGGAGCAGGTTGTTCATTTTCCATGTAGTTGCGTGGTTTTGAGTGAGTTTATTAATCCTGAGTTTTAATTTGATTGCACTGTGGTCTGAGAGACAGTTTGTTGTGATTTCTGTTTCTTTTACATTTGCTGAGGAGTGCTTTACTTTCAATTACGTGGTCAATTTTAGAATAAGTGCTATGTGGTGCTGAGAAGAATGTATATTCCGTTGATTTGGGGTGGAGAGTTCTGTAGATATCTATTAGGTTCACTTGGTGCAGAGCTGAGTTCAGTTCCTGGATATCCTTGTTAATTTTCTGTCTCGTCGATCTAATATTGACAGTGGGCTGTTAAAGTCTCCCATTGTTACTGTGTGGGAGTCTAAGTCTCTTTGTAGGTCTCTAAGAACTTGCTTTATGAATCTGGGTGCTCCTGTATTGGGTGCATATACATTTAGGATAGTTAGCTCTTCTTGTTGAATTGATTCCTTTACCATTATGTAAATGTCTCTTTTGATCTTTGTTGGTTTAAAGTCTGTTTTATCAAACAGACCAGGATTGCAAGCCCTGCTTTATTTATTTATTTATTTTTGTTTTTCATTTCCTTGGTAGATCTTCCTCCATCCCTTTATTTTGAGCCTATGTGTGTCTTTGCACGTGAGATGGGTCTCCTGAATACAGCACACCGATAGGTCTTGACTCTTTATCCAATTTGCCAGTCTGTGTCTTTTAATTGGGGCACTTACCCTATTTACATTTAAGGTTAATAATTGTTATGTGTGAATTTGATCCTGTCATTATGTGCTAGCTTGTTATTTCATCTGTTAATTGATGTAGTTTCTTCATAGCACTGATGGTCTTTACAATTTGGTATGTTGTTGCAGTGGCTGGTACCAGTTGTTCGTATCCACGTTTAGTGCTTCCTTCAGGAGCTCTTCTAAGACAGACTTGGTGGTGACAAAATCTCTCAGCACTTGCTTGTCTGTAAAGGATTTTATTTCTCCTTCACTTATGAAGCTTAGTTTGGCTGGATATGAAATTCTGGGTTGAAAATTCTTTTCTTTCAGAATGTTGAATGTTGGCTCCCACTCTCTTCTGGCTTGTAGGGTTTCTGCTGAGAGATGCACTGTTAGTCTGATGGGTTTCCTTTTGTGGGTAACCTGACCTTTCTCTCTGGCTGTGCTTAACATTTTTCCCTTCATTTCAACCTTGGTGAATCTGACAATTAAGTGTCTTAGGGTTGCTCTTTTTGAGGAGCATCTTTGCGGTGTTCTCTGTATTTACTGAATTTGAATGTTGGCCTGCCTTGCTAGGTTGGGGATGTTCTCCTGAATAATATCCTGAAGAGTGTTTTCTAACTTGGTTTCATTCTCCCTGTCACTTTCAGGTACACCAATCAAACGTAGATTTGGTCTTTTCACATAGTCCCATATTTCTTGGAGGCTCTGTTCATTTCTTTTCACTTTTTTTTCTCTAATCTTGTCTTCTCACTTTATTTCATTAATTTGATCTTCGATCACTGATATCCTTTCTTCCGCTTGATTGAATCGGCTATTGAAGCTTGTGTATGCTTCACTAAGTTCTTGTACTGTGGTTTTCAGATCCATCATGTCATTTAAGCTCTTCTCTACACTGGTTATTCTAGTTAACCATTTGTCCTACCTTTTTTCAAAGATTTTAGCTTCCTTGCAATGGGTGAGAACATGCTCCTTTAGCTCGGAGAAGTTTGTTATTACCGACCTTCTGAAGCCTACTTCTGTCAACCTGTCAAACTCATTCTCCATCCAGTTTTGTTCCCTTGCTGGTGAGGAGTTGTGTTTCTTTGGAGAAGAAGAGGCATTCTGGTTTTTGGAATTTTTTAGCCTTTCTGCTCTGGTTTCTTCCCATCTTTGTGGTTTTATCTACCTTTAGTCTTTGATGTTGGTGACTTACAGATGGGGTTTTGGTGTGGATGTCCTTTTTGTTGATGTTGATGCTATTCCTTTCTGTTTGCTAGTTTTCCTTCTAACAGACAGGCCACTCAGCTGCAGGTCTGTTGGAGTTTACTGGAGGTCCACTCCAGACCCTGTTTGCCTGGGTATCACCAGCAGAGGCTGCAGAACAGCAAATATTGCTGCCTGATCCTTCCTCTGGAAGCTTCGTCTCAGAGGGGAACCTGCTTGTATGAGGTGTCTGTCGGCCCCTACTGGGAGATGTCTCCTAGTCAGGCTACACAGGGGTCAGGGAACCACTTGAGGAGGCAGTGTGTCCATTCTTAGAGCTCAAACATCACGCTGGGAGAACCACTGCTCTCTTCAGAGCTGTCCAGGAGGGACGTTTAAGTCTGGAGAAGCTGTCTGCTGCCTTTTGTTCAGATATGCCCTGCCCCCAGAGGTGGAATCTAGAGAAGCAGTAGGCCTTGCTGAGCTGTGGTGTGCTCTGCCCAGTTCGCGGTTCCCTGCCACTTTGTTTACTCCAAGTGAGCACAGAACTGCCTACTCAAGCCTCACCAATGGCAGACGCCCCTTGCCCCACCAAGCTCCCACGTCCCAGGTCAATCTCAGACTGCTGTGCTAGCAGCTAGCAAGGCTCCGTGGGTGTGGGACCTGCTGAGCCAGGCATGGGAAGGGATCTCCTGGTCTGATGGTTGTGAAGACTGTGGGAAAAGCGCAGTATTTGGGCAGGAGTGTACCACTCCTCCAAGCACAGTCACTCACGGCTTCCCTTGGCTAGGAAAGGGAAATCCCCCGACCCCTTGTGCTTCCTGGGTGAAGCAATGCCCCACCCTGCTTTGGCTCACCCTCCGTGGGCTGCACCCACTGTCCAACCAGTCCCAATGAGATGAACCAGGTACCTCAGTTGGAAATGCAGAAATCACCCATCTTCTGTGTCAATCTTGCTGGGAGCTGTAGACCAGAGCTGTTCCTATTCAGCCATCTTGGAAGCGACTCCTTAAGATACGTGTTTTTTAAAAAATCTTAATTGAGTTCTGATATGGCTTTAAGGATACAGCAATTAGGTAAAACAGGGAAATTAGTAAAATGTAGTAAAAGTAATTCTATCTATTGCTGTCAGGACTGATAGGTTTTTATTTTATTTAATTAATTAATTTATTTTTGAGACAGAGTCTCACTCTGTTGCCCAGGCTGGAGTGCAGTGGTGCAAACTCAGATCTCTGCAACCTCCACCTCCTGGGTTCAAGCAATTCTCCTGCCTCACCTCCCGAGTAGCTGAGATTACAGGTGCCCACTGCCACATCCAGCTAATTTTTGTATTTTTAGTAGAGACGGGGTTTTGCCATGTTGGCTAGGCTGGTCTCGAAATCCCGACCTCAGATGACCTGTCTGCCTTGGCCTCCCAAAGTGCTGGGATTACAGGCATGAGCCATCGCGCCTAGCCTATTTCATTTTTTTGAGACAAAGTCTCGCTCTGAGGCCTAGGCAGGAGTACAATGGCACAATCTCAGTTCACTGCAGCCTAAACCTCCCAGGTCCAAGTAATCCCCTGGCCTAAGCCTTCCCAGTAGCTGGGACTACAGGCATGTGCCGTCACACCTTGCTAATTAAAAAAATGTTTTTTTGTAGAGACAAGGTCTCCCTATGTTGCCCAGGCTGGCCACAAACTCCTGTTCTCAAGTGATCCTCCTGTCTCAGCCTCCAAAGTGTTGGGATTAGAGGTGTGAACCACCATGCCCAGCCAGGGCTGATAGGTAATTTTAAAAGCTGGTTGAAATAGAGAATCACACACACACAAAAATGGCTCACACATTAATATTTCAACATAAAAGTATATAAACTTGCAAATGTATATTAATTCACCAATCATTTTGTAAAAGCGATACAACTATGCAGATTGAATTTATTCATTTTCTTTCTTGTGTAAATTACACCCATAAGGCATAAGTCTGTGATTTCCAACTTTGGTTTAAAGATACTTATGAAGCAATATCTATATTCTTTTCAAAGCTTTGTCATTGCCCCACTCCCAACTCTTTTACAGGTCTCTTGTCCACTGCTAATTTAAATACTTCCTTCCACCCCCACCTTGAGACGGAGTCTTGCTCTGTCACCCAGGCTGGAGTGCAGTGGTGTGATCACGGCTCACTGCAAACTCCACCTCCCTGGTTCAAGCAATTCTCCTGCCTCAGCCTCCTGAGTAGGTGGGATCACAGGCACTCACCACCTGTGATCCAAAATGTGATACAAAAATGCCAGGCTAATTTTTGTATTCTTAGTAGAGAGGGGGTTTCACCATGTTGGCCAGGCTGATCTCGAACTCTTGACCGCGTGATTCACCCACCTTGGCCTCCCAAAGTAATGGGATTACAGTTGTGAGCCACCACACCTGGCCCTAAATACCTTTTTTTTAATTTTATTTTTAAGATACAGGGTCTTGTTCTGTTGCTCATGATTGAGTTCAATGACATAATCTTAGGTTACTGTAATCTTCAACTCCTGGGCTCAATCAATCCTCCCACCTCAGTCTCCTGAGTAGCTAGGATTACTGGTGTGCACCACTATAACTGGCTAATTTATTTGGTAGAGACAAAATATATCACCCAGGCTGGTCTCTAACTTGTGGCCTCAAGAGATCCTTTTGCTTCCCCTCCCAAAGTGCTAGGATTACAGGCATGAGCCACCACACCCAGCCTTAAATAAGTGTTTAATGACCTGCTAAATAATCCACGTTAGCTTTTATAGACACAACTCTACTTTCCCTATTCATATTACATCAATTTGTGTAATATTTGGTTAAATTATGGATTTATAATAAATACAAGTGTCATGAATAATTTTGGGACCAATAAAAGTCTCCTAGTAGACATAACAACAATAGAAAGAATTATCAACAGTTAGCACTTATTAGGGTATGTATGTGATAGACACCTAAACGTTTTACCTGTATTATCTCATTTACAGCAATCTCATCCTATGCTGTAAGTACTATCATGATTGTTCCATTTTACAGGAAAGGCAAAGGGAACCTCCAGGATGATGCTGAAGACAGAGCCCACTATGACAGCTGTGCAACTATCCCAGAGCGCAGACATGAGGCAGAGTGAAAAGATAACACAGAACTGGGAAGCAGGTAAAGCTCAGGTGAGATACTAGCTCTACCACATGTTATTAGTGTAACCTTGGGAAAATGAGTCAATACTTCTTAGCTTTAATTTACCATCTATGCAATAGGAATAATACTATATCACAGAAAATTGAGATAAGCCACAGAATGATCCTCAACAGACATAATAACAATTATATGCTAAAAAGAGTCATGGCGACAAATTAGAATTTAGGTAGCTGGGCATATTTCTTGGAATTCTAAACATTTTGTAGTACAATAGTACTGTGGAAAATATCAAAGTAATGTGGTTGAATTCTTAGCACTGATATACACATTGATTTATAACGATACAGTCATGTGATAATAATAGTTTGAGTCACTATTCTTGTATCAAAAAATTTGATACATTTATAGTGTGGACAAAATACACATTAACATACAGTTTGGAGGCTGGGTGCGGTGGCTCACACCTGTAATCCCAGCACTTTGGGAGGCCAAGGTAGGCGGATCACCTGAAGTTGGGAGTTCAAGACTAGCCTGACCAACATAGAGAAACCCTATCTCTACTAAAAATACAAAAAATTAGCCAGGCATGGTGGCACATGCGTGTAAGCCCAGCTACTCGGGAGGCTGAGGCAGGAGAATTGCTTGAACCCAGGAGAAGGAGGTTGCAATGAGCTGAGATCACGCCATTGTACTCCAGCCTGGGTGACAAGAGCGAAACTTCATCTCAAAAACAAACAAACACACAGTTTGGAATGTTGTGATACAATTATTTATAATAGTAATTGTTAAGGACTGTCTGTACTACATTTCCCAGTACAATTTTATTAATGATTCCAATTCAAATAAACAATGATAATTTAATTCCATAAGTTTTAAACATGCCTAAAGCTGTGTTGGATGCTGTGGGGAACAAGAGTGAGCATAAGATATTTCCTGACATTAAGCAGCTCATAATCTAGTTGAAAAGTCAACTTCAACTTAAGAAACTAAGAAAGAATGATGGTAATAATAGTAACTTACACATAGTAACATTTTACAGTTTTTAAAATATTTTCACATATTTCTTTTGGTTCTCATGATAACCCTGTGATACAGATAGGAAATATTAAAAAGCTAAAGCAAGATTAGGCTCAATGGTTCATCCAAGGCAAACTGAGTGTAAATTTCAAAAAAGACTCGCTTGAACTTGGATTCTGATTTGTCTACTATATCATACTGGTTGTTCCTAAAATTTAGGTACAAGAATGAATAATGGTAATATACATAACTTTTAATTATCCAGGGAAGATAATTATCTAAGGCACAAGATCACAACAAGGCATGTATGAAATAATTACAAATAGTCAGAGTAGGTATCTGGTGCATGGAACTACACAGTGACCACAGATGGCCATATCGATGCGTTGCTAATGCAGCAGAGTTCACAAACATTGCCGACCCAGGTAAGACTGCCCCATCCCTTTTTGCCAAGAGCATGGCAGAACACAGAGAAGGTAAAGGAAAGCTCATGTGGTTATGGAATCCAACAGAGAGTCAGGACTGAAGGTAGAGAAATTAAGAAGAGATAAAGAACATCCACATAGAAAAGTAGATATGCTTCTACTTTGATATTTGAAAAAAAATTTTAGTAACCAAACTGTTTTACTTGTGTTATTTGTATACTTCTGATAACTCCATAAGAATCAAATTTTTGAAAATTTAACTACAAATGTTTATTAAGTTCATTTTCTACTAAACATCTTGATAAGTTTTAACTGATTCTACCTTCTCCCCTCATCCTGCCATTAACCCAGCTAACTGAAAGTTGGAAGCACTTTGCCAAATATCATTTTTAAAAATGTTTGTGCTAGAATATCTTTAAAATCTCTTCAAATGTTGCTAATCTCTTTTTTAACAGGCTTAGTCAGAGCCTAAGCTTGGCAACAGTATCTAACAAGATTAGCTGCTTTATTGTATCTATTTTTAATTTATACTCTATTTATGGCAAGCATGCTGGTATTTCATTTAGTGACAACGTTCCTTTTTAAAAGGAAACCATAAAAGCAGTGACTCAATTTAAGAAAAAAATTAAATAAACACAAAGATGATCCATAAAAATAGAAAGATTACAAAGGTAGTCTCTAAAAGACTGAATTTAGGGAAAATTTCCTACTATCATCACATAAAAACTGCACAGCAACCATGTGAAGAAGAATTATTCCTATATTCATAAAGAAACTAGCTCAGAGAAAGCTGAAATGATTTGCCCAAGGTGGTGTAGCCAATAAAGCCAATGGAACCATGGCAAAGCCAGGCCTCAGCTGTGGTCTTGGATCATCTCACTAGCAGGAAGCAGTGTGAGGGTCCACAGGGAGACGTGCAACATTGATCAAGGCAGTGTGAACTTGAAGGAGGATTTTTGAAAACCTTAAAAATCATGGAGGGCTCAAAATCACAGAGGAGGAATAAATACAGCACATGTCTGGAAAGATTTGCTTGGGAAGATTGGGTCATATTAGGAAAATCTTGGAAGGCAAATAGAGGAGTCTAAAGGAGATGGAAAACAACTGAAATTCTCTATGTAGAAGTCTAAAAATGAAAGCAGTATTTTAGGCAAGGAAACATGAGTACAAAAATGCAAAAAGAAATAAATGCTAGATATATTAGAGACAGGCAGGCAGACTCATTAATAGACCACGGCGGTCTGTCCATGTGCAAACATCTCTAAGGCTAACTGTCTAGGACAGCAGTAGTAGTTATTAATATTAATTCAACCAAGACTCTGAATGCCTACTATATGTCAGGTACATGCTAGGCACTATGGATATCAAAAACAGTGACCATTTGCTCTCAAGAAGTTCAGAGGGGAAAAATACACAATTATGAAACAATAAAATTATTACAGTTTAAGTACAAATACTGTGGGACTCAAGAAGGAAAGAACAAAAATAGGCCGCTCACACCTGTAATCCCAGCACTTTGGGAGGCCGAGGCAGGTGGATCACAAGGTCAGGAGTTTGAGACCAGCCTGGCCAAGATGGTGAAACCCCGTTTCTACTAAAAATACAAAAATTAGCTAGGCATGGTGGTGGGCATCTGCAATCCTGGCTACTCGGGAGGCAGAGGCAGGAGAACTGCTTGAACCCGGGAGGCGGAGGTTGCAGTGAGCTGAGATGGTGCCTCTGCACTCCAGCCTAGGCGACAGAGTGAGACTCTGTCTCAAAATAAATAAATAAATAAATAAATAAAATAAAAATAAAGCAATGGTAAGAGATGTTGTCAAGGGGATAACTGAGCTAAATCTTGAAGGATGATTAGTTCATGAAAAAGTAGAAAAATGGGTGGGGGGAAATGGAGGAGAGACATTCCAGAGATAAAATAGCAGGATTTAATATACCTAACATAAAAAAGAAGAAAAGAATCCTGTCATTCACAGAGAAAGTGGGTACACAGAAGCAGTGAGCACATGTACTTCCAACCTGATTCTTCCCCCTTCCTCCCTCAGTCTCAATATTTAGTCATCAAATCCAGTTAAATGTGGCTTCAGTATGCTTCCACACCAATCTATTCCATTGCACTGCCATCATTTAGATTCTCATCCTTTTCAGCTTAGACCAATTGCCACCAATTCTCCCATCTTCAAACAATCCTACATTTTCCTCCATACTAATAATCCTAAAATTCTGCCTTTATCAGTTTGCATCATTGCTTAAACAACAAAATAAATACTTTGAAAGCTTTCCAAGTGACACTGCCAGGAGACCCCAAACATTTTGTGAAGATCATTTTCACTTGTTTATTTGTAATCTACATCATGTGTGGGGTACTAATCTGAGTCCCTCAAAGCAAAGGGGAAGGGCTGCCTTTGTAAGCTCTACCTTTGTTCCTACTTTGAAATCTCAGGCTGGGGGATGATGGTGGGGATGATGGTGGTAGCGGAGGCTACTGGTGTAGACATTTATAAATAGATTGTGGTTTACTTATTTGGACCCATTGGCTTATAGGGTGAACTCGAAAAACTTCAGCTTGGCATTTAAGCCCCTTTATATTTTAGTTTAACCTTTTCTCAACTGTTGGGTATAAGCTGCCTTGTATTATCTTTTAATTAATCAACATATTAATTCAACAAATATTTACTAAGCATCTATAAATGTCAGATTATGTGCTAGGCACTGGAGATGCATAAAGATGAATAGAGCACAGCAGCTACCCCTAAGGGGCTTACAGCACATACGGGTAAGACAAGTGATTGCAGTGGGTGACTAAAGTACTATATTGGAGGTGTAGACATAGAGTATGGTAGCGTGTACATTACATTACATTTCCTGGAGTGATCACAGGGACCATTAAGGAAGAAGTGGTATTTGAGCTCAGTCTTAACATGAAGATTGTTTGCTAGGTAACTGAAGAACACTCCAAGAGGATGGAATAAATGTGTTAAAGCAACAGAGACATTCAAGAACATTCATTATATCTGGTGTGCAGTATGTACAAAAGAGTAATAAACAAGGAAGCTATTAAGCTGGGATGTTCTAGATCGTGTAGGTACATGTACCTGCTAAGCAGTACAGACTTTGTCAGCATGGGGAGACATTAGGGGGTTTTAAATGAGGGAGTAATAGGATGAGATTTACATATGAGAAAAATTCCTCTGGTAATTACTGTAATGGATGGCTTTAGGAGGTTAGACAAAAAATAACAATGGACTAGGATAGTAGCAGTGAAGATGGAGAGAACGGGACAAATTTGAGAATTATTTGGAAGACTAAATGAGCAAAAATCGGCGAGAAAGAAAAGGAAAGAGTGACAGAGAGATTGAATATTGTAATATATCAAGGGGGAAGGAGTCAATAAAAAAATTAGAAATCACAAGAGTTAGGAAGCAAGAAAGGTTCTAGAGCACAGGTGTATGGATCAATATTGAACGACAACAAGGAAGGTGGTAAAGGATAGGTGTCAACACAGATGCTGGTAAGAACTTATGAAGAAGAATATTAGAAATAAAGAAATACAGTTTACTCTGTGAAGTAGAAGGTTTAGCTATATGAGAATGGAGGATTGAGGTCTTAAGCATTTTAACTCTGTAAGGATTGAGAAGGGAAGCTAACTAGAATCACACAGAATGTCTAAATAGTGTCGACAGTACAACATTGTTGGAAATGATGAATTTATGGTGGTATCAGTTTTCATGGCTGTGAGATTCCCCTACTCCCCTACCCCTAGCCATAACACAGCTGCCAGGATTAAGAATGAAAGGAGGTGGCTAGGCACAGTGGCTCATGTCTGTAATCCCAGCACTTTGGGAGGCTGAGGCAAGAGGATCACTTGAGCCCAGACCAGGCTGGAAAACATAGAAGACTCTGTCTCCACACACACCCAAAAGTTTTTAATTAGCCAGTCATGGTGGTGTGTGCCTGTAGTCCCAGCTACTTGGGAGGCTGAGGCACGAGGACTGCCTGAACCTGGGAGACAGACATTGCAGTGAGTGAGCTGAGACGCACCACTGCACTCTGGCCTGGGAGACAGAGTGACTCCGTCTCAAAAAAAAAAAAAAAAAAAAAAGAATGAGAGGAGCAGGTTTGGGGGCATGAGGGGCAGGGGTCCTATCTGCCCATTATAAGCATTTTGAGACAAGAATTTTGTTTTAACGTTGCTGTGACAATTACAACTTCATGTAATACAGACAGAGCTTCATGTAACATTTATAAAATGTTCAACATTTTTGTTTTTTTGAGAAGGAGTTTCACTCTTGTTGTCCAGGCTGGAGTGCAATGGCGCGATCTCGGCTCACTGCAACCTCCGCCTCCCAGGTTCAAGCGATTCTCCTGTCTCAGCCTCCTGAATAGCTGGGATTAGAGGCATGCACCACCACACCTGGCTAATTTTGTCTTTTTTAGTAGAGACAGGGTTTCACCATGTCGGTCAGGCTGGTCTTGAACTCCTGACCTCAGGTGAGGTCAGGGATTACAGGTGTGAGCCACCAGGCCCGGCCTCAACATGTTTGTTAACTGACTCATGTTGAAGTGATTTCAAAGACAAATACCAAGAGACCAAAATTCAGGATTAGTTTTAATAAAGGCTGATGATGGAAACAAAGAAACAAAGTCCTCATCAAAACATAAGAGCTGAAGACAGAAGGATGAACTTTCCTAAAAGCCAATGGAAAGAGAAAGCACCTGAGACCAAGGGCTCAGAATGCTAGAGAAGGAAACAGAGGGAAAAAAATTATTGACACTATGACTGTAATGCTGTCATTCCAATTTTTCCCAACAAGTCTAGATACTAGAAGGAAGAAAATGGTAATTAAGGTAGAAAGTAGTGAAAATGTAGGGCCAAACATGCCTATGGAGCAGAACACACAACACATGAATCCTGAAGAAATTGTATGTGAATTTACTTAGCAATCGTCTCTTTGATCCATCTGACTTATTTTAAAGAAAAGACAGCCAGACAAGGCTGGGCGTGGTGGCTCACGCCTGTAATCCCAGTGCTTTGGGAGGCCAAGGTGGGCGGATCACCTGAGGTCAGGAGTTCGAGACCAGCCTGCAGATCTGCCACTAATACTGGGTACTCATCAACAATGTCCTTCAAAATCCAGTACATATGCTAAGAATAAGTATTAGATTAACAGAGGCTCTTAAGCAAACCAGTGCTATTTAGTGGAGTGTCCCAAGCAAGAGAAATGTTAAGACCACTTTTTGTTTGAGCTCAGATTTGTATAAAGAAAATGCAAATGAGGTAAACTGTGTTCTGAATACATTAGATTAAGTTGTGTTGAAATTCTTCCAAATATGTGGAGATAAATCCACTAGAAGTTGAAGAACTCAGCAGTGATGAAGATAGTTATACTTCTAATTCACAGCCTATAACTTATACAACCTATGGTTGTAATTTTCTTCTCAGCCTATAACACTGAGAAGATGGTGAGAGTAATACCAGACAGTAGATTTAATAAAGGCCAAAGTATAATATAAAGAGAGTTTATTGGGCCAAATCCACAAACTGGTCAGTCAAGAAAAGTATAAATGATACAAGAGGACTGTACCTACACAGTTAAAAAAGAAGAAAAAAAACTTACTAAGAAATAACAAAGGAGGATGGATCTTGAGGCTGTTGCAAATATTACTGAAGAAAATTATGTATAAAGAAGATTATGGGCTAGCCAGGTGTGGTGGCTCATGCCTGCAATCCTGACACTTTGGGAGGCCGAGGCGGGTGGATCACTTGAGGTCAGGAGTTTGAGACCAGCCTGTCCAACATGGTGAAACCCCATTTCTACAAAAATACAAAAATTAGCCAGGTGTGGTGGCGGGAGCCTGTAATCCCAGCTACTCGGGAGGCTGAGGTAAAAGAATTGCTTGAACCCAGGAGGCGGAGGTTGCAGTAAGCTGAGATTGTGCCACTGCACTCCAGCCTGGGTGACACAGTGGCTCATGCCTATAATCTTGGCACTTCCGGAGGTGGAGGTGGGATGATTGCTTGGGCCTAGGAGTTCAAGACCAGCCTGGGCAACACAGGGAGATTTGTCTCTACAAAAAAATTAAAAATTAGCCTGGCGTAGTAGTGGATGTCTATAGTCCCAGCTACTTGGGAGGCTGAGGTGAGAGGATTGCTTGAGCCCAGGAGGCTGAGGCTGCAATGAGCCATAATCATGACACTGCACTTCAGCCTGGGTGACAGACGGGAGAAGGGAGACCCTGTCTCAAAAAAAAAAAAAAAAAAAAAAAGATTATGTCATTCTTTGGTCTTGTGGATGATCCAAATTATTTTTCATGCACTGTGGAAACATATTTCACATTTTCATTTTAAAGATGGTTTTGGAAAAATAAACATGACCATAAGAGACTATCTTCTTAACAAGAAGGGGAGAAAATTGGCCTAAACAACAAATTAGGAACTAAGGAGTTAAAAGGGGAATTAGGGGGACTAAGAGACTACTGTGAACATTTCCAATATTTTAAGAGCCTATATTGATTTCATGTTACAGTCAAAGGTTAACTGCTTAATGTAGGCTGAACATAACATTTCCTAAAGTTTTAAACCCAGACATTAAACTAGAAACTATTATTATATATACTGTATTCTGGAATTTTTTAAAAACATTGTTTTTAGTGTGTATACTTTGAATAGTAAATGTGTCATGATCTTCAATAATTTAGAAAATATAAATGGAATCATATATAAACTTTTGAGACTGCCTTTTTTTCATTGAGCCTAATGCCTTGCAGATTCATGCAAGCTGCTGTGTATTATCAACACTAGTTCCTCTTTAAAAAAAATACATTTTGAAACATAAACTACAGACCTGCCATGGTTTGAATATATCCTCCCAAAAGCATCTGTTGGAAACTTAATCCCCAATGCAACATCACTGGGAGGTGGGGGACTAATTAGAGGTAATTAGGCCATTAGGTAATTAAGCCACCCTCAACAATGGATTAATGTCATTATCAAGAGAGTTTGTAACAAAATAGGGAGTTTGGTCCCCTTCTCTCTCACTCCCTCTTACCCTCTCTGCCCTCTGCCATGGGAAGATGCAGCAAGAAGGCCCTCAGCAGATGCTGGCACCTTGGTCTTGGACTTTCCAGCCTCCAGAACCACGAGTCAATAAATTTCAATTCATTATAAATTACCCAGTCTGTGGTATTGTTATAGCAGCATGAAACATACTAAGACAACACCATATAATTCACTCAAAGTGTTCAGTGTTTCTTAATATAGTCACACTGTTGTGTAGCTGTCACCACAATCTAATTTTACATTTTTGTCTCCCCACTAAAAGAAACCCTCTACCCATCAGCAGGCTAATCCCCATCTCACTCTCCCCAACCCTATCCAGACTAAACGACCATTAATCTAACTTCTGCCTCTATAAATTTACCTATTCTGGACATTTCCTACGAATGGAATCATACAGTATGTGTTTGGGGTTTTTTGCAACTAGATTCCTTAACTTGCATTTTCAAGCTTCACACATGTTATAGCAGGAATCAGTACTTTGTTTTTATTGCCAAATAATATTCCATTATATGGCTATATCACATTTTATCTATTCATTTGTCAGCTGGAGGACATTTGGGCTGTTACTTCTTTATTAGCTATTATTTATAATGCTGCTATAAACATTCCTGTACAAGTTTTTGTGTGGAAATACACTTAATTACTGGGACATATGGTAATTCTATGTTTAACTTTTTAAGAAACTGTCAAATTGTTTTCCAAAGTAGTTGTACTATTTTACATTGTCACTAGTAGCAGATGAGAGTTTCAATACTTCACATCCTTTCCAACACTTGATATCTGTCTTTTTGTTTATAGCCATCCCAGTGAGTGTGAAAAAACTGTACCTCATTTTGGTTTTGATGTGTATTTCTTTAATAACTAATGATGTTGAGCATCTTTTCATGTACATATTGGTGCTTTTTCCTCTCCTCACCTTAATTGGAAAGCTGTTACTTCCTTTTGTTCCCACAGTTTTGAGGTTCTGCCCTGACTTACTTATCACATTGTAAATATTATTGTTCTCTGAACTATGCATCCTTTGGTTAAAAACCTTACTTAGCATTTACATAATACATTCCCAAAGAGTCTGTCATTTTCCATTATTTCTATCCCTTTCATCATGTGATCTCTGTTCTAGGTCACTTGTTATTTGGCTAAAACCCCTTCTTGAATTTTCTCAGAGGAGTTAAGTGGGTATTATATCCTTGAAATTTTTGTATAGTTGTAACATGTTTCCCCTCATAGGGGAGAAATATCTTCAAGGGAAATAGGGATTTGGGATTGTGAAATCCCCAATCTGTAAATACTCTTCTACCATCTCCTAGTTTCCAGTGTTGTGAATTAGAATTCTGATTCCAGTCTGTTACTTGATAGGTGCAACCTGTTCTATCTGGAAGCCTCCAAGGTGAATCCTTGGAGCTCAAAAATTTTACAAGGATATCCCTATGTATGTGTTTTTCATCACTGATCTCCCCCAGAACTTCATTCTGCACACTGAAGTCTTTAGCTCAGGAAATAATTTTATGTTGTTTAATTATTCCTTCTCCATTTGTTCCTTTTTCTTCTTCTGGAACTTGTATTAGCCATGTTAGGTGTCCTGAATCGATCCAATAGGTCTCTTTTTTAAAAGTTTTTTTTTTTTGTATTTTTTTTTTGGCTCCATGCTTTGAAATATTTATTTTACTTGATCTTCCAGGTCAATAATTGTTCATACTCATTCATTCCTTTATTCAATAATTATGTTTCGGGCGCCTACTATGTGTAAGACAGTGTTCTAGGTATTAGAGTTGACAACAGATTAGCAGTGAATACAAGACAAAAAAGTTCCTGTTCTCCTGGTGCTTACACTCTAGCAGAGATAGTTTTAAAAAAAATAAGTGTGTGAGGATAAATGGAGTCAGGTGATAATAATTATTTAGGTGGAAAAATCACATTTTTTGTTCCATAAAGTCTTAAATGTGGCCCATTATTATTTTCATGTTCAAGTTTCTCTCTCCTCCAGCATTTTTTTTTTTTTTTTAAAGATGGAGTCTCGCTCTGTCACCCAGGCTAAAGGGAGTGGCGCGATCTCGGCTCACTGCAACCTCTGCCTCCTGGGTTCAAGTGATTCTCCTGCTTCAACCTCCTGAGTAACTGGGACTACAGGCGCCCACCACCGCGCCCGGCTAATTTTTTGTATCTTTTTTTAGTAGAGATGGGGTTTCCCCATGTTAGCCAGGATGGTCTCGATCTCCTGACCTCGTGATCCGCCCGCCTCGGCCTACCAAAGTGCTGGGATTACAGGCGTGAGCCACCGTGCCCAGCCTCCTCCAGCATTTCTATTTAGCTAACTCAATATATTGTTTATTCTAAGTGGTTTTTCTCTTTCAGGTTGCCTGGCTTCCCCAGATGGGTTGTTTATCTTTGTCACCTCATGGGGGATGAGATTTAGTTGTTGGAGGACCACAAGCGGTAGCAGTCTCAAGAAAATGGAAAGGCAAAGCAGTCTCTACCCCTGTGGGTAGGCAGTGCTGCAGCAGGCAAGCCACCAGCCCTTGTGGAGGCCCAGGAGGAAGCCTCCCTGCTCTCAGGTCTCCTTACATATGCCAGCCACAGGGATGGGAAGATCTCAGACCCATGGCTCTTTCCTTTTCTCCTTCCCTCCAGGAATTCATGGATATCTACCAAACCAAGTTCTTTCCTGGATTTGCCATTCTTATGCTTATCCTGAGATTTTCCAGGCTCTTGTCTAGAGGAAAAGTCCTGTACCAACTCTCCCTGACAGAGTTCTCACACAGCCCATGGCCTCAATTGCACCAACTGTTCATCAGATCCAGGAGCCACTTCACTCAAGATTGACAGATACAGGCTGGAAGCAGGAATGGAGGGATAGTGAGATATTCAAGTAGCCACCTTCCCAGAACTCACTCTGAAAAGTCAGTCCTGTTTACAGACTAATCCTAAAAGCATTAAAATCTTGGCATGTAAGTCAAAAATTTAAAGTGCCACTGTAAAGTCCAAACATCTGTGGACTGCATTGTTTTCAACTACTGCCCTAAGTATTAAGTTCTGAAGAAAAAATTTAAGAAATAAGGAAGATCTTAATGGAAGTCAAAATTAAAGGAAACTGATTAGATGGACTCTGAAAATAATTGTTATATAAAAGCAGTCAGACCAAAAGGAGTACATACTGTATGATTACATTTATATAAAATTCTAGGAAATGCAAACTAATTTGGTGACAGAAAAAGAGAACAGTGGTTGCCTAGGGACCAAGGAATTAGGTGAGTGGGGCATAAAGGGCACAAAGAAACTTCTGGGGGTGACGAAAATGTTCACTATCTTCATTATAATTATTTCATGGGCATATAAATGTCAAAATTCATCAACAAAATATACACCTTAAAGATGTACAGTTAACTTTATGTCAACTGCACCTCGATAAAAAAATACCGATGGGGAAAAACATTTGGAATTTATTTCCCAAAGGGATTGACATCCCTAAATATAAAGCATATCTAAAAAATAAAGAAGAATACCTACAGGTAACAGACATGAACAGGAAGTTCACTAAACTTTTCCGAATTTGAAATTTCCACAATAAAAAATAAAATATGTAATTTTCAGAAAAATATTAAAACACTATGTCTCACCCTCAATACAGGTGAAGAGATAAAATATAATTACAGTGTTACTGCAAGAATATTTGACTGCTGATAAATACCAATTATTTTTCTTTGTTTTTTACATTTTTCTTTTATTTTTAAAATTGAAGATGAGGTCTCACTATGTTCTCAGGCTGGTCTCAAACTCCTGGTCTACAGCCTCCATCTCTCAAAGTGTTGGGATTATAGGCATGAGTCACCATGTCCACCCATTAATACCAATTAATGATATAATCAAAGTTGGAGTAGAAGATTAGGAAAGTCATCTTGGAGGAAATAAGTATGAACTTGGTCTTGAAGTAATGAAACTGAATGTGGGTATATGTAATTTTTTTTACTGTAGGCAGGAAACAGCAGAAGAGAAGAAAGTTGAGATGAAGAAAAAAATATGAACGAAGGCAATGAAGTAAGGGGAAGATGGAGACAACTTTTAGGGCTTTTACTATAGGTTCACTGTTTCTAATATAACCATCAGAATCTTCTGTCACAAAAGGTTACATGTTGATGGAAAGAATACAGGAAAATAAATGAGATCTAATTTACCATATGAGGCTTTAGAATTTATTAAAATCATTTGTTATTTATGTACCATATTTAATCTTTGCCATGTCTATATTCTACCTATATTAGTATTTTTCTCTAGAAAGAATTTAGTTTTTACTCAGCTTCATTTCCATGAAAATGAAATATAATTTTTCTTAATATATTAAAAATATCTTACCTACCTTCAGTGATATTAAAATTCAATTATTTCACTTGCTCCATATGCCCATTTTTTTCCATCACTAACCCTTAGTCTTTAAGCATGCAGATCTAAATTTCCATTAGTTAGACTGGTACAAGTCTCCTGCGAATTGTTAAGTCTCTTATTTCTATCTCGCTGATAATTGCATCTTCCTAGAAATGTGAGGAGTGGAGAGCTACTAAAGACTGTTGGATTAAGGGTTGGGCACGGTGGCTCATGCCTGTAATCCCAGCACTTTGGGAGACTGAGGTGGGTGGATCACTTGAGGTCAGGAGTTTAAGACCAGCCTGGCCAACATGGTGAAACCCTGTCTCTACTAAGAATATGAAAATTAGCCGGGCATGGTGGTGCATGTCTGTAATCCCAGCTACTCTGGAGTCTGAGACAGGAGAATTGCCTGAACCTGGGAGGCGGAGGTTGCAGTGAGCCGAGACCACTCCACTGCACTTCAGCCTGAGCAAGGAAGCCAGACACTGTCCACCTGACAAAAAAAAAAAAAAAAAAAAAACAAACCAGATTGTTGGATTAAGTCAAGTTCAGATTTCTCAATTTTTAGTGCCATTTGAAAGAATATTCTACATTTGTAAATACTCTATGCGAAATAAAAAAGCAATCCAAAACAAAACGGTAGAAGAAGCAGTTAACTTTCAATTAATTTTGTTAAATCCATGAAGATAATAGAGCTTAAGAAGAACTAGTAACTACTGAAAAAACAGAGCAGCCTAGTTCAGAAAACACAAATAATTACATATATGTTTAAAGTAGAAACAGCGTGGTGTGGCGAAAAATAATGGCTTTAGAGCTACACAGCCCTTATTTTGAATTCCAAATCTGTCACTTAAATAATCTTCCTAATTTTTTGGCACCTCACTTTCCTCATTTTTAACATGGTGATAATGGTTACCTGTCCTGATTGTTGTGAGGATTAAATAAGCCACAAACCAGTGCCTGGTTTGAACACTGGCTCTGCTACTCACCATGCTCAACAATGGTAGTTGGTATTTTTACTGAAATGTTGATGACATTTTCTGGGTAAAATTGTTTCCTCTTTCAGCCTGGCCAAAGCAAGAAATTCTCGATTCTTTAAATTTACCAGCTTATAATCAATTTGTTAACCTATGCCATATGTCTAAATTCAGCCCGAAATTTAAAAATCTTTTGAATATTTTATAATACACTAAAATTACACTTAATATATTTTTATATTCCTAAATATTGCTTTGACTATAGAATTTAAAAATTAAGCAATATGCATATTTTATAGCAATTTTTATCTTTATAGAATTAAATCAGTTGAAATCTGGTGTATCTCTTGTGGGGCAAAAGTAGCAGACAGTTGACAGAAGGTTGGTATACTAAGCTAGAAAAATTTTGGAAGTGAGAGATTCTAAAAAGCCGATGATAACAGTGCTCAAATAAGAAATCAAAGTGTCTGAGATTGTAATATGAGAAAGAAGGGTCACAATCTAAACAAAGTTTTAAAATGTAAAAATCTGAAAGGAATCAAATTTGTATTCTTATATTAAGGTCTTAGATATAGTAAACAGAATTGGGAAGATATTTCAGAGAGGTATTAGTCTTTCTGACAATGGCTGGATACTGCGGGTTGGGGAAGGAGGCAGGAAAACATGCCTCACAGAGCCAACTTAAAAAAAGGATAAAGCTTTGATCCTGAGATTTTAAAGCGTGCAGATCTAAATTTCCGTTAGTTAGGCTGGTAAAAGCCTCCCATGAATTGTTAAAAGGACTAGAAAATAAAAGGCTTTTCAATCACTATAGAAAAGATTTTTATTGACACAGAGAAGCTCTTTAGTTGTCTATTTCAATCTATTTTAATGTTAGTGAATAAAAAGAGATAATCTTTTTTTTTTTTTGAGACAGGGTCTCACTTTCTCACTTTGTTGCCCAGGATAGAGTGCAGTGGCATGATAACGGATTACTGCAGCCTCCACCTCCTGGGTTCAAGCAATCCTCCCACCTCAGCCTTCCGAGTAGCTGGGACTACAGGCACACAACACCACGCCCAGCTAGTGTGTGTGTGTGTGTGTGTGTGTGTGTGTGTGTCCCTGTGTCCAGGCTAGTGTTGAACTCCTGGGCTCAAGTGTGTGTGTGTGTGTGTCCCCGTGTCCAGGCTGGTGTTGAACTCCTGGGCTCAAGTGTGTGTGTGTGTGTGTGTGTGTGTCCCCGTGTCCAGGCTGGTGTTGAACTCCTGGGCTCAAGTGTGTGTGTGTGTCCCTGTGTCCAGGCTGGTGTTGAACTCCTGGGCTCAAGTGTGTGTGTGTGTGTGTGTGTGTCCCCGTGTCCAGGCTGGTGTTGAACTCCTGGGCTCAAGTGTGTGTGTGTGTGTGTGTATGTATGTGTGTGTCCCCGTGGCCAGGCTAGTGTTGAACTCCTGGGCTCAACTGTGTGTGTGTGTGTGTGTGTGTATGTGTGTGTGTGTGTGTGTGTCCCCGTGTCCAGGCTGGTGTTGAACTCCTGGGCTCAAGTGTGTGTGTGTGTGTGTGTGTGTGTGTGTGTGTGTGTGTCCCCGTGTCCAGGCTGGTGTTGAACTCCTGGGCTCAAGAGTGTGTGTGTGTGTGTGTGTGTGTCCCCGTGTCCAGGCTGGTGTTGAACTCCTGGGCTCAAGTGTGTGTGTGTGTGTGTGTGTGTGTGTGTGTGTGTGTGTGTGTGTGTGTCCCGTGTCCAGGCTGGTGTTGAACTCCTGGGCTCAAGTGATCTGCCCACCTTGGCCACCCACAGTGCTGGCATTACAGGTATGAGCCACCAAGCCCAGCCAAATCACCTTTTTTAGAACATAAGCTTTCATGGGTAACAATTATTTAGTTAATAGTCTAACATCCTGTGGATTCTCAATAAAATTTAAACCTCATTTAATAGAAATTTGTCTCATAGTTTGCTCTCCTACCATTTGTATTACTTGTGAGTTACTGTTTGGAGATGCTCTTCAATACCAGTACAGGTTCCTCTCTCTATTGTGCTATAGGTCCATTTCTAAAAATTTCCTTAGAACCTTATTTTAAAGGAGAGAAAATCTTCTAAATGGCAATCTGTGTCCAGTGAAGGCAAGTTTATCAATTCAAATCTGCCTAATCCATAGGCAATATAAGATTTGAGGAGCAGGGGAGAAAATCTCGAACAATTATTTCACAAAAATACTAACCATAATATTTATTTTTATTTTTTAATACATATATTTTTAGGCTAGCCAAGTGAAGCAGTGGAAATAAATATTTAAATAAATGAATGAATGGAAATTCATATCTGATTAAGTAAATGCAATAATCAGTAAAACTTTGTTATATTGGTCCTATTTTTAAAAATCACAGTTTCGATAATGCTCACATCAAAATCTGTGGCTCAGGCACATTAAGATATAAAGTAATCTCTTCTTATTAGTAAAAAGCTAGGATTTGGCATCATGGTATAGTGGAGAGCACAAAGAATTTATAAGTTGAACATTGGCTCTGCTACTCACCATGTGGCCTGAGGCAAGTCACTTATTCACCAGCCTCAGATTATCACTAAAAAGGCAATAACCACCCACTATCCCACAGAGTGGAGAAAGGATGAAATTAATAACACTTCCATAAATGGCCTCAATCTACCTCTCTCCCTCATCTCTTATCTCTTTACCACATGCCCAATGTGCTAACTGCCCTAAACTTTTATTTCCCATGTGCTATACCCTGCTCTCATTCCTTTGTATTGTTCTTTTTATCATTGCCTCTAAACCTTCCTGCAAGAATTGTGTCCCTTCCTCTGAGATACCTGTCCAGGGTCCCGTCCAGTTAATATTATTATTCTATCATCTGTTATCCAAATCTGTTTCTTTTTCTTATTAGACCACTAAAAGTAGTTCTTATTTTTGAGTGCTGTCACATATGTATTAAGTGCTTTATAGATGGTACATAATCCCATGTAATCCTCACAACCACCCTGTAAAGCAGGTGCTGTTATTCTCTGTTTTATCAGTGAAGGAAAGTAGTCCTTGAGAAGTTAAACAGCTTGGCAAAAGTCACTCAAGTAATAATTAATAACAAATTATCACTACTAATAATTAGTAGGACTGGGATTTAAAGTGAAGTCTCTGACTCTCATTCTGCTGCCTTTGGTGGGGATCCTCCCGTACATCCTATACTTCTGTAGCCTTAGGAAAAAAGTAAGTACAATACCTGACATATTTATACTGAACATGTGTTTGGTGAATAAAAAAGGCAGGGAGCATGTCTTACTCACTGAGTTGCTTATTATGTGCCATATTTTTACCTTAGGACCTGGAGATACGAAAATGATCTGACGAAGTCCTCAAGGAGTTTATAATCAGTGTACCAGGGGAGAGAATCAAGTAAACAGATTATTATAATACAGTGTGTGGTTAAGTACTGTTTCTGAGCACACGCTGCTGAGAAAACAGAATGGGTAGGAAGAAAACAGTCAAGAAAGACGTAAGGAAAGTCCGAGTTTCTGCTTTTCCCTTCGAAACCCAGGGTTTTGAAATTAAGCAGGGTTCTAATATACAGGCATACCTTGTTTTATTGTGCTGTGCTTTATGGTGCTTCACAGATACTTTGGGGTTTTTTGTTTGTTTACAAATTTAAAGTCTGTGGCAACCCTATGTCAAGCAAGTCTTTTTAGTGCTGTTTTTCCAATAGCATGTGCTCACTTCATGTCTGTCGCATTTTGGTAATTCTTACAATATTTCTAACTTTTTCATTATAACTATACTTGTTTATGATGATCTGTGCTATTGAAATTGCTGTTACTATTGAAATTGTTTTGGGGCACCATGAACTGTGCCCACAGAAGACTTAATCCATAAATGTTGTGTGTGTTCTGACCACTCCATCAACCAGCTGCTTCCTTTTCCCTCTCCCTCTCCTCTGGCCTCCCTATTCACTGAGACACAACAATACTGAAATTAGGCCAGTTAATAAACCCACATTGGCCTCTAAGTTTTCAAGTGAAAAGATGTTGGACATCTCTCACTTTCAATCAAAAGCTTGAAATGATTAAGCTCAGTGAGAAAGGCATGTTAAAAGCCGCCAGGCCAAAAGCTATGTCTCTTGCACTAAAGAGCAAGTTGTGAATGCAAAGGAACAGTTCTTGAAGGAAATTAAAAGTGCTATTCCAGTGAACACATAAATGTTAAGAAAGCTAAACAACCTTATTGCTGATATGAAGAAGGTTTTAGTGATCTGGATAGAAGATCAAACCAGCCACAACATTCCAATATGCAAAAACCTAATCCAGAACAAGACCCTAACTCTCTTCAATTCTATGAAGGCCAAGAGAGTTGATGGGGGTGCAAAATAAAAGTTTGAAGCTAACAGAAGTTGGTTCATGAGGTTTAAGGAAAGAAGACATCTCCAAAACATAAAAATGCAAGGTAAAGCAGCAAGTGCTTTTACAGAAGCTATAGCAAGTTATCCAGAAGATTGAGCTACGATCAATGATGAAGGTGGCTTCATTAAACAACACACTTTCACTGGAGAGGAAGCAGTCTTATGTTGGAAGAAGATGCCATCTAGGACCTTCATAGCTAGAAAGGACAAGACAATGCCTCGCTTCAAAGGACAGGTTGCCTCTCTTGTTAGGGGCTAATGCAGCTGGTGACTTTAAGTTAAAGTCAATGCTCATTTACTGTTCTGAAAATCCTAAGACCCTTAAGGACTATACAACAAGCCAGGTGTAATGGTGCACATCTGCAGTCTCAGCTACTAGGAGGCTGAGATAGGACAATCACTTGAGCACAAGAGTTCAAGGCTGGCTGGGCAACATAGTGAGACTCCTGTCTCTTAAAAACGAAAAAAAAAAAAAAAGGTTTATGCTAAATCTACTCTGCCTATGCTCAGCGGAACAACAAAGCCTGAATAGCAGCTAATCTGTTTACAGCATGGTTTATTGATTTTTTTTTTTTTTTTGAGACGTAGTCTTGCTCTGTTGCTTAGGCTGGAGTGCAGTGGCCCGATCTCAGCTCACTGCAACCTCCGCCTCCTGGGTTCAAGCGATCCTCCTGTCTCAGCCTCACAAGTAGCTGGGATTTACAGGCATATGCCACCACGCCCAGTTAATTTTTGCATTTAGTAGAGACGGGGTTTCGTTATGTTGGCCAAGCTGGTCTCGAACTCCTGACCTCAGGTGATCCACCCACCTCGGCCTCCCAAAGTGCTGGGATTACAGGTGTGAGCCACTGCACCCAGCTAGTTTACCGAGTATTTTAAGCCCACTGCTGAAACCTACTGCCCAGGAAAAAAAGATTTCTTTCAAAATATTACTGCTCTTCAACAATGCACTGGTCACTCAAGAGCTCCGATGGAGATGTACAAAGAGATCAATGTTGTTTTCATGCCTGCCAGCATAACATCAACAACAGCATCTTTGATCCATCTGCAGCTTATGGATCAAGGAATTATTTCAACTTCCAAGTCTTATTACTTATGAACTACATTTTCTAAGGCTGTAGCTGCCATAGATAGTGATTCCTCTGATGGATCTAAGCAAAGTACAGTGAAAATGATTCACCATTCTAGACGGCATTAAGAACATTTGTGATTCATGGGAAAAAGTAAAAATATCAACATTAGGCTGGTGAGTGCAATGGTATTTACAACTAACTGATCATAACCAGTTACAGATTCCTTTGTTCCTTCTCTCACTCCTACTCCTTCACTTGACCAGCCTTAAAAAAAAAAAAAAAAAAATCAACATTAACATTGGGAAGAAGTAGATCCTAGCCCTCATGGATGACTTTCAGGGGTTCAAGACTTGAGTGGAGGAAATAATGCAGATATGGTGGAAATAGCAAGAGTACGAGAATTAGAAGCAGAGACTGAAAATGTGACTGAATTGCTGCAATTTCATGATAAAACCTGAATAGATAAGGAGTTGCTTCTTATGGTTGAGCAAAGAAAGTAGTTTCTTGACATGAAATCTGCTGATGAAGATGCTGTGAACACTGGTGAAATGGCAACAAAGGATTTTAGAATATTCCATAAACTAAGCAGCAAGGTTTGAGATGATTGACTCCAATTTTGAAAGAAGTTCTGTGGGTAATATGCTATCAAACAACGTTGCATGCTACAGAGAAATCTTTCATAAAAGAGTCAATTCATGCAGTAAACTTCATTGTTGTTCTATTTTAAGAAATTGCCACAGTTACCACAACCTTCAGCAGCCCACCCTGCAGCAGCCATCAACATTGAGCCAACACTCTCCACCTCCACCAGCAAAAAGATTATTACTCACTGAAGGCTCAGATGATCATTAGCATTTTTTGGTAATAAAGTATATTTTAGAGCCAGGAATGGTAGTACATGCCTGTAGTCCAAGCTACTTAGGAAGCTGAGGCAGGAGGGGAGGATCGCTTGAGCCCAAGAGTTTGAGTCCAGCCTGAGTAACATAGCAAAATCCTGTCTTTAAAAAAAATAAAAATAATTTTTAAATTAAGGTATGTACACTGTTTTTTAAAGACATAATGCTATTGCACACTTAACAGACTACAGTATAGTATAAATAAATATCATTTTTATATGCAGTGGGAAGTCAAAAATTCATGTGACGGCCAGGCGCAGTGGCTTACGCCTGTAATCCCAGCACTTTTGGAGACTGAGGCGGGCGGATCACGAAGTCAGGAGACCATCCTGGCTAACACGGTGAAACCCCATCTCTACTAAGAATACAAAAAATTAGCCAGGTGTGGTGGCATGTGCCTGTAGTCCCAGGAGGTGGAGGTTGCAGCGAGCAGAGATCACGCCACTGCACTCTAGCCTGGTGACAGAGCGAGACACCATCTCAAAAAAACAAAACAAAACAAAAAAAACAACAATTCATGTGACTCATTTTATTGCAGTGGTCTGGAACTGAGCCCACAATATTTCCAAAGTATACCTGTACCTTTTCAAAAAATTAGATTATCTACATTCACACTTCTATTTTATCTCAAATTCCTCATCTGTCCCGTTCAAATAAATCTCATATTTAAAAAACACATTTTAAAGGATGATTTACATTCTAAATATGTTCAATTTATATGACACTACATATTTTTCTCTCCATATAAATTCAGAAGAAAAAACAATGAAAAATGCTACTGGTTATATAACTGGCCAATGTTGGAAGTGCTTGTGAAAAAACCATGATCAATTTAAGATTTTTTTTTTTTAACTTAGGAGAACAAGGGGATAAAGCTCATTGCATGAAAAGCAACTGCTCCAAAAAATCATGTTATCTTCAAAAATATTTTACTCCTAGGTTTAAAAAAACAAATAACTTTTAGATTGTTCTGACATACATTTCCCTCCTTCCTACCCTTGAATTTAACCTTATAATAAAGGCAAGTGCAATTTAGATAATATACTACCAGCAGTTGTTCACTTGCTAAGCAATAGTTTATTCAAGTAGGTATTTTCTGGGCTGTTATGGAAAATGCCAAAGTAAAAATGCTTATTAAACTCAATTTAGATTATATCTGTCACTTCTTCCTTGTTAAAAGCAATTACTATGGAAGAAAATAAATTACACCTAATAATGTCCACTCATTACAAAGTTGGGTACTATCAAATTTTTATGGCTTTTACAGGTAGTTGCTAACAGATTGAATGATTTTAACACTCTCTTATAATCTGAAGAAAGCAAATTTCTGCAAACATAATGGGACTAGTAAAGATGAAATAATAAAAAACAGTAGAGGTGGTGGAGAAAGCAAATTTAAAAAACAAATGAAATGAGGTACAGATGGACTTCGTTTGCAGCTTATGAAATTAACGAAGACAACAGCAAAGACAAAAGCCTAAAGGGATTAAACTGTAAGGGTGGAAAACATAAGCAAAGAAGGTGCAGCTTCAAATACACATTAGCCTTACTATCACATTTGGGATTAAGTAAAAAATAAGTAAATAAATAAATACACACAGGCCTGAGACAGAACCTAATTGAGCTGAAGTTGAGTTGTAGAGAATCATATTCAAGTTCAAAGCAGATTAAACTTGCTTTCCACTTTCCATCATCCTATTCAGCAAAATGAAAATAACCTTGCGGACAAAGAGTTTACATAAAATCTTTTTTCTGATATTCCCCTAATAAATTATCTCACTAGAAGGAAAAAACAAAAGGAACATTTTCCTTAAAAGTTTGCATCTTCAAACAAGATTCATAAAAATTCTCGAATGGTTTTAAGAAAAAGATAACCAACCGCTATTGACACCAAGGAATTGCAATGTGTTACATGCTATAAAGGAAAGTGAGAATCACAGAATCACGGAATTAAAAGTAACTTTGAGGCCGGACGCAGTGGCTCACACCTGTAATCCCAGCACTTTGGGAGGCAGAAGCGGGGGATCGCTTGAGGTCAGGAGTTTGAGATCAGCCTGGCCAAAAAGGTGAAACCTTGTCTCTACTAAAAATACAAAAATTAGCCGGGCGTGGTGGCAGGCATCTGTAATCCCAGCTACTCGGGAGGCTGAGGCAAAAGAATCGCTTGAACTCGAGAGGCGGAGGTTGCAGTAAGCCGAGATCACCCCACTGCATTCCAGCCTGGGTGACAGAGAAAGACTCCATCTCCAAAAACATAAATAAAATAAAATAAAAGTAATTTTGAGAGCTTATTCCCTTATTCTTAATTCATATAACTAAAGACGCTGCTCACGATTTACAGACTTGAAAAATAAGGGGCTTCAAATTACAACTATATTTAATACTATAATATTAACAAAGATTTAATTGCTTGTTTAAAAATTCAAAACCACAATTCCTCTAGCAAGTGTGAACTGTTACCATTTAAAGAAAATAATAGGGATAATCACATTCATCAAATACTTTTTTTAACCTGATGCTATGCTAGTCACCACAATGACCATCTCTTGTACTTTTGTTCTGCCATTAAAAAATTCTTAGACCATTCATTATTGAATTATAGTTTAAGCTGGTAAACTGAGGTAAAATACTGAATAACCTGAGAAATCACAAGTACAGTCAAAGTCCACGGTACAAAACTACTGAACCATGCTCCCTCTTTATATAATATTATGTAAACTGCTAAGTTTAAATGTCATCCACTCGGTGGGTTTAAAGTCTTTTCCAGATATAATCTAAACTGTGAGGAAAAAGTGAATTCTAAATTCCACATAAATTGACTTCTGTGTCTTTCTTTTTGCTTGAAAACTCTTCAAACATTGCCACTGATTCAGTTTCACCTGTTGGTAATGAACACAGAACTCATTGTGGGGAAAAACAATCCAGTGTGTGAGAAAAGTAAGAGAAGCTATCAGATACACAGGGGAGTGAAATAAGTAACTGAAAAACACCTCAACCACAACACTTTTCTCTGTCCTAAAGAAGGCATTTTGAATTTTGATATCCTAGTTACTTCTTTCATGAAACATTTTATAGGTTCCAAAAGCTCCCAAGTTGCGTACTCACCTGGTTCATCTGAATCCTGAATCCGGGCTTTTATGTCTGCTAAACTAGGCTCTTGAGAGATCGAAGCCGCTGCCCCCTCCTCTGGGTCCTCTACCTTAGTCACAGTAAAATGTGGCATTGTTATAGTTAGATAATACTTTGCTCTTTCTGTATTTAAACTTCCTTCCAGTTAGTTTTCCCTGCCTACCTCTTCCTTGCTGTCGTTTCAGACTGTGATCCCTGCCTACAAGAGACAGTGGCTGGGATTCGGGAAGTACTTTAAGCTCACGTGACCTACAGCCCTGAGGGAGTGGGGCGCTTGAAGACACGCCTTCCACAGTGTTTATCATTCACTTAAAAGGATTAAGCACTCCACCCTTGCTTATTGTTATTAACCTGAAGAACCCCAAGAACAGTTTAGCCTGCTTCCCAAAGCTGCTGAAACCTGGAGACTGGACAGAATTCACAGTGAACTACTGTCTACCGCTTGCTCCTCTATTTCCTTCACTGAAGTTGTCATTCTTATCTGCATGTCATGATCTCAACCTCTGCCCTCATATTTCACACAAGAAAGATTAGAGAACAGTTAACTTTTTTTTTTTTTTTTTTTGAGACAGGGTCTCGCTCGCCCTGTTGTCCAGCCTGGAGTGCAGTAGTGCGATCTCAGCTCACTGCAACCTCCGCCTCCCAGGTTCAAGCGATTCTCCTGCCTCAGCCTCACGAGTAGCTGGGACTACAGACATGTGCCACCATGCCCAGCTAATTTTTTTTTTGTATTTTTAGTAGAGACGGGGGTCTCACCACGTTGGTCAGGCTGGTCTCAAACTCCTGACCTCAGATGATTTGCCCACCTCGGCCTCCCACAGTGCTGGGATTAACAGGCGTGAGCCACCGTGCCCAGCCGGGAATGGTTCATTTTTATACTGTCCTCTTTAAAGACTGACTGGCACTATATCAACTTAAAATATGAAAGATACGGCTGTGCGCCGTTGCTCACACCTGTAATCCTAACACTTTGGGAGGCCAAGGTGGGCGGGTCACCTGAGGTCAGGAGTTCAAGACCAGCCTGGCCAACATGGGGAAACCCTATCTCTACTAAAAATACAAAAATTAGCCAGGCGTGGTGGTTCATGCCTGTAGTCCCAGCTGCTCAGGAAGCTGACACAGGAGAATCCCTTGAATCCAGGAGGCGGAGATTGCAGTGAGCAGAGATTGCGCCACTGCACTCCAGCCTGAGCGACAGAGCGAGACTCTGTCTAAAAAAAAAAAGAAAGAAAAAGAAAAAAATATATATGTTTAAAGAGTTCAGAACTTTTGTATTGTACAGAGTGGTTGTTTCAAAGAAAAAAAAAAAAGTCCCAGAAAATCCCTTTAAGTGGCGTACAGTTCCTTTAGCATACCCTTAAAATAACATACTTAATTCTTGATATAATTTATCAGACAACTGTATCAAGTTCTCAGCTGACGACTTTAGAGTATGAGGTTCTACCTCTGTACTTAGCAGGGGAGTTCAGTAAATTGAGCCCTGTGTAATGTCCATATTGATGATGTAGTATAAGGCCTCTGTTATTGGGAATGCCTTCCATCTGACAAGTAAGGTTGTGCTAAATTTAACTGAAGCAATGATGCTTTGAATTCTTAGTCATTCAGTTATATACCACTTCTTGCAGCACTATTCACAACAGCCAAAATATGGAATCAACTTAAGTGCCCATTAACACATGAGTATATGAAGAAAATGTGGAATATATATACAACAGAATACGATTCAGCCATAAAAATGAAATCATGTCATTTGCGGCAACACGGATGGAACTGGAGGTCATTATGTTAAGTGAAATAAGCCAAGCATAGAGAGACAAATATCACATTTTCATTCATACGTAGGAGCTAAAAATGTGGATCTCATGAATATAGAAAGTAGAATGGTTGTTACCAGAGGCTAGGAAGGGTAGGGGGGAAGGAGGATTAAAGAGGAAAAAAAGAAGGTAAATATAAAAGCACAATCACGTTGATAACTGATTTATGCTAGCAAGAATACTGGCCTTGTTTTGGAATAAACAATTTTTTTTTTTTTTTTTTAAAGAAAAAGCTAGGCTGGGTGAGGTGGCTCATGCCTGTAATCCCAGCACTTTGGGAGGCCGAGGCGGGTGGATCAAGAGGTCAGGAGATCAAGACCAACCTGGCTAACACAGTGAAACCCTGTCTCTACTAAAAATACAAAAATCTTAGCCAGGCGTGGTGGCGGGCGCCTGTAGTTCCAGAAGGCTGAGACAGGAGAATGGCATGAACCTGGAAGGTGGAGCTTGCAGTGAGCCAAGATCACGTCACTGTACTCCAGCCTGGGCGACAGAGCAAGACTCGTCTCAAAAAAAATAAATACAATAAAATAAAATAAAATAAAATAAAGGAAAAGAAAACCCTACAAATATATACCACTTCTAAAAGAGAAGGAAAGCAATAAAGACCTAGTTTGTACTCTGCATTGCACTAGAAACTTTACATCACGATCTCATTTAATCAACACGAAAACAGAAACATTAGACTAAGAAACTTGCCCAAAGTCACCATTGTAAGTGGTGAAACTCAACTTTAAAACCTCTAATGCCCTGAGGTAGGCAACATAGAGTATGTTTCAAAGAAAGAAAACTCATATACACTCACCTAAATTTTATTTCATTGGTTCTTAATAGCACTGGTTTGGCTGCACAGGTTCTCTCCTACGGTGAACTATATATAAAAGTGCAGGGGCATAGAAAATTGAAGGCAAAGTTAAAGTAGTACAGAAAAAGCTGAGAGAAAACTAGTAAAGCTGAGGTGTGTGATGTGCATGGAGAGTGATTAAAGAAGGTGGGATGTGAGAAATAGCTATTTAAAGTACAATACACTATCACAATGAGGTTATCACTACACTCACCAAGATGGCTAAAATTCCTAAGACCAAAAACACCAAATTTGGCAAGACTGTGGAACAAAAAGAACTTTCATACACTGTTGTTGGGGGTATAAATTAGTACAACCACTATGGAAAAGGGTCTCACACTTTCCCCTATAATCTGGCAATTCCACTCATAGGTATTTACCCTTAAAAATGAAAATATATTCCCACAAAAGGACTTGCACAAAAATGTTCACAACAGTTTATTCATAATATCCAAAAACTGGAAACATCTTAGGTATACATTCACAAGAGAATGGATAAAGTGTGATATAGTCATACAAAGGATTACTATTCAGCAATAAAAAGGAATAAACTAGATATGTTCAACAACATGCATGAATCTCAAAAACATTACGGCTAGGTGAAAGATGCTTTAAACAGAAGAGTACATAATATGTGAATCCACTTTTATAAGGTTTTAGAACAGACAAAACTAACCTATGATGCAGAAAAAGCAGGACAATGGCTGGATCTGGAAGAATGGAAATACAGATTAACTGGGACTGGGCCTGAAAGAACTTCCTAGAGTGATGGTAATATTCTACATCTTGATGGGGTTTAGGATTCCACAGGTGCATGCATTTATCAAAACTCTGCCAATGTTCACTTAAAACTCGTGCCTTTGCCGGGCGTGGTGGCTCACACCTATAATCCCAGCACTTTGGGAAGCTGAGGTGGACGGATCACCCGAGGTCAGTTCGAGACCAGCCTGACCAACAGGGAGAAACATTGTCTCTACTAAAAATATAAATTAGCTGGGCGTGGTGACACATGCCTGTAATACCAGCCACTGGGGAGGCTAAGGCAGGAGAATCACTTGAACCCGGGAGGCAGAGGTTGCGGTGAGCCGGGATCATTCCACTCCAGCCTGGGCAACAAGAGTGAAACTCTATCTCGAAAAAAAAACAAAAACAAAAACTCGTGCCTTCACTGTACGAAAAGTTTACCTCAAAAGAAAAAAAGCTGCAGTTACTGAATTCTAATTCATAATTATATGAATTCTAATTTATAATTCATAATAATGCATTGTGAAGTATTTGTGGGAGGTGAACTGATTCTGCAATTTACCTTAAAATGCATACAATAGGATAGATGGACACATATGTAAAAAGACAAGTATAATAAAATGTTAATGATAGTATCTAGGTGGTGGGTGTATGGGTGTTCACGATGAAAGTTTTTCAAGCTCCTGTATGCTTGAAAATTTTCATAATAGGCTGGGCGTGGTGGCTTACACCTGTAATCCCAGCACTTTGGGAGGCCAAGGTGGGCAGATCACTTGAGGTCAGGAGTTTGAGACCAGCCCAGCCAACATTGTGAAACCCCGTCTCCACTAAAAACACAAAAATTAGCCAGTCGTGATGGTGAGCGCCTGTAACCCCAGCTACTCGGGAGGCTGAGGCAGGAGAATCGCTTGAACCCAGGCAGGTGGAAGTTGCAGTGAGCTGAGATTGCACCACTGCACTCCAGCCTGGGCGACAGAGTGAAACTCTGTCTCAAAAAAAAAAAAAAAAAAAAAAAAAGGAAAGAAAGAAAAAAATAAAAGAAAATTTTCATAATAAAATGTTGAAAAAATACAATGGACACCATTATGAAAATGAATAGGCAAGTCACAGACTGGGAGAAAATATTCATAAAACATATACTTGACAAAGGAGATCTGTATCTAGAAGACATAAAAATTCCCTACGCCTCAATAATATGAAGACAAATAAAATGGGCAAAAGATTTAAACAACTGACAAAGGAAGATATGCAAACCACTAAAAACCGCTGAAACAGTGCTCATCCCTGGCCATCAGGGAAATGCAAATTAAAATCACAATTTAAAACAATGGTCCCCAACCCCTGGGCCATGGACTGGTACTGGTCCCTGGCCTGTTAGGAACGGGGCCCGCACAGCAGGAGGTGAGAGGCAGGCAAGCATTACCGCCTGAGAGCCGCCTCCTGTCGGATCAGCGGCAGCATTAGATTCTCATAGGAGCGCCAACCCTATTGTGAACAGCAATTCCGAGGGATCTAAATTATGTGCTCCTTATGAGAATCTAATGCCTGATGATCTGAGGTGGAACAGTTTCATGCCAAAACCATGCCTGTCCCCGACCTTAGTCTGTGGAAAAACTGTCTTCCATGAAACCAGCCTCTGGTGCCAAAAAGGTTGGGGACTGCTGATTTAAAAGACTGTTGGCATCCAGGCATGGTGGCTCAGGCCTGTAATCCCAGCACTTTTGGGGGCCAAAGTGGAAGGACTGCTTGAGCTCAGGAGTTTGAGACTAGCCTGGGCAACATGGCGAAACCCTTTCTCTACCAAAATTCAGAAAAATTTAGCCAGGTTTGCTACTGAATACCTGTAGTCCCAGCTGAGGCAGGAGGATTGCTTGAGCCTGGGAGGCTGAGGCTGCAATGAGCCCTAATTGTGCCACTGCACGCCAGCCTAGGTGACAGAGTGAGATCTTGTCTCAAAAAAAAAAGACTTTTGGTAAAGATGTAGCACAAACATTGGTGGGGAGTGTAAAATGGCACAATCATTTTGGAAAAAGTTCCAGTAGTTTTTTTATAAATCAAAAACATATGCCTACCCTAAGACCCAGCAATTCTTGTTCTCTGTATTTTTACCCAAGAGAAATAAAAGCGTAAGTCCACAAAAATTCAAACAAATATGTATATAACAGCTTTATTCATAAAAACCCAAGCAGGAAACAGCCCAGATATCCATCAATAAAATAATCAACCTGCAGTACATGGCATACGATGAATTATTATTCAACGATAAACAGGAATCATACAGGTATGAAATATTTACATTTGTATACTTTAAAAAAATTATGGTATTTTTAAGTAATAAGATATAAAGGTCAGGCCAGGGCAAAAGGGGCATTTATAATGGCATTACTCCCATAGTGCTTTATATATTAGGCCAAATCTTACACATATTGTATTTATGTTATTAATTAGTTTCAGTAAAACACATTATTTGTGACTATATTATACCTGCTAAAAATAGTTAGCATGCCCATTCTTCAGAGGAATGGGTCTATTTTGGGGTAGTATTTTGATACTGCAACTTAATATGTTACACTAGCATAGCTCAGAACTCATAATAACCACTGTTCTGTTTTATTAAACCCATTTATTAAAAAAAAATTTTAAGTTAGATTTAGTGAAAAGATTGAAACAATTAAGGGAAAGTCAGTGGGAAATTATTTTCAATATAAGGATTCTCTATCAGAGGGCTACCGGTAGGGAAAGAGCACTCTATATCCCATACTCCGTACCCTCTCGAGTGTGGTATCATTTAGAAGGTTAGGCGAACATGAAAGGATGTGAACCACTGTTTTAGAACACTGCTTTGCAAATTATCTCTGGTAAAGAACTTTTTTTTTCTTTGAATTTCCAATTCATTATGGGCCAATAATTTTGTTAAAAAATAGTAAAAATGAATTACTAGAAAAATAAAATAAATATATATCAAATATAAGCCCCAATTTGTTATTATTAGATTTGACAGACATAAATTTGTTCTATCAAACTGCTATGCAAGTTTCTAAAAACTCAATTTCTGAACTTATCTCCTCACAAATAATAAACAGCTCATGGGCCAGCACTGTCTCGTACTACACTCTGAATAGTTCTGTGTTAGAAAATGCTATAAACATCTTACAGGAGAATGAGCTGTTCACCACTTACATTTAGGGCTACTACTATAGCAGAGCCTGAAAGGTATAGTCTCATTCTTAAGTAGAAGATGTATACACATTTTCCTTATTTATCATATTCAGCAAACCCTCTTATCCCTCTGCAACTGAGACAGGAAATATTAGTGAAAAATATAAAAAAGATCACAAATTCTAAATTTTGCCTTACTATGTATAAAATTATTAAAAGAATTGAATGCATCAATTACTTTGGTAAAGACCAACTATCATGGGATGGTAAGGACTTACAGCTTAAGTCTTTTAAATCTTGACTTGAAACTGTCTATGAAAATGCATTTTTATGAAATGTTATCAGTGGTGAATATATAATGAATTTGGAGGCTAAAACTAAAAATAGAAGAATTAAATGTCATACATCAGAAATGAAACCCTGAGTAACTGAATGTCTGTGTTCATAGCTGCCAGTGCTACCTCTTTGGTTGGTGATTTATATATTTATAAATATATAAAAGACATTATTTTCTGGTGGATTCATCATATTGTAGAGTAAGAAAGGCAAAGAGTTCTCCAAGTTAAAGCCTCAGGAAAATCTCATGCTTTAACTGAGGCTGAAAGGATCATGCATTCACTCAATAATATTTGAGTGCCCACTAAGTGCCAAGAAATAGGAATGAAATGGAGAGCAAGACACTGTTCCTGCCCAAGGAGCTCACAGTCTTATTATCCAAATTAACTATAGACTCAAAGGCAATACAAAACTAGGATTATACGTCCAATGCACTATAATTAGAGAATGAACCTTGAGAACACAACACACCACCACCTGCCCAGCTACTTTTTCAACTTCCTAAAAGTTGTGTCTTCACTAGAGGAAAGAATAGAGTAGGATAGTTGATGGCTAGCTAATTTGATAGCTACTTCAGCCATTTTGGCCGCTGATCCAAATACCAAAGCAGGCATTATCAAATGCCTCTGAGTCCTCAGTTGCCACTGTTGCCTCTTTCAGCATATCACAACTCTTTATAAAAGGTTGCCACCTTTTTCCTTAGTCTAATGTCAATATAGCCCAGGTATGACAGATAGGACCTGAGAATCCCAACCAAAGAGGGTAGCACTGGCAGCTATGAAGACAGACATTCAGTTACTCAGGGTTTCATTTCTGATCTAAGATATTTCATTCATCCATTATGAAATGCTTGCTAGATTAAAAACGGGCTCCTAGTCAACACAAAAAAAGTGTATAGAAAATAAACCTGACATTAAGCAACATATTGTTAAAACTAAGGACATATTTCTAAAAATGTGAGGAAAGGAAAATGAAAACACAATCCAAAACAAAATTTTTTAGATCTATTGAGACTTGGGTCAAAATCTTCATTAGCTTTAGGACAGAATGATTAATGTAACTAAATCAATAACTGTTGATGTAACTCAGCACTACTACACTGCTCTAGGCACATAATTTGTGTAAAAGACAATGAAATACCTATTCTTATGCCAGATTTCTTTTTACGAACATAGAATCTAAGTTATTCAGAGAATATGTCATTTTATTACTTTTTTTTTTTTTTTTTGATACAGGGTCTTGCTCTGTCACCCAGGCTGGAGTGCAGTGGCATGATCATGGCTCACTATAGCCTTGACCTCTCGGACTCAAGCAATCCTTCCATCTCAGCCTCCCAAGTAGCTGGGACTACAGGTGCACACCACCACAACTGGCTGCTTTTTTTTTTTTTTTTTTTTTTTTTTTTGTAGAGATGAGGTTTCACTATGTTGCCCAGGCTAGCAATTATGTCTTAATAAATGTTTCAATAGGGCCAACTATTATTAGCATACCAGAGAAAATGCAGTGTAATGACAAAAATTCTGGTCTTGGAATTACATGTGCCTAGGTTCAATCATTATTCTTCAACTTATTATTTGTATGACCTTGGGCAAGTTACTTAACCTTATCAACCTCAGGTTTCTCCTGGATAAGAAAAATTTCATCTTAGTACAGAATAAAATGACTTTTTAAAAAATGAAAAAATACCAAAACTGATCATTTTTCAAAAGGGGAAAGAACTGACCTCATCTAATAGGGAAGAATATTTTTCTATTCCTATCAATTCTTAAAATTTCATTTGAAATGTAGCATGCTGCTGAACCAGAAAAAAATAAATAAACCAAACATAATCTTTTGTTTGCATCTTAGGATGTAAATTAGCCAGCTGTAAAAAAGGCTGTTAAAAAAACAAACAAACAACTTTAGCCAGGCACAGTGGCTCACGCCTGTAATCCCAGCACTTTGGGAGGCCGAGGCAGACAGATCATGAGGTCAAGAGTTCGAGACCTAAACATGGTAAAACCCCGTCTCTACTAAAAATACAAAAATCAACCGGGCATGGTGGCATGCGCCTGTAATCCCAGCTACTCAGGAGGCTGAGGGAGGAGAACTGCTTGAACCTGTGAGGCGGAGGCTGCAGTGAGCCGAGACCGCATCACTGCACTACAGCCTGGGCAATAGAGCAAGACTCTGTCTCAAAAAAAAAAAAAATTAGATATGGTAAATGCAAATGCTCTCAAAATAGAATAAAAGTAAATTTTGGTTAGATTCAATTTCTCATAGCTCCTCAAAGTGAAAACGTGGATGTGTACATAAGAGTTTTTAACTTATTAGTGTTCTCTCTTCTCTCTTTTTTTAAACTAGCAATATGAAAAATAAATAGCTTTACCCCAAAGTAAATGTAGACCTGTCTGGTAAAATGAGAGAAATTCAGGTGCTACTTTGCCAAAAATTAAAGTTATTTACCAAATGGTTATGACTATAAACAGGTGAATGTCATCAATTGAGTTTTTTGCTCAAGGCCACGACAAATATAATGAGGATTAGCAATGCCGTAATAAAACTACAAACAAAAAGCTGCCATTGGTTAAATTAGCTAGAAAACTGGAGACTGAAACCCAGCTCTGAGCTAAGATAACAGGAAATTTTAAAAAGAAAAAAAAAAAGACTAAAATTAGAAGACCTGTCATTTCCTAACAATGTGGCTTTTGTTTTCTATTTCTACAGTTTTCAACTACAAAAACTGAAATTTTAAGAAGAAAAAAACTTCAGCCGTTACATTTTTTTCAGTTAAGACATCCAAAGGTAACTTCAAAACTTCAGGTTTCGCAAAGCCCCTCAGACTGACTTATTTACAATACTGACTTGATTCTGAAATCTTGTTAAGTATAAATTCCACTTTAACAGTAGCTTAAAAATTCTTCAAAAGTAAGACGCACCTGAATATCAGAAATGTTAAAATATGGTAATGTACACACCTTAGAGCTGAGCAAATATGGTGATAGTGTTTCCTACTCATCAGGTACTGAACTACCATTAAGGCAAGGTGCTGTATGCATGTGTATATGTTGTATGTTCTGCAGTTTTGTGCTTGTACCTTCAAATGTAATTGTTGAGATTCTTAAAAGTATACCAGGGCCAGGTGCGGTGGGTCACACCTGTAATCCTAGCACTTTGGGAGGCCGAGATGGGCAGATCGCTTGAGCTCAGGAGTTCGAGACCAACCTGAGCAACATGGCAAAACCCCATCTCTACCAAAAGCCAATACAAAAGTTAGCTGGGCATGGTGGTGCATGCCTGTAGTCCCAGCTACTCAGGAGGCTGAGGTGGGAAGATGGCTTGAGCCCAGGAGTTCAAGACTGCAGTGTACTACAGTTGTGCCTCTGAATAGCCACTGCCTACCCAAGTCCAGCCTGGGTAACAGAGCTAGACCCTGTCTCAAAAAATAAAAACATATATACACTGAAGCACTAATTACAGGGTTTTAACAGAGAATAGCTTCTTGTTTTTCCACATACTTGTAAAACTTATAAAACTTCATTAAAAGAATACATTGTTTTAACATTCAAATGCTCACATAATTCCTACACTATAGCTCTCCAAACTTTCATACCTACTCCTCAGAAACACACATCACCAAAAACTTAAACTCATGTAACTTCATTATTCTGAAACAACAAGCTCACCAGCTACAGCTGTGTAGACAGTGCACGAGGGCATTAAGCCAGAAGGGCAAGGGGAAGAGGGTTGAAATCCAGCTTGCCCTTCTCCAGTGAAGTCATGATGGCTCAGGGCACAAAGGAGTGCCTTTTTAGAATTTGCACAAAGTTCTTAGTAGTCCAGAAGTATATGTTAGACACGAAGGGCAAAAGAAGCAGCAGCCATAATTCAAAAGCTTACAGCATTATAAGTTGCCTTAAACATCAGCATTAGAAACATTCCCCTTCTTCTAACAGCTTTAAAATGGGAAAGCATAACTTTCATAAGGTTCCCAGGTTTGCAGGAGTACCTTCTTTCATTTCCTTCCATTCCAGTAAAGGTAATATCAAAATTTATGAGAATCTGGAATCTAGAAACATGCCACTGAGAACAAAAGAATTTGGGCTCATGATGGAAAGACTTAGTGAGGACACAGAAGAGACCACCGAAGATCAAAGACAAGAAGTTGAGGTAATCACTGTATTGATCACTGATATTTAATCAAATATCTACAGCATTCTAGGACACACTCAAAAGAAAATCCTTTAATTGTAATTTAACCTTTTTAAAAATTGGCCAGGCATGGTGGCTCATGCCTGCAATCCTAGCACTTTGAGAGACCCAAGTGAGAGGATCACTTGAGCTCAGGAGTTCCCAGACATCTTCAAAGATAAAAGCTAAGAAATAGTAAAATGTACCTTTTACTCTACTTCAACAAATTATAAACATTTGCTAATCTTGTTTTGTCTATCTCTCCCCAACTTTTTTGGGGAGGAGTGGGGAGGAAGGAGCTGGAGTACATTTCATTTAACCTGTAAATACTTCAATATATATCTTTATAGATAACAGCTTTACATTATCACAATGTCATAAACATCTATAAGAAAATTAACAATTCCTTAATATTAATATCATGTACATGTTCAAATTTCCCCCACTCGTCTCAAAAGTATCTTTTTTCAATTGTTTTATGCACATCAGAATCCAAACCAAGTTCACACACTGCATTTGGCTGATACGGCTCTTTTTATCTGTAACAGCTTTCCCTCTCTTCCCATCACTCCTCCTCCACCCCATCCCAATTATTTGTTGAAGAATCTAGTTATCCAATAAAACTTCCCATATTCTGGATTTGGCTGATTGCTTCTTGTGGTATAAAGCAGTATATTATAAAGTTTAATCTGGCTACAGAGTATAGAGAAGAGAGGAAAAACAGTTAAGGTATATAACCAGCTGGGCGCGGTGGCTCACGCCTGTAATCCTAGCACTTTGGGAGGCTGAGGTGGGCTAACTGCTTGAATGCAGGAGTTCGAGACCAGCCTGGGCAACATGGTAAAACCTTGTCTCTACAAAAAAAAAATTAGCTGGTCATAGTGGTGTGCACCTGTGTTCCCATCTACTCAAGAGGCTGAGGTGGAGGACTGCTTGAGCTCAGAAAGTTGAGGCTGCAGTGAGCCGTGATCACACCACTGTATCCAGCCTGGTTGACAGAATGAGACCCTGTCTCAAAAAAAAAACAAAAACAAAAACAAAAAAAACAAAACTATCAAGAGGATGCTTCTTTCAGACAAGCTAAGAAGGTACCAAATCAACATATTTTAGCTATTAGAATGCTGAGGTAAAACATGGATAGTATTCAATAATTATATAATATAGAAGACTTATTTAAGAGAAAGGTAATAGTCCATCCTGGCCAACATAGTGAAACCCTATCTCCACTAAAAATACAAAAATTAGCTGGGTGTAGTGGCACGTGCCTGTAGTCCCAGCTACTGGGGAGGCTGAGGCAGAAGAATCACTTGAACCCAGGAGGCGGAGGTTGCAATGAGTGGAGACCGCACCATTGCACTCCAGCCTGGGCGACAGAGTGAGACTCTGTCTCAAAAAATAATAATAACAATAATAATAATAAGTAATAGTCACCTATGATTAGCAAAACAATATAATTCACTTATTTTGGTGTGTGACTAAAAATGATAATTTTGTTTTTTGTTAGGTTTTGTTTGTCAGGGTAGAGGTATTTATTTATTTGAGACAGAGTCTCGCTCTGTCATCCAGGCTGCAGTGCAACTTCCGCCTCCCAGGTTCTCATGCCTCAGCCACCTGAGTAGCTGAGATTATAAGCATGCACCGCAACACCTGGCTAAGTTTTCATATTTTTAGTAGAGACGGGGTTTCACCATGTTGGCCAGGCTGGTCTCGAACGCCTGGCCTCAAGTGATCCGCCCGCCTTGGCCTCCCAAAGTGCTGAGATTACAGGCGTGAGCCACCGCGCCCAGCCTAGAGGCATTTTTTGAAAAGCTCTCTAGATCATTCATTATGCAGCCAGATGAAGTAGCACTACTCTCGTACATACATTAATATGCCTTTATCAGAGTACGTTTTTAATTTGTCTCTTGTTTTTAAGTCTACAAGATCTTCAACTCAATGTATATTTATGGTGTACAAGTTATATGTGATATCACATATTACACTAGGTGTAAATGATTTTGTATCCTTGTCCTCAAGAACCCTACAGCATAGTTGAGAAAGATAATATGTAAATAAAAACAAAATATAGTGATATAGGTATTATAGCAATATAGGGACAAAAAGAGCCTGGTTTATTATATCTGGATATGGGGTTCAATCAGAAAAGGTTTCAGAGAGGACATGACTCCTTAAAGAAAGGACTTATCTAAATTACTTTTATGTCTCTAACATCTCTCACAAAAACTTGGTTAACAGCCAGTCTCAAAGTTGTTACACTTAGACCTCAACTCTCCACTTCAGAAACCCACTCCAAGGCTACACACTAGATCACATTACATGAGAAATGCTCTACCTCTGAAATTGCTCACTCCAACAACATTCAACCGTCTGACCACAGTCTTTAATCTTTCTACACTTTTCACCACACTTTACCTTATCAAGTCCTCCAGTCTCTTAAGTGTCTCTATTTTATCTTAGTTGATCATTTTCCTTTGCCGTATTTTTGCATATTTCTATTGTTGGACTTATACAGCATTATAATTTATATACAAATGTGTTTGCTTTGTCTATTAGATCATAACTTTCCTTAGAACAGATTAACGGATGCTTTTTCTCTGTCTTTAACACCCAACATCTTTAACAGCCAGCCAGTGCCTTATCCTTAACTCATTGCTCAGAGTAACAAATATTTGGTGAAGGAATAAGTAAAGTGCTCTAGTCATTTTCACCATTATACCATGAGATCTGCAAAGGTAGAAACTATATGTTACCTGTATATTTCCTACAATTAATACCAGACTGCCTCATACATACCAGCGTCTCAGGGAGTATCTGTTGACTTATAAAAGGTTGAAATGTATTAGGGACTGCAGGCAGGGTGTATGGTTCACACCTGTAATCCCTGAGCTTTAGGAGGCCGAGGCAGGAGGATCATTTGAGGTCAGGAGTTTGAGACCAGCCTGGCCAACATGGTGAAACCCCATCTCTCCTAAAACACAAAATTTAGCCGGGTGTGGTTGCAGATGCCTGTAATCCCAGCTACTTGGGAGGCTGAGGCTGGAGAATCACTTGGACCAGGGAGGTGGAGGTTGCAGTGAGCCGAGATAGCGCCACTGCACTCCAGCCTGGGCGACAGCGCGAGACTTTGCCTCAAAAAAAAAAAAAGAAAAAGAAAAAAAGTATTAGGTCCTGCAAATGACATATAAAAATATGTTTTATAGCCACATGGTTATAAAGCACATGTAAAAAATGTTCATCATAGCAGAGGCAAAATGATGCAAGAAAGAGCACTAGATAAAAGTCAGGAGGCCTGAACTTCAGTCTTGGCTTTGCCACTTTGTGATCTACAAATAACCATCTCTATAAGCCTTAGTTTCCTCATTTATTTTGTTATTTTTTTAGTCTAATCTATTGGGGTTTTAAGTCTCCTCACTTATTAAAATGTGGTTTGATCAGAATAAGATTCTAGATCATTAGCTCTAACATGTGGTGCTTTTCAAAAAAATTACTATAAAAGTGATACACTATAAATACTTAAAAGTTGTATATGCCCTTAATTGTTTTGGTAAAAGAAAATTCCACTCTATTTTTTTTTCTTTTTCTTTTTTTTTTTTTTTGAGACAGAGTCTCGCTCTGTCACCCAGGCTGGAGTGCAGCGGCGTGATCTCAGCTCACTGCAACCTCCGCCTCCTGGATTCAAGCAATTCTCCTGTCAAGGCCTCCCGAGCAGCTGGGATTACAGGCGCACGCCGTCACGCCTGGCTAATTTTTTGTATTTTTAGTAGAGACAGGGTTTCACCGTGTTCCCCAGGCTGGTCTCGGACTCCTGAGCTCAGGGAATCCACCCGCCTCGGCCTCCCAAAGTGCTAGGATTACAGGCGTGAGCCACCGTGCCTGGCTCCACTCTATTTTTGTAACTCACTTTCCAGAGGCATCCACTCTCAACAGTTTCTTTTGTATCTTTAAGGCGTTCTTCATACATAAGCTAATACACTGCTAAGATTCTTGATTTTACCAACTGGACAGTCCTATAAATTCAAATGGAGCCTTGCCAAAATGAAAGAAAAATTACTTTGATAGCAGAAAGAAAACTACTCAGAAAGCCAACAGCAGAAAAAATTAAAATATACTGAAATAAGTATTTAAAACTTCATGTAGGGCTGGGCGCTGTGGCTCACGCCTGTAATCCCAGCACTTTGGGAGGCCAAGGTGGGTGTATCTCCTGAGGTCAGGAGTTTGAGACCAGGTTGACTAACATGATGAAACCCCATCTCTACTAAATACAAAAAATTAGCCAGGTGTGGTGGTGCATGCCTGTAATCTCAGCTACTTGGGAGGCTGAGGCAAAAGAATCACTGGAACCCGGGAGACAGAGATTGCAGTGAGTGGAGATTGCGCCCTTGTACCCCAGCCTGGGCAACAAGTGTGAAACTCCATCTCAAAAAAAAAAAAAACAAAAAAAACTTCATGTGTCACCTCCTGTTTGTGTGATGTAATGTGAGTAGAAGACATATGACAAGAAACTTCGGGTGGGAAGTTTCTCTACAGGAAGAAACGTGGGAGGCATGGGGGAAAGGAGAATCATACTAATGTCACAACCACAGAAGGATGTACAAAGGGTGAAAAAATTCAGAGAACTGTAAATACTAAAATAGCAAACTAACTGTGAAATGCACTATGAGCTTAAGGAGAGTCAACTGTAGAAAGGATGCAGTTGTTATCTATATTAAAGCCAGCCTAGAGGGAAGTGTATATTAACATTAGGCCCTTTTCTTCACAACAGCACCCTTTGAAGATCTACATCTAAATCTAACAAGGGCTTTCACATACTGAGAAGTCAAGGGTGAAATAATTGTGTTTCTAAGTGGTTTCTTCTAATGGTGGGGAAAATTTATCACATGATGACAGTCATCATAAGAATTTTTTTAAATATAGAAAGAAAAAAAAAGAGAAAAGGTAGGTCACTGAGAAAGTATAAAGTTCCACGAGAATAGGGCAAAGTCCTCTCTAATGGCCAGACTATTAATTTCCCTTTCATCTGGGTACCGGAGAATATTTAAACATTAAGTAAGGAATGTGTTATATAGAGAACCAAGCTTTTAACATCTGTAACCACGTAAACAAACATAAATTTCACTTAGATATGTCCCCATTTTTACCCCTGTAGTCCCATTTTTACCCCTATAGTGTAAAAGGATACCACTTTAGACTGTAAAGAATGCTTAAGGGTAACGTAAGAACCGCAGACTGGACAAGGAACCTGTTCTGCTGGTCTAACACATTACTAAGTCCACTTTTCCAAAGAATAAAAATACAATTCTGTAACATGTAAGTCACAAGTCTAACAAACTAAACTATAAATTACCTAATGATAATTACAATATTAAGAAATTAACACTGGTATAGTCTTTACCTGGAATTTTTACAACCTAAATACAGCATGATGGATAAAAACTAAAACCACAATTTGGAATTAATTTGGAGGAAGAGGAAATGATAAATTTGTATTCCATACTGTAATTTTAATCCAGTGTATGACACACTGTAAAATTTGTCAAAAAGTTGAAAACAGTAAAGTCTGAGAACCAACCTATGTCTCCATAAAAGAAAAAATGATTAGTCAAGGATGAGTGAATTCTAGGACTGTAAACTTTACCAAATCTACCTTGTCTCCAGATACTAAAAACACAAACAGAATTAGGGAACTAAAATCATTCTGGTTTCCTGAACCCTTTAGGTTAAAAGGAACAATATTTCCTGACACCGGAAAATGGTGAGTAAGCCTTGCTTTCACAAGTCAGTGGGTGAGGCTATGGTTTTCAAACTTGGGTGGAATATTATTTTAAGAGTCTTTAAGGGAAATTTTTATCATTAAAAGATTACATTAGTTACAACACAGCATAAAACTAAATATATAAAGCAGTACAGGTCTCAAACTTTTAAATTTCAGAGTCCAAAAAATGTTATGATCTCCCCATTTTCTCTCTTCTCTCTCTTCCATCACCTCTTCCCAGTACCTCAAATAAAACCAAGCCAGCTGACACACACAAACTGGTTTAGGAAGCTAAAGGTCTGTAGCAGTCAACATGAGCCAGGAGTGGCTTGTGTGCTACCTGCTAACTCTAATCATCAGACTTTCCATCTAAAGCTCAGAGAGAATAAATTACATGGGAATCAGGCCCTAAAAGCCTTTTCAGAAGTCTTCCATTTGACAGAATAGCACATTAGGTCTACCCACCATCACCCTGAGTGGGCTTAGCTACTTGTGTCAAGGTCTCCATAAAAATACAGATTTCAAAAAAGAATTTTGCAATACACATTCGAAGTCTTGGAGGAAAGCTGCTAAGATACGACCAGTAACTACTCCATGAAACCAGTCTTAAAGCAGACTGAAATAGCCAATGATGGCTACAGAACACATATCCAACTCACTAAATTTTAAAATTTAGGATTCTGTGTGCTGAAAACGATTACATTCTTTGATATTCACTTTTAACCAAAATACCCATTTCATTTCTAAGAAGACAAAAATGAGGAAGTTAAAATATACATTTGCCTTCCTTCTTGTCATACACCTTCCCACATACCAAATTACTACTGCAAAGAGCCACTATGCTATTATTCCAAAGAGTTCCTAAGCATCTCACAAAGAGATGCCTTGGTTCCTGATGACTATTATAATCATAATTATATGATTATGATCTTCCAGATCCATAGATGGTCATCTTGGATAAAGAACCCAGTAATGAAAGTATGCTGCGGTCTGTGTTTCTACTTACCCTCGATGACATCCTGGGGGTGAGAAGTCCGGTCACTGGGTGGATCCAGTGCAACAGTTGCCAGCGAAGTGGTGGCCCCAGACATCTCACTCATAGGCTCACTCCGGCTTGTTTCAGGCACGCTTTCCCGGGAGCTAAATCTTACTCGGGAACTAGATCGAGAGCTGAGGTCCGGACTGGTGTCTGACAAACCTGGAATGTCATCGATCTTTGTCGGTGTCACCATGAACCGAACTGAAGCCATCTTGGTGGTGGTTTCTGGAGGATGCATTTTGTTCTTTTTAAGAACAAAAAAAGTGGGGGGAACCTCGCAAAATCTTCCTCTTACGCTAGCTACTTTTGACTGCAATACAAAAGATAACTTGAAAAATAACACATTTCAATAACCTTGATTCACACCACACAAAAAGCCCCAACTAAGAATACTTCTACTCAGAATTCAAGCCGACTGTCCTAGAAAGTGCATCACCAATAGGTGAATATATTTTTTAAGAGAGAAAAAAACAAAAAACAAAAAGACAAAACAATGCCAATCTTGTGTGACTTCTTTCCTTCAGAATGAAGAGCTACCTAGCTAACCCCTCTGGTCCGGGGCTGAAGGCTCAGTGCCATGGTCTCAGGGCAGCAGATGAAGCCTCCCTCCCCTCAGCCCCCAGTTTCCTGTCGAGGTAGTCCTTTATCTGGTGAGTGTCCCACGGTTCTAGTTGGGCGAAGTGCGTGCAGGCAAACCTTTATCAGGCGACTATAGCGTGGATCAGATTGCTAAAAGGTGTACACCCGGCCACCTGTTGTGTATCAGGTGAATACCCCACAGGTCTGGCTGGGGGGAGGTGTATGCAAAGCCACCCGGTGTTTTTGATGTCGACAATCCACTTGGGTCTGGTGGGAAAGGTGCACATGCATAACGGGAAAAATAACCCACACTACTGAGAGAAGGGTGAGCAGAGGAGGATGCAGGGGCAGAGCGGATTCCTGTCTCCGAGAGGTCGGTGGGGGTGGCGCGCCCGCTCTTCTCCTAGCAGAAAGGTCCTCGGGGTCTGGGAGGAGGTTAGCGGATCAAGACACCTCGGACTGCAGCTCAGAGTCGTGGCAAGTCGTAGCTAGTCCACTGAGCCACGGTCCGCTCGCTAGGTTTCTCCTGCGTGTGACAGGACGAGCCACCCCCTTTGCCGGAGGCGCGTTCTCCCCTACCCCCGCCCCGGCGCAGGTCACCCCCTCGTCGTTCTTCCTCAGGGTCCCAGTAGAGGAGGAGACGGCCACGCAGGCTGGCCTGACTGGGCAGCAGGGTGAGGGAGAAGGAGGTCGCAGGTGCAGTATCCCGGCGCCAGCTGATGCGGGTGCGCGCGCAGCTGTTGTTTACTAGCCGGTAACTGTTTCAGAGCCGCGGCGCGCGCAGGGTTCGCGCTGCCGGGGCTGGCGCCCCCTCCCCGGCCCGACGCCAGAGCAGCAGTTACGTGACCTGGCCTCCCCCAGCCCCGGGCCCGACGGGGTGCGCCCGCGCCGCCGCAGCCCTTCCCTTCCCTCCCCGCTTGTTCCTCATTCGAGGTGAACCTTGCGAAGAGAAGCCCGGGGGTGCAGTGAGAGGGCGGAACCGTCCCGCGGGCGCCCGAAAGCCCCGCCCAGCCGCCGCAGCCCGCGGTGACCGAGTGCAGCGCGCCTGCGCTCGCCGCGGGACACGGCAGGCGGGGCGGGGCCGAATACGAGTGGCCAGGGGCACGACGGGAGCTGTAGTCCAGGGCACGGCCCGACCCGCGTGAAGAGGGGAATAATCCTTTTCCTCGGTCCGGCTGTGCTGCACACTCACTCTGGAAGCATCCTAGAGGGCGGGCGCTGCTCCTCACCCTCAGAACCCGGGGAGCCATTTCTCTTTCATGAGTGTCTCTGAAAACATCATTCATGATTTCTTTAACCAGAAACACCGCTCCTATACCTGGGAATAACCCTCATTGTAATTTTTATGTAGAGGTCTACATACAAATAAACCACTTTTATGTAAAAAAAAAAAATTAAAACTATAAAGTAGGCCTGGCGCGGTGGTTCACGACTGTAATCCTAGCACTTTGGGAGGCTGAGGCGGGCGTGATCGATCACCTGAGCTCAGGAGTTCCAGACCAGCCTGGCCAGCATAGCGAAACCCCGTCTCTACCAAAAATTCAAAAATTAGCCGGGCGTGGTGGCGTGTGCCTGTAATCCCAGCTATTCCTTAGACTGAGGCAGGAGAATCGCTTGAGCTTGGGAGGCGGAGGTTGCAGTGAGCCGAGAACGCACCATTGCATTCCAGCCTGGGGGGACAAGAGCAAAACTCCGTCTCAAAGAAATAAATAAATAAAAATAAAACTATAAAGTACCTTAAACACATTTGTCCTACTTTAATTTTTTGTTGTTGTTCTTGTCCTTTTAATAAATGCTATGTCCACTTTCTAGTCAGACTGAAAGTTCCACTAAATAATACGTTTTTTTATACCTGGAGAAGACGTTGATGTATTTTCTCAAATCCATTCCATGTTTTCACCACTACATTTGTCGCTAGAATATTTTTTCTTAGTGTTTATTTAATGTATAAATGGTGGTGTTCGATAAATTCTGACTCACCAATGTTTTGTTTGAAAAGCTATTTCCTATAGCTGTGATCAAGACCTCTAAATTTAACAATCACCTGGGCCCAGAAACTGGCCCCCGGTTTTGCCTGGGGTCTTGGCTCCTCACAAGTGGTTATGTTTAAGCAGCACTCCTAGCAATGGGAACTGTATTCCCGGAAGTTCTCTTTTATCAAATGACACACAAAGTCCAAATCCTTTCAAGGATTAAAGGATCAAAAAGGTTAAAAAGATCCTGGTAACAAAATGAGAAATCCTAATGTAAAGTGTAAACCTCCTAAAGTTTGACTCTTTATAAAGTCTGGGTTTCTTGATTCAGGCCCACAGCTTTCATCCATCCTCAGCAGGATCAATTTTTTCCTCAGGCAGGCCTGCCGTTCATTCAAACTTCAGACTTTTCCTTTATAAAGAAACACAGAATTTTTATGAAACCCAATTTCCTACCAGTGTATCTGCATTTACTTATATGTACCACCTAATTCCAATATACTATCCCTGTTAAGACTTTTCTTGTTTCTGAGCACTAACCAAGCTCTATAAATGTATGTCTCAGACGTTAATACCCCAGGGATCTCTTTATTTTCTCAGGGAGACACAGCCTCTGGTGCAAAATGAAGCCTCATTCCTCAGGGGATCTCTTATGGAAAAAGTCCTTTTTATATTCATGCCAGTTTGCTTTCTCTCCTCTATATTCATTAGGAATATTTTCAGGTTAAAGCTTTTAAGTCTACACAGGTGGTAGCATGGAGCAATGCTAATTCTTTTTTTTTTTTCTTTTTTGTAAGATAAAGGCAGAACTGCAGCCAACATTAAAAAACTGGTAGCAAAATTCACTTACTGACTTTGGTGCTTAAGAAACATGTCTCCAATCATTATCCCCTTAATTGGATAAGATAACTTTTAAAAATCTTTCAGATCCAATGTTATATCCAATCCTGTAAGTGAACAAGCTAAGAAATAAAATTGCTTGACAGGAAACAAGTATCCCATTTCACAATTTCTCTAAGTTAACTCTTTAAAATCCTTCAGATCCAATGTTAAGAACCCTGCAAGTAAGTGAACAGGCTAAGAAATAAAATTCCTTGACAGGAAACAAGTATCTCATTTCACCATTCCTATATGTTTCAGTAATGTATTTCAAAATCATCTGTCTTCTATTAATTATGACTCCAGTTGAGAGACTTTTTTTTTTCTTTTCAGCAACCCACAACTATCCTGAACTTTTCTGCTGGGATGGTCAAATAGCAAGATCCAAGAAAAGCAAAGTCTGGCCGGGCACTGTGGCTCACGCCCGTAATCCCAACACTTTGGGAGGCCAAGGCAGGAGGACAGCTTGAGCCCGGAGTGCAACACCAGCTTGGGCAACATAGTGAGACCTCGTTTCTATAAAAAATTTAAAAATGGGGTGGACCGCTTGAGACAGGGAGGTAGAGGCTGCAATGAGTTGTGATCACATCACTGCACTCCTGCCTGGACCACAGGAGTGAGACCTGACTCAAAAAAAAAAAAAAAGTATTTCCAGGGTATGTCTTCATAAATCACATCTGTGCTAATTTAAGTTATATCTGCTTCTGGAATCTAGAATTTTTATCATAGAAAATAAAGATTGCAGAATTAAAATACAGACTCCACAAAGCAATTTTAAAATCTGCAGCACTAGGCCGGCCAAGGTGGCTCATGCCCGTAATCCCAGCACTTTGGGAGGCTGAGGCGGGCGGATTACTTGAGGTCAGGAGTTTGAGATCAGCCTGACCAACAAGGTGAAACCTTGTTTCTACTAAAAATACAAAAATTAGCCAGGCATGGTGGTGTGCGCCTGTAGTCCTAGCTACTCGGGAGGCTGAGGCAGGAGAATAGCTTGAACCCAGGAGGCGGAGGTTGCAGTGAACCAAGATGGCGCCACTGCACTCCAGCCTGGGGTACAAGAGCAAAACTCCATCTCAAAAAAAAAGAAAGACCCAGGCCAGGTGTGGTGACTCATGCCTGTAATCCCAGCACTTTGGGAGGCTGAGGTGGGTGGATCACTTGAGGTGAGGAGTTTGAGACCAGCTTGGCCGACATGGCGAAACCCTGTCACTACTAAAAGAAATACAAAAATTAGCCAGGTGTGGTGGCGTGCACCTGTAATCCCAGTTACTTGGGAAGCTGAGGCAGGAGAATTGCTTGAACCTGGGAGACGGAGGTTGTAGTCAGCCAAGGCTGCACCCCTGCACTCCAGCCTGGACAACAGATCTAGACTCTGTCTCAAAAGAAAAAAAAAGAAAGGCCCACCACTAAATCAATTTGAGTTCAAAGATAAGTTAATCAGGAGAAAAATCAGACTAAACAGGTTAAGTAACTTTCTCAAAGTTATACAAAAAGCAAATACTGGTCTTCTGACTTTCAATTCACTGACCTCTGTCTGTAATATGCCTATTACTTTTACAAGTACTCTTCCATTTTTAATCAAAATCTTATTTCAAGGGACAAGAAATTACGTTAAGTGACAACAGAGGTATTTTTCAGTGAATGCTGACAGCTGTGAAAGTCTTAATCTTTCTTCCCCAATACCCTCCTATCATGAACAGCACATGACCACTCTTGCAACAGCAGGACTGAAGTTTTTCTTCCAAGTGGTATTGTTGCAACTCTCTGGGGTACTCTCCTTTATCATCTCCCTCCCTTTAAAAAAATACTGCCAATCCTTTCCTCCAACAACTCACAAAATAAGAGTTTTTCAAATCATTTTATCTTTAATAATCTTGTAGTAATTTAAAATATGAGAAAAAAAAGTCAAATGTGTTCCCTTTATGGGTGATGCCACCATGATTGCCTCACACAAGCATAATCAATCGCCACGAGAGACTGGATGCCAAAGAGTATGGCTGGCAAAAAGGCATCAGGGCTCACAGTCCGAAGAGTTTGGTTACGGAGTCTCCGAGGGGTAACAGGTGGCAGAAAAGACATCAGTTTAAGGGACCCTCAGAGGACAGGGCGCGGTTGCTGGGTCATGAGCACCTTGAAGCGTTTCTTGATGGTGATTCGGTGTCGAGAGTATTTGTCATCTGGGGAGAACCGAGCAGGATGGGCTGAGCAGGTCTGTTGTCCCATCGGGTCAAATTTCTGCTCCAGGAACACAGAATGTATGTCAGTACAGGAGTGATGAAATGGGGTGGGGCCAGCGCGAAAAAGGGCAAACATGAAAATAGAAGATGCAATGGTCAACTCAAAAAGTTGTACAAATAAATAGAGAAATATAAAATTTAAAAAGGCCGAGCGCGGTGGCTCACGCCTGTAATCCTGGCACTTTGGGAGGTCGAGGCGGGAGGATGGTTTGAGACCAGCCTGGGCAATATGGCGAAACCTCGTCTCTACAACAAACAAACAAACAAAACCAACCAACCAAACAAAAAACCCCAAAACCAAAAATTAGCCGGGTATGGTGGCGCACGCCTGTAGTCCCAACTACTCGGGAGGCTGAGGCAGAAGGATTGTTTGAGCCCAGGAGGCGGAGGTTGCAGTGAGCCGAGACCGCACCACCGCACTACAGCCTAGGCAACAAAGCGAGTCCCTGTCTTTAAAAAAAAAAAAAAAAAAAAAAAGGAAAAGTGAGTGCAATGGCGCTATCCCGGCTCACTGCAACCTCTGCCTCCCGGGTTTAAGCGATTCTCCTGTCTCAGCCTCCCGAGTAGCTGGGATAACAGGCGCACACCGCCATGCCCGGCTAATTTTTTGTATTTTAGTAGAAACGGAGTTTCACAGTGTTGCCCAGAATGGTCGCGAACTCCTGAGCTAAGGCAATCCACCCGCCTCGGCCTCCCAAAGTGCTAGGATTACAGGCGGGAGCCACTGCGCCCCGCCAGAATTTTTTCTTTTAATTAAAAAATGAGTCGCGCGGTCCCGGTTCTTCCCCACCTCGGTTCTGGACTTTCTGGTTCCCCGCACCCAGCTAGGTAACTCCACGTATGACCTCACCCACTCCTCCCATCTACATTTCTCGCCATGCCTATTTACACCCTGTTTTCTCTCCTCACCTTCAGCGTATAGACTCGATCTCCCTGCTCGTTGAGGTAATACTGGAGAAACATGATCGCTTATAAGCCAGCGGTCCCAATTCGGTCCACCGCTCAGTCTGCAGTGGTCCGCCCGACCGCGTCACGTGTTCGTCAATTTCCTTCCTGCATAACCGGAAGTCTCTCTCTCCTGGCACTCCGGAAAATGTAGTCAATTTTTGCCTTGTTTTCAGCTAGCCAGAAGGGGGCGCACGAGAGCAGGGCTTGGCTTGGGGCCCTACTTGCAACTTTGCAGGCTAAAACACGTGGAGTGTCCCTACTGTGTGCTAGGTACACGGCGTTAGAGGGGGGTAGGGATGGATGTGGATAGAATATTGACGTATAGAAGCCTGTCTTTGTCTCAAGATACACACCCATTTCAGGAGCAGTGAGTTTTCAATGCCTGAAGAAACAAGGGCTCCAGGATTCAGAGCCCCTTTACCCTAGGGAAGAAAGAAGAGGTTTTCTTCCCTCCCCTCTTTTACATCCAGTTCCCCTGCTCCATTTCAAAGCGTTGGCGGTAAAGAATGCATGTTGAGTATCAATATTCCGTAAAGCGAAAGAGCGTAAAGTTATTTTATGAAACTGGTGAAGCATGTTTCAGCGGTCGAACCAAGATTTAAAGTTAGGTCCCTACCGCAAATTCAGCGCTCTTTCTTATGGTGGTGAGTAGCTAATAATAACGTAATAAAGTGCACCTTCTAGGAGTTTTTACAATTTTTAAAAGAATATAGAAGTTCTCCTTATAAGACTCTCGTTTAAAGAAATGAAAATGAGAACCAAAATATCATTACAAAGATCATCGTTACGCCATTATTTACAATGACAAAAGCATTGGAATATATATTAACTGTGTAACCAGAAAAACCTGCACTTTTTTTTTTTTTTTTTTAAGAATATGGTTTGGCGGGGCGCGGTGGCTCACGCCTGTAATCCCAACACTGGGAGGCTGAGGCAGGCAGATCACAGGTCAAGGGTTCGAGACCAGCCTGGCCAATCTGGCGAAACCCCGTCTCTACTAAAAATACAGAAAAATTAGCCGGGCGTGGTGGTGGGCGCCTGTAGTCCCAGCTACTTCAGAGGCTGAGGCAGGAGAATCATTTGAGCCGGGGAGGCAGAGGTTGCAGCGAGCTGAGATAGCACCACTGCACTCCAGCCTGGGTCCGTCTTAAAGAAAAAAAAATATGGTTTGTGGCTGGGCGCGGTGGCTCACGCCTGTAATCCCAGCACTTTGGGAGGCTGAGACGGGTGGATCACAAGGTCAGGAGTTCGAGACCAGCCTGGCCAATATGGTGAAACCCCCAAAAATACAAAAATTAGCGGGGCGTGGTGGCGGGCACCTGTAGTCCCAGCTACTCGGGAGGCTGAGGCAGGAGAATCACTTGAACCCAGGAGGCGGAGGTTGCAGTGAGCCAAGATCACGCCACTGCACTCCAGCCTGGGCGACAGAGCGAGATCCTGTCTCAAAAAAAAAAAAAAAAAAAAAAGAATATGGTTTGTATTTACTTGTAGTTGCATAAAAAATCTCTGCAAGTATTCACAAGAAACAGATGATACTGGTTTCCTCTGGGATAGAGAACTTAGTTGCAGGAGAAAGGGGTAAGGGTTGGGAGGCAGACTTATTGCTATGTATTTTATTACGCAGTTTGATTTTTGAACCTTGCTAATGTATTTATTACCTGTTAAAAATTTTTTAAAGGCCGGGCACGGTGGCTCACGCCTAGTAATCCCAGCACTTTGGGAGGCTGAGGCGGGCGGATCATGAGGTCAGGAGATCGAGACTATCCTGGCTAACACAGTGAAACCCCGTCTCTACTAAAAATACAAAAAATTAGCCGGGCATGGTGGTGGGTGCCTGTAGTCCCAGCTACTCAGGAGGGTGAGGCAGGACAATGGCGTGAACCCGGAAGGCGGAGCTTGCAGTGAGCAGAGATCACGCCACTGCACTACAGCCTGGGTGACAGAGCGAGACTCTGTTTAAAAAAAAAAATTTAAATCTAAGTAGTTAATTTTGTTAGAAAGGAAAATGATGATTTTAGCCTTCAGGTCTTTAGAAAAGAGAAAAGATATCTCAGAGGAAGCAAGAAAGATGCCATGAACCCCAGGGAAGGCCTTTTGGGGGAAATCCACGTTTGGATGAAGCTGTGGCTGTAGAGGATGCTCTGGGAGTTACTGGCCTGAAATAGTCGCCAGGAACCTTAGCAGATAAATTTTATTTTTAAAGTTTAAACCAAAATAATTTAACAAAAAGAAGGACTTTCTACTCTTGAAATTTTAAACTGCATGGCAGCTTTTTTATTTAGTGAGGCTTTTCAGCAAAGGGTAAGGCGTCTGTGGAGTACAGAGCCTATGTTAGTAGATTGGACAGCTTTCCAAGGAAATGATGTGCACACAGCAATCGAGCACCTTGGATCATCTGACAATTCTAATTTTAAACTTTAGTTCCCTTGATCCTTACGTGTATAGACCAATGTACTCTGAATTTAGTTCAGAAAATATAGCCATCATTGAATTAAGTCAGGGGTCTACAGTCAACCTGCTGTTAATAGGAAGTCAGTTACAGAACTGGCTGGGATGGAAGGACACAAAATGAGATATGTTGGTGAAGAATCGAAGTGTAGTGAACCAAACGGTAAAACTGTAATGTGTTGGGAATCTGAGAAAAAGTTTACAAATAGCCCTAAAGAGGCAAACATCAATTGTGTTGCCAAACTGTAGTTTGAAGGGAATTCCTGGTTTTTTCATACTTACTAGAACCCTTCATGGAATATCTGTCCCCACCCTCACCCCACTTTTCCCTCTCCCCTCCCCCACAGCAGAATGCCTTGAGTTCCGTATTCTAGTTCTGTGTGATCTGATCTTTACCTTCCCTTCCTTGGATCCCTGTGCACCTACTGGAGCCAGGTTACTCTGGGTCCTGGACCTGACTGCCTCATTCTGGAGGCTTCCAGACAGCCACAGTTAGTGCCCAAACCTGAGAGGATGGCTTCAGATGGAGGTAAGTCTGCAGGTGGTGAGGAGGATTTCTGGTACCTGCTCATATCCTTTGAGACAAGCTCTCTGGGCTGACCTAAAGGAATGTGAGGTGCTACACCCCGTCAAAGGTATCACACTTGGGGAGGCTAGGGAAGGAGATTGTACCTTTAAGACTAGGGGCTGGGGAAGGAAGAGGACTTCCTTAAGGACAGATTAAGGTGTCTCTGAGGACACATGCTGAGTATAGAGAAAGGATGGCAATTAGCAACTTGATTCTCTTGAACAGGGGACACTTCCGCATGTGTTTTTGTGGTGGGAGAGAGGATCAGGGGTATGTGTCTTAGGACTGGCACAGAGAGGTTTCAAGGGGGAAGGCCCAAGTTCATCTGTCTTTTTTAGGCAACTGGAGCCTGTTCTAGGATTTTGCCATGCTTGAGCTTATGAGGGGAAGGGGATGTGGAGGATGGAGGATGGGAGGGTAAGGTGGGAAGGACCTTAGTGGGAAAAGATAATCTGTAGTTATCTGTTGCAGAGAAATGCCTTCCTGAAAACTAGGCTGGAATGTATTATAAACTGCCTCTGCTTGGGCCGGGTGCGGTGGCTCATGCCTGTAATCCCAGCACTTTAGGAGGTCGAGGCGGGTGGATTACCTGAGGTCAGGTTTTTGAGACCAGCCTGGCCAACATGGCGTAAACCCCGTATGTCCTAAAAATACAAAAATTAGCTGGATGTGGTGGTTCGTGCCTGTAATCCCAGCTACTTGCGGGGCTGAGGCAGGAGAATCACTTGAACCCAGGAGGCGGAGGTTGCAGTGAGCTAAGATCGTGCTGCTGCACTCCAGAATGGGCCACAGAGCAAGACTCCATCTAAAAAAAAAAAAAAAAAAAAAAAAAAGCAGCACTTAGAGGCAGTGATGGCTTGGGCTTGTCTCTTCTTGGCAGATAGGGGTCTGTGTGTCTTGTTGAAAAAGAAGCAACTTCTTTAATGCAGTCATTCTCAACGAGAAGTAAGATCAAAATCACTTGGGGGACATTTGCAAACTATGCAAGTTCCCCATCCATATCCCCTCTTTCACCTGTTGAGAATCAGTGCTTTGAGTCTTCGGGTCTAAAGAAGAACTCAGATGGGGTGTGGTGGCTCACACCAGTTATCTCTGCACTTTGGAAGGCTGAGGCAGGAGGATCACTTGAGGCCAGGAGTCTGAGCCTAGCCTAGGCAACATAGCGAGACGTCATCTCTACAATTTTTCTTTTTTTTTTTTTGAGACAGAGTTTTCCTTTGTCACCGAGGCTGGAGCACAGAGGCGCAATCTCAGCTCACTGCAGCCTCAACTTCTTGGGCTCAAGCGATCCTCCCACCCCAGCCCCCCAAGTAGTTGGGACTACAGGTGCATGCCACCGCACCTGGCTTATTTTCGTATTTTTAATGGAGACAGGGTTTTGCCATGTTGCCCAGGCTGGTCTCAAACTCCTGGAGTCAAGCAATCCTTCCACCTTGGCCTCCCAAAGTGCTGGGATTACAGATATGAACCACCGTGCCCGGCCTCTACAAAAAAATTTAAAAATAAAGGAGGAATTCACCTGTAATCCCAGCACTTTGGGAGGCCGAAGCAGGCGGATCACAAGGTCAGGAGATCGAGACCAACCTGGCTAACACGGTGAAACCCCGTCTCTATTAAAAATACAAAAAGTTAGCCGGGCGTGGTGGTGGGCGTCTGTAGTCCCAGCTACACAGGAGGCTGAGGCAGGAGAATGGCATGAACCTAGGAGGCGGAGATTGCAGTGAGCCGAGATTGTGCCACTGCACTCCAGCCTGGGCGACAGAGCGAGACTCCATCTCAAAAAATAAAAATAAAAATAAAAATAAAAATAAAAATAAAAAAATGGGGAATTCAGATGGCTAACTCTGGTCTTCTTTTCTCCTACTCCATTTCTTCTTTTTCTTTGTCTCAACAGCATCTGCATTGCCGGGACCGGATATGAGCATGAAACCTAGTGCCGCCCCGTCTCCATCCCCTGCACTTCCCTTTCTCCCACCAACTTCTGACCCACCAGACCACCCACCCAGGGAGCCACCTCCACAGCCCATCATGCCTTCAGTATTCTCTCCAGACAACCCTCTGATGCTCTCTGCTTTCCCCAGCTCACTGTTGGTGACAGGGGATGGGGGCCCTTGCCTCAGTGGGGCTGGGGCTGGCAAGGTCATTGTCAAAGTCAAGACAGAAGGGGGGTCAGCTGAGCCCTCTCAAACTCAGAACTTTATCCTTACTCAGACTGCCCTCAATTCGACTGCCCCGGGCACTCCCTGTGGAGGCCTTGAGGGTCCTGCACCTCCATTTGTGACAGCATCTAATGTGAAGACCATTCTGCCCTCTAAGGCTGTTGGTGTCAGCCAGGAGGGTCCTCCAGGCCTTCCGCCTCAGCCTCCACCACCAGTTGCTCAACTGGTCCCCATTGTGCCCCTGGAAAAAGCTTGGCCAGGGCCACATGGGACAACCGGGGAAGGAGGTCCTGTGGCCACTCTATCCAAGCCTTCCCTAGGTGACCGCTCCAAAATTTCCAAGGACGTTTATGAGAACTTCCGTCAGTGGCAGCGTTACAAAGCCTTGGCCCGGAGGCACCTATCCCAGAGTCCTGACACAGAAGCTCTTTCCTGTTTTCTTATGTAAGTGGGGAGACCGGAGATTAATTATTCTAGGGCTTTTAAATAAGGAGGACTTTGGGGTGAACATAGTAGTTTAGGCTGTTTAGGACTACTTGAGGGAAGGTCATGAGGGCAAGGGAGATGCTCTGAGAATGAAAAACATATTAATAATAATAATCAGCCTCTTAACCCACTTCCTAGTTTATAACAACCTTTCAGGTGTCTTATCTTAAGTGATCCTCACCACACTGTGAGTTCAGGCAAGCCTTCCTCTGGTAATCTTCATTTACAGATAAGAAGACTGAAACCAAGGACCAGTGATTGGAACTTAGGTCTCTCACTCTAAGTGCCAGGGTCCTCCCCCCGTTCTATTTTACTACCTTTTGACATTGAGTCAGAACTATCCAAACTAGCCAGGATGAGTGCTGGACCCTAACTCAGGGCCCTGGGTGGCAGGGGGAACAGTGTGGGGCCAGGCAAAGGACTTTGTGTGTGCTGCTCCCTCTGCTCCCTCCACTCATTTTATTCAGGAGAATTCACTTTGAAATAGGGTGGTGGGTAGAGCTTGCTTAGTGGTCAAGGGCATGGCTCTACCACTCACTAGATTTGTGATCCTGGGCAGGACATTTAACATCTTTGCCCTCAGTTTTCTCAGTTAAAAAGGGGGATAACTATACCTAATTCACAGAGTTGCTGAGGAGATTAAATGGGTTAATATATGTGAAGTCCTTGGCGCAGAGAATGTTTCATTAAATGTCAACTGTTTTATTATTATCCTAAAAAGGCCATCTAGAAGAGGAAAAGAACTCGCAAAAGGTCAAAACGTCCTTGCTTAAGAGCGAGTGTGTGTTTAGTCAAGGAGCCCAGGGTCCTAGGCTGTTTTGTTTACAAAACAGTCATTCCTCAGCTGGGGAACAGTCTTCCCTTCCCACCCAGACCCACTGTCCCTCTCAACTGCCCTGTGCCCTCAGCATTTTGTGTAAGCCGCTATATAACACATACCACATTTTATTGCTTTAAACAAATGTACATGGTGCTCTTCCAGTGGCTGAACTCCTAAAGGAATCCCTCTACCCCGAACTTGGAGCAAATGAATCAAGATGTTCCCCCAAAGTCCTAGATGTACAGCGTCTTCAGGCTCCCTGCTTTCTCAAGGCAGATCTGAGTTCGCTCTTGGAGCCTAGCAGGCTAAATTTCAAAATCTTGAACCAATGTGGGCTCTCAAGGTTTGCATGGGATCCATTTGCTTTGGGTCCTGGTCTGCTTGTGCTTCACACTCAGGGGCTCTGGGCAGGGTCTTCCACAAGAGGCAGTCCAGACCACTGCAACATGGGAAGCTCCTAAAATGCTCAGTTGTGGGATCCTGGGGAGCTGCAAGTTGATTATAACGAGCTTCCCCAAGCGATTCTGATGCCCAATAATGTCTGAGGACTCCAAGGGAGTCAGAGAGACAAAAATGAAGCCCTTGCTTTAGGCTGGGCTCTTGATTTCTTCTGGATTAGGAAGGGCTCAAGAGCCCTCTAGAAGTGGGGGTCTAGTACTGGCATTTAACTGTCTGTGGGGAATATCTGGAAACAAAGACTGAAAAACCAATAAATAAAAACACCACATGACCTTTAATTAGAGATTCCTTTGGGTTAGCAAATGCCTTTAAAGAAAAAATGCAAGAGCCTTTGGACAAGGTTAAACATACTTTATAGCAAATCCCATTCATTTAATAACGCGAGTCCTCCCTTTCTAATAATTAATTGAGGATGGCACTGTGATAATTAGGGGTGGTAGTTGCCATTGATTTTAAAAGGTGGGGAGAAGAATTGTCTGTTTGATTTTATATTAGTTGTAAAGTTCAACAGGAAGAGGGGCGAGTATGGTAGATGAATGGATGGGAGGTTGAGCGTCTGTAAGTCTAATCAGAAGTGGGACACGACAGGCCCTAAGGGGCACAATAGATTTGATGAGGGGCAGGGGATGTGTTATTGATGTAGGTGTCAGGGCAGGTGGATGGGAGCACACTTTTAGAATGTGACTGACTCAATGGGGGTTTTAGCCCAGTGCTTCGTTCCCTGGCCCGGCTGAAGCCCACTATGACCCTGGAGGAGGGACTGCCATTGGCTGTGCAGGAGTGGGAGCACACCAGCAACTTTGACCGGATGATCTTTTATGAGATGGCAGAAAGGTGAGTTCGATGAACCTTCATTCTCCTGAGGGAGGCTGTGTGGCTGAGAGCAGTAAGGGCCGCAGAGAGACTTGTGTGGGGGTGATTATCAAAAGCCATGTTAGGATGGGGCGCAGCGGCTCACGCCTGTAATCCCACCACTTTGGGAGGCCAAGGCCGGTGGATCACCTGAGGTCAGGAGTTCGAGAACAGCCTGGCCAACATGGCGAAACCCTGTCTCTACTAAAAAAAAAAAAAATACAAAAATTAGCCGGGCATGGTGGCATGTGCCTGTAGTCCCAGCTACTCAGGAGGCTGAGGCAGGAGAATCGTTTGAACCTGGGAGGTGGAGGTTGCTGTGAGCCAAGATCATGCCTCTGCACTCCAGCATGGGTGACAGAGCAAGACTCCATCTCAAAAAAAAAAAAAAAAAAAAAAAAAAAAAAAAAAAAAGGGATGTTAGGCTGGGTGTGTGCTTGTAGTCCCAGCTACTCTAGAGGCTAAGGTGGGAGGATGGTTTGGGTTCAGTAGTTCAAGACCAGCCTGGACAACATAGCAAGACCTCATCACAAAAAAAAAAAAAAGAAAAGAAAAGAAAAAAAGGGACGGGAGGAGGGGTGTAGACTAGGATGGCAGTTTCCTGGATCCTTGCTTCTTCTTCCACCACCTTGACTCTTGGGTTTTTCTATCCTGTTTCCTCTTGAAAGCTCCCCCCTCACCAGATCCTGAATCTGTATAGGAGCCTTGATATTGTAGGTCTTAGGATGGGATTGGAGATTGGACCCCGATAGATATAGAAATTTCATGCTGAAGGGACCTAGCAATGAGGAGGTGTGCTCTACCAGGCAGGTTCTTTTCTCTTCTCATTGACTTGGTAGCAAGTGGCTATTGATACAGAACTTCAGGACCACTCCTCCATTGGAAATAGTGGCACAGAAAATCCCTTTCCGCCTTTATCCCAGGGAGGGGGCTGGTTCTGGAAGAGCCGGGGAAAGCCAGTGTCCTGGATGCCCAAAGTTGTCTCCTGGCTCTTCTTCTATTTCTCTATAATATCTTTGATTAAAAAAAAAAAAAAAAGGCTAGGCGTGGTGGCTCCGCCTGTAATCCCAGCACTTTGGGAGGCCGAGGCAGGCAGATCACCTGAGGTCGGGAGTTCGAGACCAGCCTGACTAACATGGAGAAACCCCCATCTCTACTAAAAATACAAAATTAGCCAGGCATGGTGGCGCATGCCTGTAATCCCAGCTACTCAGGAGGCTGAGGCAGGAGAATCGCTTGAACCCAGGAGGCAGAGGTTGCGGTGAGCCGAGATTGTGCCATTGCACTCCAGCCTCGGCAACAAGAGCGAAACTCTGTCTCAAAAAAAGAAAGAAAGAAAGAAAAAACTCAGAAAAATGAACAGATTCTTCCAAGCTTAGCTTCCACTTACTCCCTCCCAAAACCTTTTGGACCCATGCTTCCTAGACTTACCTTTCCAAGAATCCCATCCCAGTCTCAGGACTCTGGGATCTCACATTGTTTCCTGGTAGGAACTGCCTTGAATTCTTTGTGGTTGTAGGCAGGGGCAAATGAGGTCTTGAGGAGGATCCCACTGTGAGATCCCACCAGGCTGTTGCATAGGCCTGATTAAGTTAAACAAGCCTATATTGAGCACTGCTGTGTACAATCCATGAAGCTGGGTGAGATAGGTACGGAAAACAAGTGAGGCCGGGCACATTGGCTCACACCTGTAATCCCAGCATTTTGGGAGGGTGAGGCGGGCGGATCATGAAGTCAGGAGATTGAGACCATTCTGGCTAACACGGTGAAACCCCGTCTCTACTAAAAATACAAAAAAAAAAAAAAAAAGCCAGGCGTGGTGGCACGCACCTGTAGTCCCAGCTACTCAGGAGACTGAGGCAGGAGAATCACTTGAACCCGGGAGGCAGAGGTTGCAGTGAGCCGAGATTGGGCCACTGCACTTCATCCTGGGCGACAGAGTGAGACTCTGTCTCAAAAACAAAAACAAGTACTGAAAGCCCTCACTGTGTCCAAGAGAAGTTTACAAGCTCTAGATCATTCTTAACTTTTTTTTTTTTTTTTTTTTTTTTTTGAGACAAAGTCTCACACTGTTGCCTGGGCTGGAGTGCAATGGCACGATCTCGGCTCACTGCAACCTCTGCCTCCTGGGTTCAAGTGATTCTCCTGCCTAAGCCTCCCGAGTAGCTGGGATTACAGGCACCCACCACCACATCAGGCTAATTTTGTGCATTTTTAGTAGAGACGGGGTTTCACTATGTTGGCCAGGCTGGTCTCGAACTCCTGACCTCATGATCCGCCCGCCTCAGCCTCCCAAAGTGCTGGGGTTACAGGCGTGAGCCACTGCGCCTGGCCTCATTCTTTACTTTTTAAAAATTTTCTTGAGGCAGGATCTCACTCTGTTGCCCAGGCTGGAGTGCAGTGGCACTGTCATGGCTCACTGCAGCCTTCACCTCTTGAGCTCAAGCGATCCTCCCACCTCAGCCCCACAATAGCTGTGACTAGACGCGCGTCATCACTCTTGGCTAATTTTTTTGGTATCTTTTGTAGAGATGGGTTTTTGCCGTGTTACCCAGGTTGGTCTCAAACTCTTGGGCTCAAGCAATCTGCCCACCTCAGCCTCCCAAAGTGTTGGGTTTATAGGCATGAGCCACCCCACCTGGCCATTCATTTTCTTAAGCTTCCTAAGTTATGACTATAGGGGAAGGAACTATGTGCTGAGCTCCTGAAGTTTCCCTGGAAATACGATTAAGCCACCTGTGACCACCCTCCTGGGTGACATGACTTAGGCAGACTTTGCCCACCTGAGAGCACTTCCTTTCTTGGCCATGCTTGGCTGTCGTCTGGATTTCTGATGGGTCTGGTCTCCTTCTCAGCATTGCCTATGCCTTTCTCACCCTCTGCAGGTTCATGGAGTTTGAGGCTGAGGAGATGCAGATTCAGAACACACAGCTGATGAATGGGTCTCAGGGCCTGTCTCCTGCAACCCCTTTGAAACTTGATCCTCTAGGGCCCCTGGCCTCTGAGGTTTGCCAGCAGCCAGGTGAGGCTACCCAATTTTGACAGGAGCCGTGGGCCAAAGGCTCAAAGGGATGCATACAGAAGCCAGTCACAGATTAGAGAAGGCATAGCCCAGGCTCTGCCACTTTCCCTCTGGAGAGTGGCATTTGATATTCCAAACAGACCACCCCATAGGAGGCTGGGTTCTCAGGTTCCTTTTGCCCTGAACTAGGTATTGATCTTGGTGAAGTAAACTGACTACTCTCACCGAGACTCTAAATTCAGCACATAATACCTCATCTGCCTAAGAAATGGGGACTGGATTAGGGGGTTTCTTGGAATCTCAGGGATTCCAAAATTCCTCATACAGTGATTCTTAGACCCTCTAGGTCCTAAATCTCCCATGGCTGGCGCTTTTTCAGGTTGGCCCAATCCAGCCTGGAACCATTTCAATGTACCCAGATTGCTGAGCTTACAGAGCTGGGAGGCAGAAGCTGTGGTTTCTGTGCTACTTCCCATTCTCCTGTCCATCTCTTACCTTAGTGTACATTCCGAAGGAGGCAGAATCTGTGGTTTCTGTGCTACTTCCCATTCTCCTGTCCATCTCTTCCCTTAGTGTACATTCCGAAGAAGGCAGCCTCCAAGACACGGGCCCCCCGCCGGCGTCAGCGTAAAGCCCAGAGACCTCCTGCTCCTGAGGCACCCAAGGAGATCCCACCAGAAGCTGTGAAGGAGTATGTTGACATCATGGAATGGCTGGTGGGGACTCACTTGGCCACTGGGGAGTCAGATGGAAAACAAGAGGAAGAAGGGCAGCAGCAGGAGGAGGAAGGGATGTATCCAGATCCAGGTCTCCTGAGCTACATCAATGAGCTGTGTTCTCAGAAGGTCTTTGTCTCCAAGGTGAGCTGGGCCTGCACATCTTGTTTCTAGCAGATCCTTGGGGTGGGTACTCCCGGGAACTAATGATCTGGGGTTTGTCCAATGCAGTAGGACTTAGGTTTTATTCTATAACTGAGTAATGTGTGTGCATGCATCATCATGAGAATGTGTGTAGCCGGTGGTGGTCAGTTTACAATACCGGAGGGGTAAGAGGGGAGAGTTGGGGAGCTCTTAGTTTCTTCTGTAAAGCCCCTTGTTTCACAGGTTACCTGCTTACAGACTTACATCGCTTTTCCTTCTGTTATCCAGGTGGAGGCTGTCATTCACCCTCAATTTCTGGCAGATCTGCTGTCCCCAGAAAAACAGAGAGATCCCTTGGCCTTAATTGAGGAGCTAGAGCAAGAAGAAGGACTCACTCTTGCCCAGGTAAAACTGGGGTATAGGAAATATGAGAACGAGAAGCTTGCAAGATTTTATCTAACCCTACACTGTCGTGGGTGATATGGCTCTAGAGATGAACAGCTTCAGGATTGGGCTTCAGGTGCAGAACGAGTAGGTAGAGGGCTATGGAAACACAGGAAATGAGAATGTAAGGGCTCAAAGCATGGGAATAAGGCACAAGAAGGTGGGAAAGAGCTGCAGTATCTGTCTTTGCTACCATCGCTTAAACTACTTGCTTGCCTTCCTTGCCCTGCCCAAATACCGTCTTGTGCCACCCACTCAGCCACCTCTTTCACAACCACGTATAGAACTGACTATTTGTTCATTTCTTTCAGCTGGTCCAGAAGCGACTCATGGCCTTGGAAGAGGAGGAAGATGCAGAGGCGCCTCCAAGTTTCAGTGGCGCTCAGTTGGACTCAAGTCCTTCTGGTTCTGTTGAGGATGAAGATGGGGATGGGCGGCTTCGGCCCTCACCTGGGCTTCAGGGGGCTGGGGGCGCCGCTTGCCTTGGAAAGGTTTCTTCTTCAGGAAAACGGGCAAGAGAAGTGCATGGTGGGCAGGAGCAAGCCCTAGATAGCCCCAGAGGGATGCACAGGGATGGGAACACTCTGCCATCCCCCAGCAGCTGGGACCTGCAGCCAGAACTTGCAGCTCCACAGGGAACTCCGGGACCCTTGGGTGTGGAGAGGAGAGGGTCTGGGAAGGTTATAAACCAGGTATCTCTACATCAGGATGGCCATCTAGGAGGCGCTGGGCCTCCTGGGCACTGCCTGGTGGCTGATAGGACTTCAGAGGCTCTGCCCCTTTGTTGGCAGGGAGGCTTCCAGCCTGAGAGCACTCCCAGTTTGGATGCTGGACTTGCAGAGCTGGCTCCTCTGCAAGGACAAGGGTTAGAAAAGCAAGTCCTGGGATTGCAGAAAGGACAACAAACAGGGGGTCGTGGAGTGCTTCCTCAAGGGAAGGAGCCTTTAGCAGTGCCCTGGGAAGGCTCTTCAGGAGCCATGTGGGGAGATGACAGAGGTACCCCCATGGCTCAGAGTTATGATCAGAATCCTTCCCCTAGAGCAGCTGGGGAGAGGGACGATGTCTGTCTCAGCCCAGGAGTTTGGCTGAGCAGTGAGATGGATGCTGTAGGCTTGGAGCTGCCTGTACAAATAGAGGAGGTCATAGAGAGCTTCCAAGTTGAGAAGTGTGTAACTGAGTATCAGGAAGGCTGCCAGGGACTGGGCTCCAGGGGCAACATTTCCCTGGGTCCTGGAGAAACCCTAGTACCTGGGGATACGGAGAGCAGTGTGATTCCCTGTGGAGGCACAGTTGCGGCAGCTGCCCTAGAAAAGAGAAACTATTGCAGCTTGCCAGGACCTTTGAGGGCCAACAGCCCACCCTTGAGGTCCAAAGAAAATCAAGAACAGAGCTGTGAAACCGTAGGGCATCCCAGTGATCTGTGGGCAGAAGGTTGCTTCCCATTGCTAGAAAGTGGTGATTCCACACTGGGGTCTTCCAAAGAAACCCTTCCACCCACATGCCAAGGCAATCTCCTTATCATGGGGACTGAGGATGCCTCCTCCTTGCCTGAAGCCAGTCAAGAGGCAGGGAGCAGAGGCAATTCCTTTTCTCCTCTGTTGGAAACCATAGAACCTGTCAACATACTAGATGTTAAAGATGACTGTGGCCTCCAACTAAGGGTCAGCGAGGACACCTGCCCACTGAATGTTCATTCTTATGACCCCCAAGGAGAAGGCAGGGTGGATCCTGATCTGTCCAAGCCTAAAAACCTTGCTCCTTTACAAGAGAGTCAGGAGTCTTACACAACTGGGACTCCCAAAGCAACATCTTCTCACCAGGGCCTTGGAAGCACTTTGCCTAGAAGGGGAACCAGGAATGCCATAGTTCCGAGAGAAACTTCTGTTAGTAAAACACACAGGTCAGCAGACAGGGCCAAAGGAAAGGAGAAAAAGAAAAAGGAAGCAGAGGAAGAGGATGAGGAACTCTCCAACTTTGCTTACCTCTTGGCCTCTAAACTTAGCCTCTCACCAAGGGAGCATCCCCTCAGTCCTCACCATGCCTCAGGAGGTCAGGGCAGCCAGAGAGCATCCCACCTGCTCCCTGCTGGAGCAAAAGGCCCCAGCAAACTTCCATATCCTGTTGCCAAGTCTGGGAAGCGAGCTCTAGCTGGAGGTCCAGCCCCTACTGAAAAGACACCCCACTCAGGAGCTCAACTTGGGGTCCCCAGGGAGAAACCCCTAGCTCTGGGAGTAGTTCGACCCTCACAGCCTCGTAAAAGGCGGTGTGACAGTTTTGTCACGGGCAGAAGGAAGAAACGACGTCGTAGCCAGTAGGGAGCAGCGGGACCATCTGACCCCACTTGCCAGTCCCTAAAGGTGGGTGCCCCAGAGTAGATTCCACCCCTGCTGCCCACCAATGGAGAATCCCAATGTTGAATCTCATCCCAATGTTGTTTTGTTGTTCTGCAAAAGTGGCAAGCATGGAGAGAGAGGTCAGACTGGCTAGGCTGCAGGGGGAATTACCTTTGGAAGGAGCTATATAGAAAAAAAATGAATAAAGTGTTTTGTTGGAAAATGCTCTCAGAGTGCCCTTTTTCTGTACTCGTGTCTTTGCTGCTAGATAGGGTTAAGATGCTATGAAGAAAGGCTGTAGGGGTAGTCTTAGATTCTACAAATCCATAAATCTTGTCTCCAGCCTTATCTTGGCTCCCTGCAGCCTCCTCCTGGCAACAGACTGGCTCTCAGGCTGTGATAAGTCTCCAAACTGAGGAATCTCCAATGATCACATTATACATCCCCTCTTCACAAGCCTGGACTTGGTGTCAGGAAGGCTTATCTGGGCATCTTATAATTATCTGCCTCCCTTGAAGTCTATAGATAGAAAGATGCTTTTCTACCTGTTAGATCTCTGAGATAGAGATCTAATTTTCTTTCTTCTTTTTTTGAGACAGGGTCTCGTTCTGTAGCCTAAGCTACAGAGTGCAGTGGCATAACGATGGCTTATTGCAGCCTCAACCTCCTGGGCTTAGACAATCCTCCCAGCTTAGCCTCCCAAGTAGCTGGGACTACAGGTGTGCACCAGCATGTCCAGCTAATTTTTCTATTTTTTTTTTTTTTTTGTAGAGGTGGGGTTTCACCACAGCATCCAGGCTGGTCTTGAACTCCTGGCCTCAAGCCATCTGCCTGCCCCAACCTCCCCAAGTGCTGGGATTACAGGCATGAGCTACCATGCCCAGCCTAATTTTCTAATTGTCCATAATTGTGTCTCTAGGGGGCCTTGTTTTCTTCCTTGAAAAGAGGCTGAACAGAAAGGACTTCAGTGTCCTTACTCATCTTGTGTCAGAGAAACCCTCCTGTGTAGCTGGTCTGACCTGCAGGGAGGAGGCCGGTTCCTTACTGACACAGCTCCTTGCTTCCACTAGGGGCGATGGAATCAAGTCTCAGTAGGATTATTAAATATGGAATGGTAGCAAGCTATTTTTTAATCTTTAATGAGGACAGAGCAAGAGGGAATGGGCTGAAAAGAGGTTCACGAGGAAGTCTGTTAAAATGTACATATAGGAGATGACAGCAGGAGGGAGGATATGGAACCTCAGTATGATTTCTGTGCAGGAAAGAGCCCTGTCCGAAGAGGAAGATTCATCCAGCTATGGCCAAGAGGACGAACCTTGGAAACATTTGTGATTTTCCAACGGGCGTCCTACAACCATTCATCCCTTTCCTTCCCAAGTAATGGTAACATCAATATGACTGGACTTCATTTTTTTTAATAGATATAGATATAGATTTATATTTATATATAAAATAGTTTTTTACAAAAAAATCAACCAAACAAAAAATTAAAATCAACTTAAAAAAACAACAACCAAACAACAATAACAAAATTCAAACAGGAGCAGAGATGGGGCTGAGGCATAGGGGAGGCCCCTAGCGCTGCCCTGAGGAGGAGGGGGTGAGAGGCTGAGGCACTCAGTCTCCCTTCTGCTTGGGTGCTTGCACAGTCCCATTGGCCAGAGCAGTGGGGTTGCCTGGGGATGAGGCATTTGGTGTCTGGGAGGTGCCTCGAGAGGTGTGTGGGGGGCGCAGGTAGGTGCTGAAGAGTTTCCCATAGAGTGGGTCATGGAGGGAGAAGTTCTGGAACTGACCTGGACAAATAAGAGATGGGGAAAAGTGAAAAGATCTAAGAACGAGAAGAGAATCTCCCTGCTTTTTTCTCAGAACTAAAACACCTTGTGCCTCTACTCTGTTTAACTTCTCAAATCCAGGTTCAGGTCCTCTCTTCCTTTCTAGCCTGTTCCTCCCAGCCTTACTTCTCATAGGTTCTGATCTCCAGCACTGGCCACTAACCCTTGTTCCCTCCCAGCCCAGTGCTTTCCTGGATGCTGATGGTGCCCCAAGTGCCCGTGTGGGGCTGAGAAGGCAGTGACTCACAGAGGGAGAGGCCTTGGCTGGATCCTGCCTGGCACAGCTCAGCATGCAAAGCTGTGGCAGCAGGGTGGGGTGAACCCAGCAGCAGGTGCAGGATGGTGCTGAAGCCGTCTTTGTACAGCAGGCGGTTGGGACCCTCTGCTTGCTCTTCAGCAAAGAGCTTGGGAGAGAAAGGGATAAGAGTCAAGTTCTCTCCTCATGCCATGGCCTCACCCTGCCCCACAGACTGGCCTGACAGGCTCCTCCTCTTCCAAAAGGGTGGTGCACAAGCCTTCCCTGACCCTCCAGTGCCCTTTCTGCAGAACTGTAGACTTTATAGCTTTTTCCTTCTTCTTCCTTCTTCTTGTGCCCAGCTAGGTCTCAACATAGAGGCCGGGGGTCTGCAGTTTTAGGCACTGTGGCACTAGGTTGGATACCAAATGCCTAGTATCTAGAAGCTACTGGAAACAGCATACCAAAATAGGCCTCCTGGAGCGGGGTGAGCATAGCCACTAAGCACCCCCCACCACCGCCACCCCCCATTACCTCAAAGGCCAGACGAGTTAGCTCTTCCAGGCTCCTGCCCCCATCCAGAGCTGCTAGTGCAAGGGCCACATCTCGGAAGTCCACCAAACCCTTGGTATCCTGGTGTGAAAAAGAAACCAGGGCAATGCGGGGACCCTGCGCCTCCCTTCCTGCTCTTTGGATTTTGACTCCTCCCTCTTCTCAGCAAATAATGGGGGTGATCCCTGTGACTGCTCCCCTCAGAACTGTGAGCTCCAAACTCTTTAGGATCCCTGGAATTTCTCTCAGGTCATAGGCTTTCTCAAGCTATATCAGGTCACCTGGTGACAAAGCCCTCCCATAAAGGGATCTCCTAGGAATGTAAGGGAATCCCTCAGGAATGCTGAAGCTACTATGAAGTCTCTGACATGCCAGCGGAGGGCAGTCCTGGTCCCCAGGCTAGACAAACTGGTTCTCTCTGACTCAGCCTATGTAGAAGAACTGGTCCAACAGATTGAAAGGGGGACACAGGCATAATTTCTTATGAAAAACACAAGGAGGATGCCTGCTGTACCAGCTCCATGGGAGACCATGGCATTTGAATTTTTGTTTCTGCTCTGCTACAGGCCAAGTGGGGGAAGCTCTTTTCGGGGACAGTCCGCCTCAATCTAAGGAATCTAGATACCTGGTCACTCTGTCCCTTCAGAGGATGTTGAGGGTCACATTCTGCATCTCAGATCAAAAAGCTCCTTGGGACCACTGTTGGTTGTTCATAAGCATTAAGAATCTTTTAGGATTTTTGGAAGTTGACCAGGGAACTTGGTTAAATCTTGAGAAATACATGGCTTGCTAAGAATCTTGAGAAAATTCCTCTAGAGAAGCTATAGGATATTTAAAATAATCTGCCCAAGTCCTACAGATATAGCTGGGTCTCAAGCTCTCAACCATCTAACTGTCCGGTGTTGTTTCTTCTACATGTCATCTTCCCACGTAACCTTCATGACTCTCCTTCAAAGACCCTCACCCAGCACCCCAAAAGGTCTTATGATTCCCCACCTTCGCCACTCTCTAAAGTGGTTTCAGAAATTTATAGTCCTTACTGATTATTTCTCCCTTGTTCCTCCTCATGATGATAACATTGCTCTTCAATGCACTGGATGCCTGATTAAAAAATGAATCTTCAGTGGATCTCAGGGGATGGCCATCTAACAACAGCTGTGAGAACATCCACTGAGGACTCCAAACTGTGAGTGACTGATACGGCCACTAGGAACATGTCAGCCTGGAGGGAAGCCTGGGTTCTGCTCTGCTCTTTGTTCCAGCTCCTTTACCTGCTGGAAGTAGCCAAAGGCACCAGCCACCGTCTGAGGATCAGAGAGCTGTAGCTGCCTGGCAAACTCTTCCTGGCTGATCATTCGACTCCGGCCTGGCTCTGCCCCAGCGTCCACATAGCCAGCGGACAGCCTACGATGGAATTGTTGAAGGCAGAGAGCTGTCTCAGTTTCCTTCTGGACACACCATCAGCAGGACTTCAGCCCCAGTACCAAGAGTTCTATCAGTACAGGTTTAGCTGCTGTTTTTCTAAGATGTACTGACTCACAGTCCCTTGAGAGCACTTCTTACTTTTTTCTTTTCTTTTCTTTTTTTTTTTGACGGAGTCTTGCTCTGTCACCCAGGCTGGAGTGCAGTGGCACGACCTTGGCTCACTGCAACCTCCACCTCCCAGGTTCAAGCAATTCTCCTGCCTCAGCCTCCCAAGTAGCTGGGATTACAGGCATGTGCCACCAAACCCGGCAAATTTTGTATTTTTAGCAGAGATGGGGTTTTGCCATGTTGGTCAGGCTGGTCTTGAACTCCTGACCTCAGGTGATCCACCCGCCTTGGCCTCCCAAAGTGCTGGGATTACAGGTGTGAGCCACCGTGCCCGGCCCCTTCTTACTTTTTTCACCTGCATTATTACATATCCTTCCATTTATTCCCCACTTCCTTTTATTTATTCTATTATCTTTCTTCCCAGTTTTTTTCATTTTTAAGATTTTCCTTCTTCCTTCTCATTTCTCCCCTTCTTATTCTCTCTCTCTCTCTCTCTGTGACACTGCTCATACCCTCATTTCCAAGACCACTTACCCAGCCTTCCGAAGCACTTTTCCCAGTTCCCAGAGCTGTGGTTCCAACGCCACCTTCAGCCGGCCCACCACAATCACAGGTAAGCTCCCTACAAACTCACATTCGGTGGCTGGAATGCCCAGAGCCCTACAGGATGAAGAGGGATGGGATGGAGGGTAAGGAAGCAGAAGAAACTTCTGAGGGTTGGTTCCTGACCCTGGCCCGCTGACTGGAGTAGATCAGGCCCCTTTAAATCTCCCTGCCTCTGTCTCAGCTGTTCAAGAGCCCTTCCCACTGCCTGCTCCTCGATCTTTGCCTGAAAACCTCGCCCCCTCCACGCCCCTGTGGTTCCTTTGCCCTGTGCAACTGCTCCAGGAAATAGTTTGTGGGGCACTCACTGTGCCATGACCCTCTGAACATTGTTGGCATAGAGGGTGGGGTCCCTGCTCTCCTCAGGGCTGGGGTGATACACAGGAAGGAACTGAAACACAGACACACACAATTCTTATCAGAACCTCAAAGTGAGGTATGACCACTCCCACCCTCTTTTCCCAAGGTTTCAGGAGTCTGAGATGTACTTCTCCCACCGCCCCCACGGGAGCCATACCTCCACATCCACAATGCTGCAGGGCTGAGAGGCTGTGAGCCAGAGGACTTTGAGTCTAAGAGAAGAGAGATTTCGATACTCACCAATCTCTAACTATGGGCTCCTTCCCTGGCTCCCACACCCCACTCCCCTTCCCCAACCCAGGTGGGGAGTGGGAAAAGTTCTGCCCATTGATAATAGGGACAGACTCCTAGCCATACAGTCAGGTGGGTGAATATGCAGTTGGGAGACACAAGGAACGGCCAGAAACGCGGTAGGGAAAGAGAGCAGAGCTGCATGGATATGCCAGAGGAAGAACTGTAGGCAAGAGGAGGTTTGAGTAATGGAAGAAAAAGGCGAGAGGCATGCCTGATGGTGATGGTTCTCAGGAAGGGATAATTGAGGGAGAAAATCACAGAAACATGGGAAGATAAATGCATAGCAGCCATAATCACAGCAGGAACAGTTTAGGTGGGATAGCTAATCTAAGCACAGCCAGATTATATGGGGACATCAGGGGGAAAGTGGTGTCTCCTCTAGAGTTCTCTCAGTCCTCAGATGAAGAAGGGCCATTCACCTTGTCGGGAGATTGGAAGATGGGCCAGGAATTCTCTGATGGACCCTGCTCCCCACCCTCACCCCCAGGAATACCAGAACTCACACTCCAGGACCCCTCCATGCCCAGCTGGTGGTGTCCTATGGGAGAAACACAGGTGAGGGCATAAGAGCATTACTTTTTCCCCCTGGAACTGGCCAATCACCTTTGAACAGAGGGCCTGATCCCACCTCTGGTCACAGCCCCCAATGCACATCCCATTAAAGCACCAACAGTTTTCACTTATTTCCATTTGGGGTGGATTTGTGCTCCCCCTTTCCACTCTTTCTTGGACTAAGACTCACCAGACTGTTGGGGTAGCGGATGAGGACAGGCTGCACAGGCACCCCTGCGATGAAGGCTCCTAAATCCCATTTCCACCCCCACCCCCACAAGGCAGAGGTTAGTACACAGAAGTAGCTAGAGGGCATGAGGTATGGCAGTCTGGGACAGTTCTCAAATGAGATATGGTTTTGTTCCACTCATTGATAATTTTCTCTCTGACTCCTCGACTTGACAGCATTAGCTAGGAGGTTCCTGGTCTCCCTTCCTCTCCCATCCCTCCCCCTCTTCTACTTCTTGGGTTATTTCAGAGTCCCTCCCCAAATCTGGAACTTCTTTTTCCTACAGCCCACCACCCACTATCATTTTATTCACCTGGTTTGAACTTAAGCAAAGCCTTCTTGTTGGAACAGGTGCCCTCAGGAAAGAATAGCACCTGGGGTAAAAAAGAGCAGAATGAGGTGAAGAAGACTGAAGAAGGCTGTGGAGAGAGGAAAGGGAAGCCTCTTCAGGAGCACATGGAAAGTGAGAAGATGGTCTTGAGACCCTTACCCACCTGCGGCCACTTGCCTCCTGAGGTGGCCCGCCTTCGGACCTCCTCCACCACTCTGCGTCGAGAAGCCGGGTCATGCCGGGATACCAGGATGGCTTGGTTGAATCGAAGAAGGGCTGGGGTTGGGAAGGATACAAAGAGGAATCACTTCTTTCCTACCCAGGGGCAGTAACATCTGCAGCCTCCACTTCCTCAACAGCATGAGAAGTTTCTGTTATCTCTTTTTTTTTTTTTTCTGTTGTTGTTGTTTGAGACAGAGTTTCGCTTTTGTTGCCCAGGCTGGAGTGCAATGGCTCGATCTCAGCTCACCGCAAACTCCACCTCCTGGGTTCAAGTGATTCTCCTGCCTCAGCCTCCCGAGTAGCTGGGATTACAAGCATGGGCCACCACGCCCGGCTAATTTTTTTTTTTTTTTTACGCCCGGCTACTTTTTTTGTATTTTTAGTAGAGACAGGGTTTCTCCATGTTGGTCAGGCTGGTCTCGAACTCCCGACCTCAGGTGATCCGCCCGCCTTGGCCTCCCAACGTGCTGGGATTATAGGCGCGAGCCACCGTGCCTGGCCTGTTATCTTTGCCCTGGGACAATCCCTTTATAGTAGTTGTCCTTTTAGAGAACTGACCAGAACTCCCTCCAACACCTTCTCTCTGTCCCAGCCCTCAGAATCTAAGACTGGTTGACTAATGGTGTTAATTTATATTTCACTTGCCAACAGTCCCTCCCCACTTTGAGGCCAGTTCTTCACTCCAGTGTCTCCATTCCTGACTTTTTTTGCCCAGAGTTGTCACCCTGCCCTTCACCCCCTTTGAACTCTCTCACCTCCAATGACAGGAACGGAAAGGTTCTCAGCTCGGGACACAACTTTGGGCAGGTCACAGGGCAGCAGAACAATGGGGTCAAAGAAAGTGGAGTGTGGGGCAGCAACAAGGACAGGGGCTTGAAGGCGAGAGGCTCGCTGGCCACGAACGCGAATCCGGAGGAAGCCCAGCAGGAAAAACAGCAGGCGGCTCAGGCCTAGCACCCCGTTGTGGCACACAGTCCTGCCAGGGCAAGGCTGGGTATCAGCGGAAGCAGTGGTTCTAACCCTCACCCGCCCCCAGGTTCAGACACCGGGAAAGTAGGGCACCCCTCTTTTACCCTTAAATAGGATGTGACCAAGGGGCCAAGGTCTCTGGCCACTTTGGGACCTATCAGGGCACATTACTTAGAGGTGAGGTCTGGGAACCACGTCTGAGCTTGGCTGACTCATCTCATCTACCCAAGCTAGACAGAATAGTTTCAGAATGCTCTCTTTTCTTCTTCTCAAAGAGGGAGCCGAATAGACAGCAGGGAAGAGAAGTAGGGTCTCTGGGGGCTGATCCCTCACTTACTTCCTCCATCCTGTAATTGGCTCCTGAAGCTGCTCCTCACTAAGACCGGCCACTTGAAGCCAGGCAAAGGGCCAGAGGAGAAAGAGGACGATAAAGGCCAGAAGCACTCGGATGGGGGCCAGCAATGCCCCCAGGAGGCAGAACTGCAAAGGGTGGGAGAGAATGCCACTTTAGAGCTTGGATATGCTCCCTCCACAGCATCCTTCTTCCACAAAGCATAGACCCAGGAGCAGACAGCCATCATCCCTTGCATGTGACAGGTGGTGTGGGAACAGGAGAGGGGACTGGGACCCAAGGTGGGATGAAGATACCAATGAGGGCAAGAGGATAAAAGATTAATGGCATCAAGGGCCTTATTTTCCTGTCTTTCAGTTGGTCCCTACCCCATTTATAAAACCGAAAGCCATAAAAAGCATCTAGCACTTAGAGGATTTAATAAGAATGCATGCGAAAGTGCAGGGCGCTGTGCTTGATGTACAGTAGGTTAGAGACAGGTCCTCCTCCCCCACATCTTATTCCATAAATAGCTCCTATGCCCAACAGAAACCAGGTGCACAGATCTTTCCACTTTGGGCCTAGGAGGCAGAGGGCTGTAAACAGCCAGAGGTCCAGTTTTCAGACCCGAGGTCATTTTCTGACACTGCTCAACAGCAATCTTAGAGTACCGGGGGATATGGGAGACAAGAGCTCGGCCCCACTCTGCAAGGGAGAGAGGCTGCCAGGAGCCAGGATGACTCCATAGGCTGCCTTGGGGAAGAAGCAGGTAAGCAAACCTAGCCCCTGGAGCCTGCCTCCGGGGAGGTGATGACAGCAGAAACCTTGGACACTCCCTCCCCACACCACCTCCCAGCTCCCCTAGGCTGGCGCGGCCCTCCACTTCCTGTAGCCAACCTCCCTCTCAGCCTCCCTGCCCCCACCGGGAGGTGCTGCAGTGCGGGGTGGAGGGGGGTTGGAGGGAGTGGGAAGAGGGAGTGTAGGAAGGGCACAGGGTCGCAGGCTCCCGGCCCAGAAACGTCTTCCCTCTAAGTCATGCCTCGGAGGAATACTCGGCACGCCCCCGCCCCCGCCCCCACCCCCGGCTTCCCGTAGACTCTAACTCCATCCTAGCCATCAGGCTCTGCAGAATGTAATCCGCATTCCCCAGCGTCCTTCATCTCTCCAACCCCAGGGTCCCCTGCAGCCCTCCATCCCCACCTACTCAGTTTTTCCACATCTTCGAGCTTGTCTATCGCCCAAGCCCGCAGCGTCCTCTCCAGGACTCCTTGCCCAACCGCGGCCGCCCCCACGTGCGCACCCCCGGACTCCCGCTCCGCAAGCCTCTCAGCCATCTCCTTCTCGTGGATCCCCAAGCCCACCTTTGCCAGGGCTCAAATGGCCCCATTTTCCTATCCTCACGGGTCCTTCCGACGCCCGCTCCCCACACATTACCTTAACCCTCTGGAGGCGAGAGAGATGTAACTCATGCACGAAGGGGTTGGGGGATGCTGGGGGTCCGGGGGTGGGATCTAGGGGGGCCCAGTCCCCCGGACTTCCCTGGCTCATGGCGGGAGAAGGTGGGAGGGAGGGCACCCCGGCCCTGGCCCCGGCCACCACTCTGCAGAGCAGCTGCTGCTGCAGCAGCGGCGGCGGCGGCGCTCTGGCCCGGGCCCCGCCCGGTGCAGGCGGCCGAGGGGCGGGGAGCAGGCGGCGCAGCCCAGCCCGCCCGCGTTGTCAGGGCGCCGGCCGAGGGGCGGGGCTTCCAGCGCCCTGGCGCCCCTGCTCCTCCGCGCCCGCCGCGGCGCCCGCAGCCGCTCGGGCCATTGTTCCGCGGCTGCCAGGGCTGGAGCGGGCTGCCCCTGGGCTTCTGCGCCTCCGTCGTTCCTCTCTGAAGACCTGGCCTCCGCCTCGGAGTGGGAGTGGGTCTGGGAGCTGAGCGCAGAGCTCAGAGCGCCCTCTGTCCCCGCCCGGGCGTCGAGGTCACCCAGCAAGCGCAGATCGGGGTGAGGCTCTTGGGTTGGTAGGCAGGGAGGGACAGGTGGGCCGGATGCAGAGGCCGGCAGCTCGCGGGTGAGGCGGCGCCCCGCTCTTCCTATGGGCTCCTTGGCCCGGTCCGCGCCTCCTCGCAGGCGGACCACCTTTCCTTCCCGGTCCGTGGGGCGCCATCGCGCGGGGACTTGAGGCACTTGCGTCCTCTGGCGGCTGCATGGCGCCCCGCAACTCTCCACCTCCGCGTCCTGCCTGTGCTAGGCAGGGCCGCCTTTACTGGTGTGAGGGTTGCTTGAACCCTTGAGGCGCCAGGAATCCCTAGTACACTGACGCATGTGCTTCCCATGAGCCCGACAAGGTCTGGCAGGGGAGAGGCAGTGGTTCCTGATCTCTGTCACTCTCTGGGTGAACGCAGAGGACACAGTAGTAATTCCCCTCACCCACAAGCTCCAAGCTACCCTAGAAAACAAATTGTTTAGCCTCAGGCCATCGTTTGAGATCAGGGACCAGGGAATTAAGTGGACTCTGAGATCCATTGCCATGACAAAAGGGGTAAGAGTCTCATTGCTTGAGGAAAGAATACGCCTTAAGTTCACTTTATGTCTTCTGCCCATTGCATGGCAGTTAGGGGAGCTGAAGGAAGAAAGTGAAAGAAAAAGAGACCTCTCATAACCAAGAGTGTTTGCCGCCACTGGCTTCTCCTTTAAACCAAACTCCAAATTAATCTGCTCCAGGAAATTTTCTGAGCCCAGGCTGAGAGGGTTGAAGGCTCATGCATCCTACTGAGACCAAGGAGCTGCACTGGGATGTTTTTGTATATAACACAGAGGTCCCAACACAAATACATCATTTCCACATTTTATTTTTGTATAGATAGGGTCTCGCTATATTGCCCAGGCTGGTCTCGAACTCCTAGCCTCAAGTGAGCCTCCCACCTCGGCCTTCCAAACTGTTGGGACTACAGGTAGTGAGCCGCCATGTACAACCCAAACCTTTTTTTTTTAAGCAGATGATTTCAGCTTTCTCACCAGAACCGAGAAAGTACAACTGCATGTATTAGTCTCCCTTGCCTTGCCTTTGGGGAGAAGTTTGTGTGTGTGTGTGTGTGTGTGTGTGTGTGTGTGTGTGTGTGTGTGTTTGTCTTTTGTTGTTGTTGTTTTGGGACGGAGTCGCGCTCTTGCTCTGTTGCCCAGGCTGGAGTGCAATGGCGTGATCTCAGCTCGCTGCAACCTCCGTCTCCCGGCTCCAAGCAATTCTCCTGCCTCAGCCTCCTGAGTAGCTAGGATTATAGGCGGGCACCACCACACCCGGCTAATTTTTGTATTTTTAGTAGAGACGGGGTTTCATCATATTGGTTAGGCTGGTCTCGAACTCCTCACCTCATGATCCACTCGCCTCAGCCTCCCAAAGTGCTGGGATTACAGGCGTGAGCCACCGCACCTGGCGGTTTTTTTTTTTTCTTTTTGAGATGGAGTTTCACTTTTGTTGCACAGGCTGGAGTGCAATGGCACAATCTCGGTTCACTGTATCCTCCGCCTCCCGGGTCAAGCGATTCTCCTGCCTCAGCCACCTGAGCAGCTGGGATTACAGGTGCCTGCCACCATGCCTGGCTAATTTTTTTTTTTTTTTTTTTTGTATTTTTAGTAGAGATGGGGTTTCACCATGTTGGCCAGGCTGGTTTCGAACTCATGACCTCAGGTGATCCACTTGCCTCTGCCAAAGTGCTGGGATTACAGGCGTGAGCCACCACGCCCAGCCTAGAAGGAGGTTTAAGGACTAAGATAATGTTCATAAGGTGGGAGACAGGGAAAGATGAGAGTGTAGGGAAGTTTAAATTTTTCCCTTGAATGTTTGATAATTTGAGTCTATAAAACAAACTGATTACATAGATTAAAGGGAAAAGAGGCCTACGCATTTTTTTTTTTTTTTTTTTTTTTGAGACGGAGTCTCGCTCTGTCGCTCAGGCTGGAGTGCAGTGGCACGATCTCAGCTCACTGCAACCTCCACTTCCCGGGTCACGCGATTCTCCTGCCTCAGCCTCCTGAGTAGCTGGGACTGCAGGTGCACGTCGCCATGCCTGGCTAATTTTTTTTTTTTTTTTTTGGTATTTCTAGTAGAGACAGAGTTTCGCCATGTTAGGCAGGCTGGTCTTGAACTCCTGACCTCAGGTGATCCGCCCGCCTCGGCCTCCCAAAGTGCTGGGATTACAGGTGTGAGCCACTGGGTCCGGTCTCCTACAAATTTTATTTGATGCACGCATGTGTGTGGGAGTCATACAAAATATAAAAACTCAAAGAAATGCCCAATGGTTGCTTTTATACCACCTTGAGGTTACAGAAAGAATGAGAGCTTGCATCTGGGCAAAACAGGTTATGGTGGCAAGACAGGTTATGGGAGGGGGAGAAGAAGAGGCCTGGCCAGCAAAGACGGTCTTGGTGAACAAATGAAATCTCACAGACAGTAGCCTTTAGAAGGAATAGGTGGTAAAGGTTTCTGTTAGACCTTTTAAGATGTCAGACTCTCAGTTAATCTTTCCTAAATCTGGACAAGGGAGAGCACCAGAGAAAGCCTTTCTGCATCGATGCAGATTCTCTGCAGATGCAGATCTCCCCCACAAAAGACAGCTTTGCAGGCTTTCTGAACAGTCATCTCAAAATACATCAAATTCAGAATGAAAATTTTTGGTGCTCTTCAAGAGCAATAAATACTATGAAAACCCAACTACAGGGGTAGAGTTTTGATAATCAAATATTTGCCGGTGTCAGTCATCCAGGATGAACTAAGAAGTTCATTTCTATGAATGAGTCATGAAAGCATCCACATTTCCCCTTTTTCTAGCCCCTCACCAAACTATTATGATGGCCTTTCTGCAGGCAGTCTGAGAAGGGGCAACCCAGTTGTAAAGAATAACGTTGAGAAATTGATCATCTCTGGTAGCATCTGTCACTCCCTTGAAAATATCCACCAGGCTAGACAGGTTTCTCCTCCACCTGACCCCTGTATCTGTATCAGTCACCATTACCTGGGAGTACTGGAGACAATGACATATCAATGGAATTCTGGATTATTGGATACCATTAATCTTCTGTTGGAAGGGGGAACCAGACAGAAGCCAGAAGTTACTTCTGTCTAGACTCCCTCCCAACCTCCCATGTTTTATAGCCTCAAAGAAGGCAGTCAGCATTCTCAGCATTCTTTTCTTCTTTTTCTTCTTCTCTTCCTCCTTCACCTCCTCCTCCCCTTCTTCCTCCTCCTTTCCCTTCTCCTCCTCCCCTTCCCCCTCCCTCTTCTTCCTTCTTCCTTCTTTCTTCTCCTCCTCCTCTTCATCCCCTCCCTCCTCCTTTCCCCCTCCTCCTTTTCCTCCTCTTCTCCTCATCCTCCCTCTCCTCCCCTCCTCTCCTTCCTCACTTCCCTTCTCCTCCTCCCCCTCCCCCTCCCTCCTCTTCTTCCTTCTTCCGTCTTTTCTTCTTCTCCTCCTCCTCCTCTCCGTCCCCTCTCTCCTTTCTCTCCTCCTCCTTTTCCTCCTCTTCTCCTCCTCATCCTCCCTCTCCTCCCCTCCTCCTCTTCCTCCTCCTCATCCTCCCTCTCCTCCCCTCCTCCCCTCCTCCTCTTCCTCTTCTCCCCTTCCCTTCCTCCTCCTTCTCTTCCCCCACTTCCTACCTCTCCTACTCCTCTTCCCCCATCTCCTCTTCCTTCTCCTTCTCCCCCTCTCCTCCCCCTCCCATCTCCTTCTCCTCCCCCCACCTCCTTCTCCTCCTCCTTCTTCTTTTAAATAGAGGCAGGGTCTTGCTTTGTTCGTCTTAAACTCCTGGGCTCAAGCAATCATTCTGCCTCAGCCTCCCAAAGTGCTGGGATTACAGGTGTGAGCCACTACTGGTGGCCCGTCCTTTTTAAATTTTTAATTTTATTAATCTTATTTTCATTTCTTTTTAATAGAGATAGGGTCTCACTATGTTGACCAGACTGGTCTGGAACTCCTGGTCTCAAGCAGTCCTTCTGCCTCAGCCTCCCAAAGTGCTAGGATTACAGGTGTGAGCCACCACACTAGGACAAGATTTATTTCTGTTATGAACTGAATGTTTGTGTCTCTCTTCCCCCAGTTCATATGTTGAAGCCCTAGACCCCAATGTGATGGCTATTTGAAGGTGGAGTCTTTGGGAGATAATTGGGTCTAGATTAGATCATGAGGGTAGGACCCTTATGATGGGATTAGTGCCCTTAAAAGAAGAGAGAGAGGGAGAGGGAGAGAGGGAGAGAGGGAGGGAGGGAGAGAGAGAGAGAGAGAGAGAAAGAAAGAAAGAAAGAGATCTTTCTTTCCATGAGTACATATGGAGGAAACGACATGTGAGCACACAGTGAGAAGACAGCTGTCTACATATCAGAAAGTTGGCTCTCACCAGACAACGAATCTGCAGGCATCTTGATCTTGGACTTCCCAGCCCCTAGAACTGTGATAAATAAATTTCTGTTGTTTAAGCCACCCAGTTGATGGCATCTTATTACAGCAGCCTGAGAAGATTAAGACAATTTCTTAAAGGTTCTTAGAGACGATTCCATAGCTTTCTTTTATCTCTTATTTAAAGGAGGGCAGGTTTCTGTACATCTTGTGTTTTCCAAGATAGTTCCAATAATTTTATAATTTCATTTTTTTTCAATTAAGGCAATTCATACATGCATAGTTACACATAATTTTACTTTTATGACTTTAATATTGTATTTTTTTAATGTGCACTTTTATTGAACTGGTCTCAAGTCAGTGTACAGGTAACCCCTTGCTACTTTCACACCTCCATCCAATCCCAGGGAGACCAAAAGCCTTCATACACCTCAAGTTTAGGGACAAAAAGTGTGGCCACAATGGCTCATTCAAAATAAAACAAAATAGGCCAGACGCAGTGGCTCATGCCTGTAATCCCAGCACTTTGGGAGGCCAAGGCAGGCTGATCACTTGAGCTCAGGAATTTGAGACCAGCATAGGCAATATGGTGAAAACCCATCTTTACCAAAAATACAAAAAACTAGCCAAGCAGGGTGGTGCACTTCTGTGGTCTCAGCTACTCGGGAGGCTAAGGTGGGAGGATTACTTGAGCTGGGGAGCTGGAGGTTGCAGTGAGCTGAGATCGCCTCACTGCATTCCAGCCTGGGTGACAGAGTGAGACCCTGTCTCAAAAAAGAGTAAAAACAAAACAAAAACAAAATACAAAGTTATTAAGGCTAAGATTTAAAACATTTTGCATTATGTAATTTGCATGAAAGCAATGCTATCACCTCCCCTGTGTGGACTTAGGAGAGGACTGGGCCATTTTCCTTAGATAGAAGTGGAGTGGCTTTTGGGAGGGCAAAGGAACTTCCTGTAACAATACATTTCATGATATTTGCAATGACTATTAAAAAAAAAAGAACAGGCCTGGCGTCGTGGCTCATGCCTGTAATCCTAGCATTTTGTAAGGCTGAGGCAGACACATCACCTGAGCCCAGGAGTTTCAGACCAGCCTGGGCAACATAGTGAGACCCCTTTTCTACAAAAGATAGAAAAATTAGCAAGGCACGGTGGTGTGCACTGTAGTCCCAGTTATTTGGGAAGCTGAGGTGGGAGGATCACCTGAGCCCTGGAGGTTGAGGTTGCAGCGAGCTGTGATTGGGCCACTGCACTACAGCCTTGGTGACAGAGTGAGACCCTCAGAGTGAGGCCCTGTCTCAAAATAAATAAATAAAATAAAAATTAAAAATAACTATGTACAATCCAAGTTCTTGGCCACATTGTAGAACTTTGGGGGATGCTCATTCCAACAGACTGTTGTCACTTTCACTGTTCCAGTTTGTAAATCCTGAATCATCAAGCCAAAAAAAAAAAAACCAAAAAAAAAAGAAACCCCAAACCAAAACAGAACCCGAAACCAATCAAACAAACAAACACTCCCCAAAAAACAAATAAAGCCATGCCAATCTCATCTTGTTTTCTATGCAAGTTAGGTTTTTGTTAAGAAAGGGTATAACACAACTAAGTAACAGTCTGCTTAGAAGCATTTGCAGTAGAAGATGGGGGCGAGAGAAGTGGGACTCGTATTCCTGCCTGCTGATCCACATCTGCTGGAAGGTGGACAGCGAGGCCAGGATGGAGCCAATGATACACATGGAGTATTTGCACTCAGCAGGAGCAATAATCTTGATCTTCATCATGCTGGGAGCCAGGGCAGTGATCTCCTTTTGCATCCTGTTGGGCGATGCCAGGGTACATGGTGGTGCCGCTGGACAGCACTGCATTGGCGTACAGGCCTTTATGGATGTCCACGTCACACTTCATGATGGAGTTGAAGGTAGTTTCATGGATGTCACGGGTTCCATGCCCAGGAAGGAAGGCTGGAGGAGAGGCCAGGGCAGTGGAACTACTTGTTGCAGATGTCGATGACCTGGCTCTGGAGCAGCTTGTAGCTCTTCTCCAGGGAGAAGCTGGAGGACATGGTGGCCATCTCCTACTTGAAGTCCAGGGCAATGTAGCGCAGCTTCTTCTTGATGTCACGCATGATTTCCTGCTGGGCCGTGGTGGTGAAGCTGTAGCCACGCTCGGTGAGGATCTTCGTGAAGTAGTCAGTCAGGTCCCAGCCAGCCAGGTCCAGACATAGGATGGCACTGGGGAGGGTGTACCCCTTGTAGTTTGGTAGTGTGGGTGACCCCATCACTGGAGTCCATCGCAATGCCAGTGGTACAACCAGAGGCATACAGCAACAGCACAGCATGGATGGCACATATATGGCAGGGGTGTTGAAGGTCTCAAACATGATCTGGGTCATCTTCTCGCAGTTGGCCTTGGGGTTCAGAAGAGCCTCAGTCAGCAGCATGGGATGTTCCTCAGGAGCCATGTGCAGCTTGTTGTAGAAGGTGTGGTTCCAGATCTCCATGTCGTCCTAGTTGGTGATGATGCTGTGCTGGATGTGGTATTTCAGGATCAGGATGCCTTTCTTGCTCTGGGCCTTGTCACCCACATAAGAGTCCTTCTGAGCCATGCCTGCTGTCATGTACTGGTTCCGTGGGCACCCCGTGATGGAAGGCAAGATACCCTGGGGGGCATTGTCACTGCAAGTGTGAAGATATCATCATTCATGGGGAGCTGGCACCAAGTTTGGACTGGTGGAGGAGTGTCGAGCGTGAGGGTCTGTGCTTGGGGCAGATACAGTCTTGGTCTAATATTTTAACATAAATTAACCATATCAGAAAGAGTTATTAAACTTAGGACTCAAACCTATGGAGTAATAATTTAATACTATAATTAAATTAAACACAATCACATACACCTAACCCTCAACGATATACAGAGAAAGTTTTGATACTAATTTTCAATTCTTTATCTCTATGAAGCTGATGAAAAATTCTTAGGCAGTGTGCCTGGTGTGGGATTTTGTAAACCAAAAATAATATTCTAGGCTTCCCAATCAACTGAATAGACCTATCCTCTCAGCCAAGGGCATTCCAAAATTAACCTGAAAAACTAGTTCAGACCATGATGAGATGCAGGAGATGGGGCATGACTTATTTACACTCTCCTGTCTTTGGAATGCAGGCATGGGTGACCAGCATTAACATTAAAATAGAGATCTTAAGAATAAAACAGACTTCCTGTAGCAATAAGACACCAAATTCCAGCCTGACTAAAATAAATCGAATATATATATATATACATATATGTAAAACACTTTGATTTCTTACATATATATTATTATTATATATATTTTGTTATTTTTTTGAGATGAAGTCTCACTCTGTTGCCAGTTCGGAGTGCAGTGGTGCGATCTCAGCTCACTGCAACCTCTGACTCCATGGTTCAAGCTATTTTCCTGCCTCAGCCGACCAAGTAGCTGGGATTACAAGCACACACCACCACGCCCAGCTAATTTTTGTATTTTTAGTAGAGATGGGGTTTCACCATGTTGGCCAGGATGGCCTTGATCTCCTGACCTCATGATCTGCCCACTTTGGCCTCCCAAAGTACTGGGATTACAGGCATAAGCCACCGTGCCCAGCCCCAAAATATATTTCTTTCAGAGATATATATATATATATATATATATATATATTATATATTATATAATGTGTGTGTGTGTGTGTGTGTGTGTGTGTGTATATTTTTTGATACAGAGTCTGTTACCCAGGCTGGAGTGCAGTGATGTGATCTTGGCTCATTGCCACCTCTGCCTCCTGAGTTCAAGCAATTCTAGTACTTTAGTTTCCCAAGTAGCTGGGATTACAGGCGTGTATCACCATGCCCAACTAATTTTTGTATTTTTAGTAGAGATGAGGTTTTGCCCTGTTTGCGAGGCTGGTCTTGAACTCCTGGCCTCAAGTGATCCACCCACCTTGGCCTCCCAAAATGCTGGGATTACAGACAAGAGCTACCATGCCCAGCCTTCTTTGATATATTTTGAAATGGTCCTGCAAAGCTTTCTCTCATTGGGAAAATGTATATTCTATAGAGAATCCTTGATTCTTTCCTGATCCAGGAAGGAATTAACTGAGTCTGACACCTTTTTGGGTCTGATAAATGTCAGGCCTGTGAGCCCAAGCTAAGCCATCATATCCCCAGTGACCTGCACGTATACATCCAGATGGCCTGAAGCAACTGAAGATCCACGAAAGAAGTGAAAATAGCCTTAACTGATGACATTCCATCATTGTGATTTGTTTCTGCCCCACCCTAACTGATCAATGTACTTTGTAGTCTCCCCCACCCTTGAGAAGGTTCTTTGTAATTCTCCCCACCCTTAAGAATGTACTTTGTGAGATCCACCCCTGCCCGCAAAACATTGCTCCTAACTCCACCGCCTATCCCAAAACCTGTAAGAACTAATGATAATCCACCACCCTTTGCTGACTACTTTTTTGGACTCAGCCCGCCTACACCCAGGTGAAATAAACAGCCTTGTTGCTCACACAAAGCCTGTTTGGTGGTCTCTTCATATGGACACGAGAGACAATAAGAGCTCTGAGGCCTGCTACCTGAAGGTTTCATATGCATGATAAAGCCTTGATCTCCACAACCCCTTATCTTAACCCAGACCTTCCTTTGTACTGATTCCAGGTCTTTAGATAATAAACTCTTTCTCTTTTTGGTAGAAGATAGCTTAAAAAACACACACTCCAAAAAACTTCTTTCAACCAATTGTCAGTTAGAAAATCTTTGAATCCACCTATGACCTGGAAGGAACCACCCCTCGCCCCCTCTAGTTGTCCCACCTTTCCTGACCGAACCAATGTACATCTTACATGTATTGAGTGATGTCTTATGTTTCCCTGAAATGTATAAAACCCAGCTGTAGCCCAACTATCCTGGGCACATGTTCTCTAGATCTACTGCGGCTGTCTCATGGGCCATTGGTCACTCATATCTGGCTCAGAATAAATCTCTTCAAATATTTTATAGAGTTTGACCTTTTCATCAATAACCTCTATTCTTTTATCATTTGTTTTCCTCATCTTTTGTGTGTCCTGCAATGTCCTTGCTTCTTGCCACTCCTTCCCTGGTTGTTACTTCATTGTATTATCAGAGGAGTTTGAACCAGAGTGACTCCATCTTGAATAGGGGCTGGGTAAAATAAGGCTAACAACTACTGGGCTGCATTCCCAGGTGGATAGGTATTCTTGGTCACAGGATGAGATAGAAGGTCAGCATAAGGTACACGTCACAAAGACCTTGTTGACAAAAGGGTATGGTAAAGAAGATGGACAAAACCCACCAAAACCAAGGTGGCAACAAAAGTGACCTCTGGTTGTCCTCACTGCTCATTATACACTAATTACAATGGATTAGCATGCTAAAAGAGACACTCACCAGCACATGACAGTTTACAGATGCCATGGCAATGTCAGGAAGTTATCCTATATGGTCTAAAAACGGGAGGAACCCTCATTTCCACAAATTGCCCACCTCTTCCCCAGAAAACTTATAATCCACCCCTTGTTTAACATATAATCAAGAAGTAACTATAAGTATAATCAGTTGAGCAGCCCATGCTGCTGCTCTGTCTATGGAGTAGCCATTCTTCATTCCTTTACTTTCTTAATAAACTTGCTTTCACTTTAGTCTATGGACTCACCCTGAATTCTTGCTTGGGTGAGATCCAAAAGCCCTCTCTTGGGGTCTGGATCAGGATCCCTTTCTGGTAATGTCTTCTGGTTGAACCACGAAGGGACAATATTGAGGAAACCTCTGACCCAAAGAAAACAGCAATACCAATTGGCCGACTTTGAGTAAGAGGAGGGGTACATTTAACGTGGGTAAAGGATGGAATTGGGTTAGAGGCCCAACTTAGGAGGGTTAGAGTCCCTACTAAGACAGAGTTAAAGGCCTCCTTAATAAAAGGCAAGGACACTTGACCAAACTTGGGTTAGAGGCCCAACTTAGGAAGGTTAGAGCCCTTCCTAAGATTCAGGGGGTTACAGGTTAGAGGTCCCTCTCAGTAAAGTCCCTCTTGGTTAAAAATGGATTTGGAATTATGGGATGTTATCTGCTATTCTCTTTGGATTAATCTGCCTTGCACTGTTTGCTGATGGCTGTGGGTGACAGGATTAGGCATGTACAGGATCACCAGATGTGGGAGCATTTTTCTCCCTAAAGTGGGAAAGATGAGAGCTGATGGGACTGTTGGAAGAGCTCCCTTCATTACTGAAAAGCAGGTGCCTGAACTTTTGATTCAGCGTCGCTGCAATGGGTGGGTCTTTCTCTGGCCTCCCGGAGCTATGTACCCTGCCACAGACAATGCTTTTCTCCCCTTTTCTCCTTTCTCTTTTCTATCTTTTCTGTTACTCAGAGCCAACTGTCTGCTGTTTCATCTTGCCCAGAGACCACATGTTGAAACTCCTGGTTGGAAGATCATTGTACCCCACTTTTCTTTTTAGCATATAATCAAGAAGTAACTAAGTATAATCAGTTGAGCAGCTGATGCCGCTGCTTTGTCTTTGGAGTAGCCATTCTTTACTCCTTTACTTTTTTTTTTCTTTTTTGAGACGGAGTTTTTGCTTTTGTCACCCAGGCTGGAGTGCAGTGGCACTCTTGACTCATTGCAACCTCCACCTCCCAGGTTCAAGCAATTCTCCTGCCTCGGCCTCCTGAGTAGCTGGAATTACAGGCACCCACCACCACACCCAGCTAATTTTTGTATTTTTAGTAGAGACGGAGTTTCACTCTGTTGGCCAGGCTGGTCTCGAACTCCTGACCTCAGGTGATCTGCCCACCTCGGCCTCCCAAAGTGCTGGGATTACAGGCTTGAGCCACCGTGCTCCATGATAACTTTTCAGAAAACTTTTTTCTACTTTTTGCCACAACTTTTTTACATTTTTATCCGATAACTTTTTCACCCCAAAACTTTTTTAATCCCATACCTTTTTTATGTTGTGTTCTTTCAATAAACACTTGCATAGTTATACTACATTTTTGTAACAATGAAACAGATTATCTCATGCCAAGCATGCCCAGTATTTGCACAATATCAATACTTTTAATACTATAGTTTTCAAGACACGCAAAATAAAATTTTAAGGCAAAAACAGCACTTTGCAACAATTTAAAAATTTATTGCATTACAGTAGCATCACATCAGCAGTCAATAATGCCACTTTAAGCAAAAGTCTTTCAGTATTTCCGTTACACATTCTGTTAACAAGAACTCATACATTGGTAAAATTCATTCTAAGAAAACTTGGCAAATAACGCTTTGGCCTGGAATTGGCATTTCTTTCTCTACTTTTCCTTCCCACCATTTCTTCCTTTTAAACTACAGGATTTATATTTTAAAATGTTTTATTTCAGAACATTAAGATAGCAGTTACATTTTTTAATATTTATATTATTTTAAAATGACTCTTTAAGATACAGTTTTAAACCCATGGGCTAGAAATCATACGACTGTTAATTAGCCGCATTATTTGGTCTAACATTTTTTATCATTCTGAAACTGGATTTGTGTAATACATTGATAAATTCATACAATTTGGAAGAGTCAGTTGAAGTTACAAGGACCCAATATCTGCCCTCTTTCAGTGAATGCCGGCAAATCTGTTATTCCATTGGCAAAATCGTATTGCTGCTCTCCTGTTAATCTCACATTTATAAAAGGATCATGAGGCTGCCAAGTGCTAAAAATGGAGATGGTCTAGTAACTAGAAAACTCCCCACCCCAGGGAGCACACCTACATATCTCCCTACAACCTAATAATGTGATGTGTTTTGGAACACAGACATTAGAACTTCATGAAGTTTTAACTGTTGATTCTTTCCCAAGCATCATCAAGTTATGATTTAGGCAATGTATGATTGAAATGCATTCATTCATCATGCATAGGCACAATCACAGAAATATTGCACAAAGTATGTCCCTGACTGAAAATGAGAGGTACAAAAACGTATTTCACTCTTCGTAAAGAAGTTTGTGAGGAAATACAACTCTGCGATCGTATAGACATGTTTCCTGATAATACAGACATTCACAAACAGTAGATTGCACCACAGTGTGTAAACATTTTAAGTTGCATAAACTTCTCCTTGATTTTCAAAGATAATATAATACTGTCTACTAAAATTCCTTTTTGTTTCAACTAAGTACTCTCACATATATTAGTTTATAATAATGTTTGTTATTACTTTCTAAAGTGTTTTCCACTCAAGGAAAAGAAGTAAATTCCTATGTCAGAGTAACCGAGGTGGTTGAAGAATAGGTATTAGCCAGAGAGGTCTAGATAGTAAAATCAAACTTCAAGCCTCAAAGAAGCTCCATGAACAGAGAGGAATGCCAGGTGTCACACAGCTTTCCTTCACTCTAATTCATTCTTGACTAGAGCCTGTATGCCTGTTTCAGAGACATTTAAACTCTTAAAGGATTTCTTATGATCTTCACTAAATACATTAAGAAGAATGCCAACCAGCGCCCTTTCGTGTACTGGGACAGGTAGTCATGTGATTAAAACAGGGAACACGAACTCTGACTTTAAAATGTATTGTAGATACAAATGCTCTAAGCTAGGAAAGGTTTTTCACACCCACAGCCAATGATGGCAGCCTTTCATTCCTCGGAAATAAGCCCTTTTTAGGTCACTGAAAAAGAGTGCAACTGCTGCAGCTCACGATGCAATATCTTCATGAGCCCAGAGCACATACAAATCCAAAGGGAACTGCCACAGTACACTGCTCATTCTTGGCACCGGAACAGATGAAACACACTGTATCCTGCACATACCTGCCAGAGCAGGCCACTTTCCTCTTCTGTGAGATTTAGAAAGCTCCCCCAAAAGGTTATCACTCCCATCACCAATACACAGAAAATGGAGGAAAGGCTGTTTCCAGTTCTCGGCCTTTAAACAGCTCTAAATGTCAGTACTCACAGTGGCATATTACAAAGTAATAAACAGTGCACACTTGAGGGCAAACCGCATATTGAGCTATAGAAGAGCTCACTGTGATTAAGATGAGATCAAACATCATAGCAGAACATTAGCAAATTTTATCTGAATTCTGTAATGGACATCCATGCTGCAATAACATTAGAAAAGCACGGGAGCCTATTCCAAACCAGCGAGAACAGTTTTGTGCAAAGAGTGGGTCTTTGTGTGTTTGAACTCCCACCACGTAAGGGCAAACTCGATATGCATGCTAATGACCTACAATTATGAAATGAAAAAAGAAAAATGCTGAAGGATGCCAGAGTGAACATCAGTGAGAGCCACAGAGACCCACTCTCTTTTAACTTTTTACAAATAAACTTAAACTATAAATTAGAAACACAAATAATCATGAGTAGCTCTAACATTCAAATGAAGTAAATGAATTGTGTAGGAGATTAACCCCATAACTTTGTTTCGTTTTTAAAAATTTCTTGAGCAGCTCTTTGATGATGGTGGTGTTTATCTCCTTCTTCTCGGCAGCCAAGCCCAGCAAAAGCATGGCACACAGCAGTTGCTGCCCAAGCCTGGGTGCTCCTGGTGGTCCTGCATCTCACCAAGGAGCTGCACGACTGGCTGTGCAGTAGGGTTGTCCTGGGAAGAACCCTCCCTGGCTTCTCCTTGTGCAGGCTCCACGCTGTTGGTGAGGCTCGCCTCACAAAGATCTTTGGAGAGAGGGAGGCGGGGATCTGAGTGGAGTGCTAGCCGCCCCCCGCTCCTGCCTGCTCACCCCGCCTGGGGGCTCTACTCACCACCATGCTTGTCGGCAGCCCCGAGCTCCTGGGGGGCTGGGGCTCCTGGACTGGGTTCAGCAGCAGGGTTCCGGGCAGCGGCCAGGAATTTGCCGTGCCCCTCGCTGTAGCTGCCACAAGCCGCAACACCATCTCCTGCAGCTCCAGCAGCTTCACCTGAAGGGACGGGTGCTCAGCTGTCAGGCCGCTGCTGGCGCCCACCCTCATGCCCACCCCACCCACACCCCCACCCCACCCCCACCCCCACAGGGATGTTGCACACCCTACCTTCCTCTCCTCCTTGTCCTGGGCCAGCCTGATGATGGCCTCCTCCCGGTGACGCATCTTTGGCACTGTCCCCTGGCTCTGTTAGAAGGCGATGTACTTTCCTGCGGGAGGACAGGGCTCAGACGCTGGGGCCCCTCCCATAGCCCTGCAGCTCCCCCTGCCGTGCCCTGGCCTCCCACTCACTGATGGCATCTCTCTCTCCGGTACTGGATGAATCCAAGTTCCAGTTTCTCCACATGCTCCCTCAGGTCCGCCTTCTCCTCCAGGAGGTCCATAAGGCCGCTCTGGAGCCAAAATAATGGGGTCACATCTCAGCAGCGACCTGCCCCAGCCCTGCCCTTCTTGGCCCATGCTAGGACTCACTCCCCTCCAGCTTCTCCATGACTTCCTGCAGGGCCCGGAGGGTCTCCCCACTCACAGACTCGCCCCCAGTCCCTGAGGCTGGGACTGCTGCCTCTGGCTCCTTCTCGGCCGAGGTGAGCGTCTCCATCACCTGGCCCAGCTTCTCCTGCAGCTCCTTTACTTGCTGCTCCAACTGCAGTGCGCTCTTGTTCTCGTGCTTCTGGACAGAGAGAAGCAATCAGCAGCCACCCACTGCAGCTGGAGACCCCAGAACTTGGTGTCTGCCTCCCATGGCACCGGGAAGGGTGGAGCCAAGTTAGAAAAATACTCTCCTCTCTCCCACAGCCACCAGAGCAAAGCTCTGGCTCACAGGTGCCTTTGGAAGTAATATTTCATGTGAGGGCTACACTGCCCCATTTTACAGGTGGGGAAACAAAGGCCTGGAGGGCTAGGGAGGAGGGCAGGCTCCCCAGGTGGGGCAACCCACCAGCTCCTCCAAGTCGCTCTGTGGCTCGGCCAGCTGCTGAAGCCTCTTCTCCCGTTCCCGAAGCCTCTCCTGCTGCTCCTGAAGCCTCTCCTCCTGCTCGCGAAGCCTCTCCTTTTGCCCACGGTTCAGGAGACTGATGCACTGATTGTTTTCCACCTGAGCCTGGAGCTCTCCTGCCACTCTCTCCAGCTCCTTCCTCAGGTCTTGCAGCTCCACCTCAGAGGACACTGCTGGGGCATCCGGGGGCAGTGGCTCAGCTGAGAAAGGAAGCAGATCATAAGGGCCTCTGGATTCTCAAAACAAAAATCAAAACAGAAAAAACAACAAAACACCCTCCTGTTGGCGCACAGCTCCTCTCAGGCTCCCAAACTTGGCTTCACTGCTAACGATCCCTCGCACCCGGATGGTAGCCAGTCTTCCAAACCACTTTCAGATAGAGAGCACTGCGGGTGGCTGACAACGGGCCCTCTTTGCTCATGGGGACACTGAGGCTCAGGGAGATGACAAGACTTGTCTCCTGGCACAGACCTCTTTCCCTCTGCCTCAAAGCCCTGCCATCCACCCACCTCCCTGGGGCACTCTAAGCCACCCCCACAGCCCTCTGATGCCAGTCCTGCTCCCAGGTCATGCCAGCCCCATCTTACCCATCTGGTTTTTGAGTCTGGACAAGCTCCTCTCCAGCTCCTCTACCCGATGCGTATCATGCTTCTTCTCCTCCTTCAATGTGCAAACCTGCCCAAAGCACAGGGGGAAAGGGCCCTGGAGAGAGGGGCTGGTGGCTGGACAGGCTCCCATCTCCCTCTCTGCCCCCACCTCCACAAAGCCCAGACCCAGGACCACCTCTGGCTGCACTATTCCCATTTTAAAGAGGCCCAGAAAGATCCAGTGACCTATCTTAAGTTGTTGGTGGGGGGGGGGTGGGGCGGGAGGCTGAAGGGTCAGATCTCACCTCCTGCGACATTTTCCTCATCCTCTGCTGCCACTGGGCCCTCTCTCCTTTTATTTGTTCAGCATATTGATCTCTCTCCAGCTGGACTTCTTTAAGCGACTCCTTCAACTGCAAGAATGGCCACACAAGTTAGGAAGGGCCGTCACTGGTCCTCACCTGCTCCTGGCCACCTGGGGTCATCTTCCTTCCACATCCCTCCCTCTGCAAAACCTCACCTGTGTCACGTGTCCTTTCAGCAGTATCTGCTCCCGTATGGACTGCTCTAACTGCCGCTTGAGAAGTGCTTTACTGCGGCTCGAGAACTGGATGGTGAAGAGTGAGAAGTTTCGATCTGGGGAGCCTGGGCCATTCCACACAGTGCCCCTTAAAAGGGCTAGGGCTAGGCTCAATATACAACTCGGTCAGTAAAGATCAAGGCATTTCCAAGCCCGTGGTCTGGTTTTGAAAAAAACTCAGTGAAGTTGGAAGGGACAAGGAGAGAGATCAGATAATATTGCTATTGTTATTACTCCCACTGTTTGAACCTTTGTGGAGTGCTTCAGCAGGTACCTTGCTAGCAATCCCATTTAATCCTCGCAACCACCAGAGGAGACAGTTACTATGATGCCCTCTCTTGGGTAGATGAAAAAACATGGAGTGTTTGAGGTTAAGTGCTTGCCTAAGATCACTTAGGCAGAGCTAGGATTTGAACACCCAGGTCTATCAGATTCTCTAAGCCCATTTTTCTGCTGGGGGTGGGGGCACGGTTAGGAAGGGGAAAATTAATCTTTTGTTCACTTTTTGAAAAGATGATACATTCACATAGTCCAAAACTCGGAAGGTATCAAAGGGAAGTATCTCCCAGCCACCCTGCTGCTCTCTCCTGAGTTGTTTACGAACACTTGCAGACATGTTTTATGTATATTATCATACTATGTACACACACACACACACACACACACGTTTCCTCTCTCTACAGAAATGGGAACATACTAAAGGTACCCTTCTGTACCTTCACAGTACAAGTACCCAATACCCCACACCCCACCTAGGACTTGGCCAAGACCACAGCCAGGTAAGGGCAGGGCAGGCACTTGGCCTCCAAGCTCTGCATCCAGTGCTCGCTCCCCACCGCGCCCCCCGACTCACCCACAGCAGCTGACTCAGCCTCAGGCTGCCTCTAACAACCATACACAAAAGCAGTGAGAAATGGCCATGCTGCCTTCTGGGCAGGACACTCCATCCTGCAGAAGGGACCTTTAGGCTCACTCCTCCATCTGTGAAGCCGGGCTCCCAGGGGACAGGGCAGGTGACTGGACTCACCCCATCCGGCTTCTTCTTCTGTGTGGCGGCGACAGCACAGAGAGACCACTCTAACTCTCCTATACGCTGCGATGAACGTTGCAGGCGGCCGGCCAGATCCTTGGACTCTTCTGTAATGACAGAGTTGACATGGGGCTCAAAGGACTCCGCCTTACAGACCTGTCAAAGTGCCAGGTTGAAGGATGACAGGGTGCCCAGATTCCCACCTTCAAAGTATCTGAGAGAATGTTTCATGTGATACAGGTCCGTATTTAGTTTCTTTTTCTCTGTGTTCAATCTCTGGATTTGACCCTTTGGGAGAAAAGCCAAGCAAGTGCTGAAATAGAAGGAAAGAAACATTCTCCGGAGGACAGGAGGAAACTTCACACCCTCCACTCACCTCTAGCTCCCTTTCAGCTTTCTGTTTCTCATTGTTTGCTTTCTTTTCCTATAGGAAGAGGAAGACAGAGCTCTTACCAGGGGGAGGCAGAGAAGGCACAGCAAGAGATATGCCCCCAGAATGCCACCAATGCCCCAGGACAGGCCCACCCATGGGACCAGGTTATCAGGGACCCTGTGGGGATGGGGTGGAATCTGAGGGGTGAGCCTCCTTCCCCAGGCTGGGAGTGGGTGAGACGAGACTGGGGCCTCTACATCTGAGTGTCCCCCAAACCCAGCAGTCATGTCGCCAGCAAACAAAGAAATCACGTTACTTCTTCCAGCTGATGTTCCACTTGTTTCTTCTGTTGTTTCTGTGGGGAGAGTCAAATTAAAGTGATGGAGGGTGGCCCCCTCAACTCTATTCCCCAGACAGGAAGCGGCAGGCAGGGGCCAGGAATGGATTTTAAAGGCAAAGTTCTCAGACCCAATGGGAACAGGAACTGTTCCCAAGCTCCCAAGGACAGAGGATTTGGGTCTTTGTTGGTTTTCAGCCACAGCCTCACAACTCAAAGTCTGAATCAGGAATCTCTTGAGAGGACAGTAACATAAACCTCTAGAGATGGAGTTTGAGAAAGGCTCCCCCTTCTGCCAGCTTGTGATTTAGAAAAGTGTGTTCATTCAATAGACATTTACTGAGCACGTACGGGCCAGGGATGGTTCTTCACAGCCGATATAGGATGGAAAAGAACAGACAAGAGCCCTTGGCCCTGAGCTTTCCATTCTAGGGGGCCTTTAAATCTCAGACTCTCAGAGCTAACACAGACCTTTGATACTCACTACCTCCTCTGGAAACACGAGCCCAAAAAGGAGAGGTGGCTTGTCCAGAATCAAAGAGCAAATTAGGGACTGAGTCATGGCAGAAATACGGGGCCCCTGACAACCAGTCAGGCCAGCACTTCCCCAAGAGGCAACAACCCCAGGGCGTGTGTAGCAAGGACTCGAGTAGGGGTGCCTGGAGAGGAGAGAGTCGGCAAAGAGGGCAGCAAAAGAAGAGCCATGCTGCATGCTCTGGGGTCCCGCCAGGTGAGGCCTGGGCGCCCCAGCTCCCTATCTGCCCTTGGCACCAGGGGCCCCCAGCCCCCTTCTTCAGGGCCCCAAGAGGAAACCGGAGCCCAGGATTGGCAGCGTGGAATCAGGGGACCCCACTGGACTCTTACCAAAGATTTGATGGTGTCATTCAGTCGACTGATTTTTATGGACCTCGAGTTCAGGACTGCTGCTTGTTCTTGGCACGGGCTCTGACGCGCATGCAGAGAGGAGGAGGCGGAGGAGGACTTGGGGGAGAGGTAGAGAGAACGATCATTAGGGCTGGGTTGTGTGTGGGCTGTCTCAGCTGGCAGAGGGGCACCCAGTCCCCGCTGCGGGAGGAGGTTGGAGGGCTGGCCTGCGGGGTCACTGCACCTCCGCCCAGAGCCTCCTACCTCCAGATCCTTCAGGGTAGCAGATGATGTAGGGCCCTCCCCGTGGATACCTGTTGCTGACTATAAGAGATGAGACTGCACATGGAGATGTTCTGTCCCCCTCAGTGTCTGAGCCCTCCGACTTCCTTTCTTCCCCATCAACTGGCAACATTTTCTTTTCTGCCTATCTTGGACCCTTTGTCCCATAACTCCTTTGTGCCAACTTCTCTCACGGTTCTTATCTCCCCACCATCCCACCCTGGGGGCCTTGCAGTGACTCCTGATGGGAAGTGGCTGTTCTCATTGTCCTGGCTTCCCCTTGAGACTGGGGATGAGGAAAATCAAACAGCAAAGACCATATCCTGGGTGTCCTGGGTGTTGACAGCAGGCCATGTACTAGGGATTAACATAAAATCGACAATTATCAATCTCATTGAAACTTCACAAATACAAGTCAAACAATACCACCTCTATCATACAGACGTGAAAACAGAGGCCCAAAGAGCTCAAGCAACTTGCCCTAAATCATATCCCTAGCAGACGGAGAGGCAGGATTCAAACCCAGAATTCTTTTCTTTTTTGAAACGGAGTCTCTCTCTGCCTTCCAGGCTGGAGTGCAGTGGCGTGATCTTGGCTCACTGCAAGCTCCGCCTCCTAGGTTCACGCCATTCTCCTCCCTCAGACTCCGGAGCAGCTGGGACTGCAGGCGCCCGCCACCACGCCCGGCTTTTTTTTTTGTATTTTTTAGTATTTCACCGTGTTTGCCTGGATGGTCTCGATCTCCTGACCTTGTGATCCACCTGCCTCGGTCTCCCGAAGTGTGGGGATTACAGGCGTGAGCCACTGTGCCCGGCCAAATCCAGAATCCTTCACCAGTACCCAACAGTCCATCCACAATCTTAACGATTGCCCTCTACTGCTCCTTGGGCCCCCTGTCCCCAAAAGCCTGTCCAGGCAAGACTCACAGCCTCAGATGAGTGGCAACCACCAGAAGCGGCCGTCTCAGGGCTACTGCCATTTGCTTTCGTGTTCCTCTTCGCTGCTGCTGGAACACCAGGGCGGTTTCTCTGCCAATATTCTTTGAACTGTGGGAAAGAAGAGCAGTAATACTCATGAGAACTATCAGCCCCTACAGCCACATCCTCCTTTATAGTTTTTATAAAATACTCTTATATACCATCTGATTTAATGACACCAACAACTCTATAAGGTGTCACAATCATTTAGGGACTGAGAGGGATCGACATCATGGCTAGAAAAAAAGAAAAAAGAAAAAAGCGATACTGGAACTTGGAAACTCAGTCTTCCCACTCTAAGCTCTGGGGTTTTGCCAGGCACCAAACCCAGAGGCAGAGGTAGAAAAGTAAACATTAAGTAGGCAGGAGCTGTATGTCATGTGGTTTAGAGTCGTACATCTTCACACGTCTGTTATTGGGAAGAAGTGCACCAGTACCTCTCAAACTTTTATATCAATGTGTCCTCATGGCAGAAGGCAGCCTTTCTGTGAAATCTGGGAATTTATCAGAAAGAGGACAACCCAAGCCTCATTTCAGAGAGAAGTCTGGTATACTCTTAGAAACCTATGGGACTGCCATCCCTAAGTACATTCATGTTTTTTCTCTTATCTCAAGATATCTCAAGAGAATCAAAGGAAACTGATGCTTCAGAAAGATGTCCCACATTTATCCTGTGGTACTCAAAGCACCCCAGCTTGAGATAATATGAGGAAGATTCAAACTGTCAAGTTCAGTCTCCCAAGATCTATTCCACAGAAGATGAGGAAATCTCACTTCAGAGACCACTGACTGAAGGTCCCAGACTGAAGTCTGGTCCCAGAACCATGGAGAATTAGAATATGAGGTGGAGAACTCGGAAAAAAATGTTAAAATCTCTTTGGAAAGTAGAAGCTTGGGAGAAAAACCAAACCAAACCCATTCTCCCATCGCCACCCAGAGACACTGTCAACGTTTTGAGCTCACGGGGGAAGTGTAGGCTTTTCCCACTGTCAATGTCTATGGTAAGGGAGTAAGGCAGCCTGAAACCTCTTGCTCCCAGGTCCCATAGTCTCCATTTCCCTTCCAGCTGGAAATTTCTGCTGTGACCAGAAGAACCAGAAACGGGGTGACAACGTTTAGGGGACTGGGTCATAAGACCAGGGCCAGTCTTCCAGTAATGACAGTTAGTAGGCAGACTGTGACATCACTACATTCCACTCCTCCTAGTGCGGGGGAGGGACCACATCAGCGCGATGTCCGAGTCTCCACTCCACAACGCGGGAGGGAAACACAGGGTTGTGACCCAGGTCCTTGGAGACGCCAGCACAAAGAGCTCAGGGAGGTCGACCTTGAGGCAGCAGGAGGGGAGGGCAGAGTCTGCAGCAGGGAGCCCCAGGAGTCACCAGCCCAAAGTCACCCAGGGACAACTGGCGAGGGCGGGGCCTGGGGCTGGGGGGCCCAGGTCCTTGGATATGCGAGCCCAAAGAGCCCAGGGAGGTCCAACTTGGGGCGGCAAGAGGTGAGGGCCCAGTAATGGAGTGGGGCGCCCCAGGAGTCACCCGCCCAACGTCACCCCGGGGTGATCGGCGAGGGCAGGGACTGAGCTGTTTGCTGAAGGGGCAGGGCTGACTGACAAGACTTTTGTAGGGGGAGCCCAGAAGCGCCGGGGTTGGGGGGCAAAGTCCGGTGTGCGTCAGGAGTAGTATGGACTGTGGCAGCGGTCTTGTCGTCGGAGGGGATCTGTGGCTGGGTTAGCGGGCCATGACCCGGTACGTCTTTACCTTTTTCTTGGCTGCAGCTAATTTACTCTGTCCAGTTTCTTCTGCCATTGTGGGGTGGGGAGGGAGGCGGGGCTGGGGCCACGTCAGCCAAATCCCAGCGAGCGCTGATCAACACATCCAGTCACCTGGAAGACAGCTGCGTAACTGACCCAGAGGCAGCGTAACCAGGGCCACAGTAGAATGCAGAATAGGGGCGTGGCCTTAATGCTTCAAGCCCATTGGCCAACGAGAAAGATGACAGGGAAAGGGGGCGTGGCCAGGCGGCAGTGTGTCCAGAGGGACCTGTGGCTCATCAGGAAAGCTGCCCATGCAACCGCTGTCCCCACCCACTCTGAGAGAGGGGAGGGGCCGCCCGCTCTGGGAGAGTGGAGGGGCTGGCTTTTGCTTTAAAACCCTTAAAACTTTAAAAATCATATGTGTGTATACTTTATATATATGTGTGTGTCTCTCTGTGTGTATCCATGTGTTCCTCCAGAGCTGTCTTCATTAACCAGCTTCTATGCAAGGTCTGTCATTTTGGCCTATATTTTTCATCTTCAAATACTGTATAAAAATTACCAGTATTACCTGAACTGAGATACAGATCCTATAAAAGTGGGAAATCCACAGCATGCTTGATGATTAATGAAGCAGACTATATTATCCAACATTCCAATGAGATAAAATAATCAAAATGATTTCTTTTTTGGAAAAATGTTTCTCTTATTCTCCTACATTGTTGCTGTTTTTTCTTTTTAAACAGGAAACATGGTTAATATCCGTAAAAACACAAAGCTTTTGGGCTGGGTGCGGTGGCTCACACCTGTAATCCCAGCACTTTGGGGAGCCCGAGTCTGGTGGATCACCTGAGGTCAGGTAGTGGAAGTGTGAGCCATCACACCCGGCCGGCTTCATTTCAGAACTCTTTCCCCAGCACTCCATATACTATGAATAATTCCTTTCTTCTTCTTTGGATAGCATTTTAGTCATATCTCTATTACCCCACTTGTCACATGATAATCAGTGGCTCACCCATCCATCTCCCTTGATTGCTCATGAGCTCCTTGAGAAGAGTCTGATTTTCAGCACCTTGAACAGTGTGCCACACATACATGCTTCATACGCAGAGAAGGAAATGATTTCACTACAGTGTAATTATTCCCAGAATTCAATATCTGTATTTCTAAATTGTTCTAGATACTCTGCCAACAACCTGAGAATGTTATGTTTTTTCCCCAAAACTTCCATCCATTATTGTGTGTCTATGGTCATAGTTAACTCAATTGTGACGTCACCTTTGGACAAGCCCATTAACAGTTTCTTTTTTTTTAGGTGATTTTTAATTTTAATTTTTGATTTTGATTGTTTCTTTTCTGTTTTTTAAATCTAGCAGTGTTTGGTAAACTTCAACATCTCTATATCCCCGTGTCTCTGCCCCGCTGGTCTCTGCTTGGAATAATGTCTCAAGGTTTTAGTCACCTGGAAAAAATTTCTACTCACCCTTAAAGAATCAGAAATAAATAGGCTGGGCATGGTGGCTCATGACTGTAATCCCAGCACTTTCGGGAGGCCAAAGTGGGCGGATCACCTGAGGTCAGTAGTTCCAAGACTAGCCTGCCCAACATGGTGAAACCCCGTCTCTACTAAAAATACAAAAAATAGCTGAGCATGGTGGCAGAGGCCTGTAATCTCAGCTACTCGGGTGGCTGAGGCAGGATAATTGCTTGAACCTGGGAGGCAGAGGTTGCAGTGAGCTGAGATCGTGCCATTGCACTCCATCTTGGGTGACAGAGTGAGACATCATCTGAAAAAGAAAAAGAAAAAGAAAAAGAAAAGCTTAAATAATACCTTCTCTGAGAAGCCTTTATATCTTCCTATTCTTTCAGGAAGTGTTGAAAATTCCTCAACTTTTGAAACATTTGTGCCTCTATTACTGTGTATCAGGCAGTGAACTGAGTGCCCAGGATAGAAAGATGAAACTGTAGATCCTGCCCTTACGGAGCTCATGGTCTAGTATGGAAAACAGCCATATGAACAAATAACCACACTATAGGTCTTCAGAGCTCAAGTCCTATCCTAAATACTGTGAAATTAATGTTCTGTGAGGTTTTGAAAGTACTAGGGCCAGAGACAATATGGCTGCTTGGATGACTTTCCATCCAAGTTAACATTCGGCCCTCATCACAAAGGGAATACATGCGTGCATCTTCCTTGCAACCCACCAGTGCCTAACACATCATATCACCACTTTTGAAATCAGGAAACAGGCTCAGAAGTCCAAGAGCTTGACCAAAGTAACTCAGCTGGTAGGTAGCAGAGCCAGGTCAGTATGATTCTTCTTCAATATCCTGCCAGCCACATGGGCAAGTGGCCTCAAAATCAACAAAAGACAGGTAGAGGTTGACATGCATCAATGGAGAGAGGCTCAAAAGGAGGATTTTATACACAAGAATAGAACAGAAATGTTCTGGAAGTATATCTGTGGATGTGAAGCAGGAGGGGGCACACCAGGTTTCACCTTGGTCAAGTGAATCTATAATTCCAACCGGGGCCTCGCCGCCCCCCACCCCCCCGAGCTCCAGACTTAGCTATCTGTCTTTCTTACTCTAATATAAAATCCACAGGGCAGGACCTTAATCTCTAGCTTGTTCACACAGATTAAAGCAGAGTCTGGCTTATAATAAGGACTTAATAAATACATGAATGAATAAATAAACTATCAAAGAAGCTAAAGAAACATTCCACATTCTTGCGGGAAGGGATTACCATGAAACAGACCCTAGCAGTCACTTACAAATACAGTTGACCCTCATCATTGGAGTATCCCATATTTTCAAATTAGCTTACTTGCTAAAATGTCTTTCTAAGTCCCAAATTAATACTTGTGGCACTTTCAAGGTGGCTCCTGGATAGACATGCAGTAGTGAAAACTCTGTCACTCTTTGCACACGTCCCAAGCTAAGGTCAAACAGTGACCTTGGTCTGCTTGTTTCAACTCTCATACAAAGATGACCTGAGGACAGAGACAGTAGAGGACACTGCAGGGTAGCGCAAGAAGCTGTGGCTCTGGGGCCAGTTGGGCGGGGTCTGAATCATAACACTGGCACCTGTTAGTGGAGTGGCCTCAGACAAATCACTTACAATTCTGTACTTCCTTTATTCTTTTGGAAAGAAAGAAAATTCAATCTACCAGGATGAGTTGTTTTTAGGAATTAAGATGATAACCTATATGACATATGTATTTATGTACATATTTACCCTGGAAACAAGGGTTTGCTATTTGATTAATTCAGTGTTCCAGGCAACTTTGTAGAATATTACTCCTGCAAATAGTAAGAATTGGCTGTAATTAAAGAAATAACAGAGATGTAGACAAAACAATTATTTGGGTGAGCTACAGGCAGTCTTCAAGAAGCTTCTGAAGAAACAGAACTTCAGCAGGCACTTAAGCTGTAGAAAAGGCTTGCAAGGAGATAGAACAGCACCTACAGAGAGAGGTCCAGGTGGGGTCAGGAAATGGCATTTCAGGAAGTCTAGAGCAGTAGAAGATGAGGCCAGAACACGGCGCCACAGTGCTGCTCTGCACCCTCTATACACCCTGTACTGCAGAACCTCACTCTCTGCATTTAGTTCTTGGTTTCTAATTCTCTCTTCCATTAAACTGTGAGCCCCTCAAGGTCAAGGTCTCTAAGAAGAAACCATAGCTACAGTCCTCTAAATTTGAAAACAAGTTATTAAACACAGATACACCCAAGAAGACCGTACAAAAATAATGTTGGATTTCAATTGCAGTCATAGAAATTCACAACTGGTATACATTTGCAATCTGTCCAGGATTTTTCTCTGATGACTGCCGTAACTCTGTCATAAACCCTTTTCATTATTTGAGACACCGAGACATTTGTTAGAATGTTTGGGAAAGACATTCTAAAAGGGCAAGAAAGACCTTGATCTTTTTTGTGTAACTGATTGACTGGTTGACTGACTGAGATGGGATCTCATTATGTAGCCCAGGCTGGTCTGAAACTCCTAGGTTCAAGCGATACTCCTGCCTCAGCCTCTCTAGTGGCTGAGATTACAGGCGCACGCCACCATGCTGGGCTCTAGTGTGATGTATTTACGAGGCTTAAACATATGGTTCATTACACAAGGCTGGCACCTCAGAGTAAAGATTTTTTAAAGTTCACTCTAATAGACTTATTTCTCTATATGCAAGATACAATTTTACCACAGTAAAACACAAGGAAGCATACTGATATACATATATGTTACAACAGGATAAAAAAAAGCAATATAATTTTCTCCACAAAAGCTTGCAAAATCCTGGCCAAAACACAGTAAAGAGGATGTTAATCTCACAGCTCACGTTTCTCCACTGAGACCCAGGAAAAACAATGCCAGTTTTTGTACAGTCACAAAACTAAGCACTGTGAGAATTTACAAGATTTGGTTAACTTGTATATTCTCCCCACCCTGACAGACAAGTCCCAAAGGAGCCTAGCAGTTTTACCCCAACATTTCAATCTCCTCCAACCTCCAAAATAAAACCCTCACTGTCCAATATCTCAATTTATATTTTCAAACGTCTAAAATCTTAATCGAAACAAAGAGCAGTGCATTAGCTTTGCCGCCATAGAATGCTTGGTATAATTTTACTTAGGCACATCACAGATTGTGCTATTGCCTAAAAACATATGGGTAGAACCAACATTCCTAGAAACCAAACGCATATATTACGAAGGTGAAAGGGAATAGGGAGTGTTGTTTTTAAACAGATAGAACGCTGTGATTGTCCACTCATAGGTTAGGTGTGATCAAATCACATCGTGCTGTACAGCTAAGTATGTCCTATATTGTATGACAAAGTAGGGTAACACATTATTTATTGAGGACCTGTTGGGTACACAGAGGCACACCACAAGCTGTAAAAGACTTCATTCTTGCCCTCAAGAAACTTCCAAGTTTCTAGACAGCCTGATAGAAGGTAGTCGAAAGCAAATACTTCAAGCACTAGCCATCACAATTACCTTAGGTATTTACGCTACCCTTCTACGAGTCTCTGAATATTTCGAGGCCCCCTTTCCTATTTCCCATGGGCTCTATGGCTCAACATTCTTTACAGCCACAGGCTTTCCTGGACTTTACGTTATTATTGAATCAACATTGCTCACTATCCGCCTCCTTTGCCAATTAAAATTCCACTTTACATCCAACCACCACTTTGGCTTTGAAGCCACTGCCTGATACTGACGCTCTGTCGATGTACAATGACTATTCTTACACGTCTCTGTCTACTGAGGAGGATCCTACTCTTTTAACAGAAACAGTGCCATTGACTTCCAATCAACTAGTTTCCATAATATCCAAAATATTAGATAATATTCCATTATACTCCCAAAACAAATAATGAGTGATGTTCTCTCAAATACACGTATAATCAAATGTGACATTGAGAAGATGGGGCGACCTTTGACTCAGAGATTGTATTCAGGCCTTTGTAGATGCATTTATTTGACATAATTATGCATTTAAAACATAAGTTAAATTGTCATCAGCCTGAAATTATAGGGGCTTTTGTTGGTGAGAAACCTATTTTATATATAATCGTTTACCCATAGAAATGTTTTTGATTAATGTTATCTGTTAAAGACTTCAGTTCACAATATTTCCCCTGTTAATAGTATATATGTTTTTGGAGTTGATCTGGAGAATTTGAGGACCACGTTCTAATCGCTATCTGATGCTATTCTGGGAGGACAATTCATTGCCTTTGGGTTGCTGGGGGTTGGAACTTGAAGGCGGGTCTGAGTCTGGAGACCTTGCCACTGACTTTTGGAAAGTCTGTTGATTCTACCTTTGGAAGTGCCTTTACATGCCTTATGGAAGGCCGGGCATGGTGGCTCACGCCTGTAATCCCAGCACCTCGGGATTATTGATGAATAAATCAATTTGGGAAATGCTTGGTAAATTCAACGGGACCTCTCAGAACAATGAATTTATATGGCCACGATGTTGTTTTCTGGTTTGTTTGTTTTTTTGTTTTTGTTTTTTTTGCAAAGAGCATTCGGAAGACTTTCTAGTACACCAGTTTGGGAACTGTTGGTGGAGGAGTCAGGGTAATTAGGCTTTGGACTATTCCAGGTACAGGTTGTCACTGTATTCAAGGAATTGTTCTTAGTCTTTGTATATATCCGAATTAACTATAGCAAATTAACAAGCAGAAATATAAGAATTGGGCCTTGGAGGGAGGGAGAGGGCGAGAGAGAGGGGTAGATAGAAGTTTCCTATTTTAACTATGGTTCAATTCTAAGCATTCTAAAATTTCATTGGATTCTTTTAACTATGAATTACAAGGGTGTTTAATTTCCAAGTTCATGAAGCCTTTGGTTAATCTCTTCATTATTAACTTCTAACCTTAACTGCTTCATATTTAAATTATCAATTTTATGGTGTGGATTGTACCAATTGTTTTTCAATCTTCTGACGTGCTTAATGGATTAATACATAATTAATGTTTCTCCCACAGTCCACATATGCTTGAGAAGAATACAGAATATCTGATTATTGGGTACAGAGGTCTATATTTGTCCATTACATCACGTCCATTCACGGGTTATTCAAATCTATATATGGGCATTCTGTGTAACTTACTTATGGTAAGCAGGGTATGTTGAAATCTCCAAATACAATGGCAGACTCGTCAATTTCTCCCTGTGGTTTTATCAGTTTTTCCTCTGTATTTTGAGTCTATTTTGATAGGTACATAAAATATGAAAATTGCTACAACCTCCTAATTAACAGTCAGTTGGCATCAAGCTGTTACTAATGCTTTGTGTTCCAACATCCTATCTTGTTTGAAACTGAAGCTCCATCAGTTGTTTTGGTTAATGTATACCGGCATATCTTTCTCTCTCTCTCTCCTTTATAAAAACTTTCAATCTTTTCACATCCTCATAGTTTCAATAAGATGGATTAGAACAGCTGGATATCGTTTTATTAGTTCCATCTGTCTAACTGGTAACTTTAGTCCATTTACAGTTGTTGTGACTCATTTATGTGGACTTCCTTCTGTCACCTTTAGAACTTCCATTTCTCTCACTTTCCAATATAATTTTAATATCTCCTCCTGGGATTCCACTAAGACGTATTTTAGACCTCATTCTGATCTCCCTCTCCCCGCCAACCCCACCAACTTCTGCCCTGTCATTTATCCTCATATCTCTCTGTGTAACATATGGACTTACTTTTTGGAGATAATGGTCTAACCAATTAATCCTTTCTTCTGGTGTCTAATCCATCCACTCGGTTTCTTATTTCAACAATTCCATTTTATATTTCCTTATTTCATTTTATTCTGAGACAGAGTCTCACTCTGTCACCCAGGCTGGACTGTAGTGGCACGAACCTGCAGCCCTGGCCTCCTGGGCTCAAGTGATCCTCCCACCTCAGCCTCCTGATTAGCTGGGAGTATAGGCAGGTAGGTGCCCCATACACAGCTTTTTTCTTCTTCTTTTTTTTTTGGTGGTGGTGGGGTATTTTTTGGAGAAACGAGTTCTCACCATGCTGCCCAGGCTTGTCTCCAACTCCTGGGCTTATGCCATCCTCCCGCCTCAGCCTCTCAAAAAGTGCTGAGATTACAGGTGTGAGACACCATACCCAGCTATATATTTTATTTCTGTAAGTTCTATTTCATCCATTTTCCTTTCAGGTCTTCCTCATCATTCCTGGTGGTCTTACTGCTCCTGCTCGCTCAATTTTATGAGTCCATCTTTTTCTTATATAATACATTTATTTCACATGTAACTATTTTCTCACAATTCTAATATTTGAAGTCTGTATTCTGTATCTGATAATTCCAAAACCTACAGTCTTTGGGAAACATTCATTGTTTCTGATAATTCTCAAATATATTGGGTTCACTACTTGAATGCTATGATTTCACTGAATTCATAGTTGCCTGCTTTTAATCTTTGGGAATCCTACAGGCTTAAGTTAGAGATGGTTTCCTAGAAAAAGTATCTGTGCGTGCTTCTGATGAGAGCTGTGGGGACAACTAACAAGAGACCCCTTTACCACCGTCCGTAATCCTGATATTCTCTTGGATTCTCCTGGAGAATGTCAGGATTACACAAGGTTCTCAAATTTGGCTCCCCAACCTTGCTCATTTATATACAGAAGACTAGACTGCTTAGTATAGGTGATGACTCACTTCCTCCTACCCTGGAAAAAACAAAACAGATCTCTCATCTGAATGTGATCACAGACTAGGAAATTCTGAAGGTGAATAACTGGAGGCTGTAGGCAGCAGGGAAAGACAGGTGTCTTTCCTGACCATAGAAATAGGTCACAAGCTGCCCTAAAGGCTGTGTGCTCCACCAGGATTTCACTATTTAGCTCAACCAGCAGTCCCTCTGTAAGAGTGAACGGAAGCTTCTTAGAGCACCACGCTGCCTTTAAACCACAAATTCTTGCTAAAAGTCATGGTCATGGTAAAAAACCTATGGCTTTGCAAGGCTTTCTTGGTAATGTCCTAGAATTAAGGTTAAGCCTGCGTTTCATGGTAACTGAACAGGAAACCAGCCTGACCAACATCCTTCTCCCCAATGGCTTGCTCTCAGCTCCTCTTGCTTGGGCCTTGGGCAGCCAGACGGTCTGGTTTTAATCCTTGCTCTGCCACCTGTGACCTTGGACAAGTTACCTACCTTCAGTTACCTCATCCACAAGATGCAGATATTAGTAATACCCTCTTTTTAAGTTATTAAGAGGATTGAAAGAGTTAATAAAAAGTAAAAAAAAGACTTGGTAGGCATAGGCACAGAGGCGGGAAAAAAGCAATAATAAAGAAATGATACTTCTATATTTTCTATAGATCATCTTTGTAACAAGAAGAAAACAAACCAAATGAAAATGAAACAAATTCTCTCAAAAAGAATTAAGTCAAGACAGGCAGAAGGCTCACAAAGTAATATAAAATATATCTTATGGTTTATGGAAAATTCTTAATAAAATACCTTCTTTGCTCCAAGCTGCACTCTGGCTTTGCCTTTGAGTCACGTGGCATTTCTTTGTACGATGACCGGTTCTGTCGAGTAGGCACTGCTTCAGCCCTACAGGAAGGAAAAAACATCTCTAGAAAACAGCAGCATTCCTGATTCCCACTTGAGGAGGCCTAACAAAACGGCATATGCCTCAACAGCAGCACATCAGTGTTAAAAAGTCTGGAGTCAAGGGGAAAAAGTAAAATTGGACCATTTCCAGAATCTCACCAAAAACAACAAACGGATGTTGCAAGTGGCCTACATGAGCAAATTAGAACCTTAAATAAAGGTCACTCTTAATGCCTATCCCAGCATAGATGCAGCACCAAGTACAGTGTCATTTTACTGGGTTACCTTTTTCATTCTTGAAAGTAGGAGCTATGAAAAAAAAAACACTAAAATTTCTTGAAGAGAACCTTCTACTTACAACCTAACTTACGTAATCGAAACACTCTATTGAGGGTGAAAATTGAGTATTATAAGAAAATAATCACCTGTTTTGTGAGAAGTTCAATACGTAATGCTCCTCCACACAATACATACCTTAGAAAGAAAAAAGGAAACATACAAAACTATCTCGAGAATTATTCCTGCTTAAACAATTTCTACATGCCATTACTAAGAAAGTATGCACACAGTAAACATGAGAAGAGAACATGCAAGCATGAACATACTTGTTAGGGATACAGGACTATGGGTAACTTAAAAACTCTGTTGGTATTACTCTCATGTAATTGCTCTGAAATTCTAGTCAACTATTTGCAATGGCTCTTAGAACAGAATACTTTGAATTTTTATGATATCAAAAACTAAGAACTTAGCCAAGTATTCCCAAGAATAGGAATAGTAAGCATACTTAGTAAGTATTCCAAAGAATAGGGGCAGAAGAACGCATTTCTTTAAAGCACTACCTCAGAATTCAATTTAGTAATTCCGATGCTGCCTGTAACATCAGAAAACAACTTCCTTAAAAACATAGCAAGTTGGATTTACCAAGTTGCTGACCAGGTCGCATTCCCTCCTGCCCTCAATCCCATCTTTGTGTTATACTTTATCTCCAGTACCATTTTGCTTAGTATTCATGGTGCTCAAGTTGTCACTGTGGACATCAGAGCCTATAAATATATATTGTTCTGGCTCCTTCCTGTACATCTTTCCAAGTCATACCTGCTATTCTCCAAAGTCTGTGAATCCCGACACTAATAACTTGGAAATTCAGTTTAAGGTCCTCTTCAGAAGGTCAGTTAGCTCAAGGCATCACATTTTTCTCAGGACTCTTAAGAAATACTCCAACCACAGAAAAAGGCCCTTCTTTCTGGTATCAGGAGCCATTGGCCACAAACACAAATCCAATAGAGTTTCAGCCATTTACCTCCCACATCGTCCCTTCCCTGAAGTTCTAGCTAAAGCAGGAAAAAATAATGAAAACACCACCTGCAGTCACGAATCCTCCAGTTTCCTGGCCAAGATTTCGTATTTCCTTCAAGATACCTCCCAAAGAGGACATGACGAGGGAGGGGCACACAGGGTGCTACAGGTACTGATAAGGTTTTATTTCTTTTATATATATGTATTTTTTGAGACGGAGTTTCTCTCGTCACCAAGGCTGGAGTGCAATGGCACAATCTCGGCCCACTGCAACCCCTGCCTCCTGGGTTCAAGTGATTCTCCCAGCTCAGCCTCCCACGAAGCGGGGGTTACATTACAGGCGCCCGCCACCATGCCTGGCTAATATTTTTGTATTTTTAGTAGAGAAGGGGTTTCACCATGTTGGCCAGCCTGCTCTTCAACTCCTGACCGCAGGTGATCTGCCTGCCTTGGCCTCCCAAAGTGCTAGGATTATAGGCATGAGCCACCACGCCCAGCCAAAGGTTCTATTTCTTAAGTTTGGTGTTGGGCATATGGATGTATGATTTAATGTTTTAAAAAAGGAAGATACCTTCCTAGTTTTTTTGTGTTTTGTTTTTTTTGTTTTAGGCCTGCGTGCTTTATTCGTTACCCCGTATGAATCCATAAAGAAGTAGCCATTAGCAAATTCAGGCAATACATACCGGATTCATACTTCAGGAAGACAACCCAGTTGACAACGACAACAGTTTCTATGATAACAAAAGTGAGAGAAAATACTGACATTAGGGTCATATCAAGAAAGTTCAATCATAAGATATATCCACAAGCAAAAATATACACACAAAAAGCTAAGTACGAAGCTTTTAGAAAACTACTACCATCCTTAGAGTAAGTACAAGAAAGTATTCTTTTATGTCTGTTTTTTTCATCAAAATACCGCATATAGCCATAGATTTTAAACCATTACATCTTATCTAGATTCCATTAACATTTCTTCTAGATCACTAACATTTCTTCTAGATTCCATCGTTATTCCTTTGTAACCTTTATTTTCAGTATCTTAAAAATACTTTATTAAATATAACACATACATTCAGAAAGTTACATAAAATATACCTGAAGGTATACCTTAACAAGTTATTGTAAATTATTTGCCCATGTAACCACCAACCTGGTCCTGAAATATATTCCAGCCAGTATCCAAGAAGCCCACAGATGTCCCTTTCAGGTCACACATCCCTACCTCCCACCTGGATGGACTCCTTCCCCTAACCTCTATGTGATCACCTCTTTGTTCTTAATAGTTTTACTGCCCAAGTATGAATCCAGAAATAAGTGTTTCTCTGTTTTCTTTTCACTTTTGTCCCCCTAAGAAGCCTTTTTAGAAGTTTTCTTCCTAATTCTATCCCCACTCCCCATGGAATTTTAACACCACAGATATACTGTATGTCGGTTTATGTTATACGGCCCTTTGGAGGGCAGCAGACCATTATAATAGGTAAGATTTTCTTTCACTCTAAGGACCAATTTTCACTCCACTGCAGGCGATATTGCCTCCACTAAGAATGTATGCCCTAACCAACATTAGTTTTCCCTATTGTTGAACTCTATATAGAGGAAATTGTACAAAATAGGTTTTGGGGCTCTGGTCTCTTTCGCTTAACATAGTGTTCAAGGTTCGTCCATCTTTCCCACATAGCTGTAAGCCATTTTATGAATACCACAATTCTTCATTTTCTTGGAATGAACACCTGGGTTACTTTCTGTTTGGGGTTATGATACATGATGCTACTCTGAACATTCCGGTGTCTCCTGGTGCCTATGTACTCATTTCTTGTGGAGTATATATCCACAAGATTCCTGAACCATAGTGTATGAGTATCTTCCACTTTACCAAATTGTTTTCCAAAACACTTGTACAAATATACACTCCCATTAGAAAAACAGAGTCCCGTAACAATTTTATTACCTTAAAAGATAAGTTAAGCAAAGTATCTCCTATGCCTTCTTTTTCTTTTAAGATCTGAAGATCACTGTGCAAAGGACTAGCAGGGTCAACCCGAAGAATCACAAAACAAAAAACAGTTCAAACAAAAAGATATTTTTTTTTCAACTAACTCAAAAATGAACCAATCTGAAAGCTAAAATAGAGCACCTAGGGTAAGTTCAAGAAAGAGAAGATCTTAAGCTGCTCTATATCCTCAGGAAAAACAGAGGTCACTATAGCTTCCAGCTCCTTTAGAATGAATGTCCAAAAGAGATCATAATAGCCTAAATCTAATCTAATAAGGGGGTTCAGAGTTTGCAGTCATTCTAAAGGAAAACAGTCACATGTATATAATTTTCTCAAGAATTCAAAAGAAGTTTAATATGCTTTCCTAAACTTGTATTATTAGTCAAGCAGTTCAAGGAGAACAATTTGCCATGGACGGAACTATGAAAAGTTAAATCACTAAAAAATCGGTATTTTTCCACAACTGTCCTATATATAGATTTCTAATATGACTCCCATCCCCCACTCCCTTTTCGTTTGTTTGTTTGTTTGTTTGTTTTAAGAGACAAGGTGTCTCGCTCTCTCACCCAGGGTGGAATATAATGGTGCAATCACAGCTCATGTGCAGCCTTAACGTCTCCAAGCTCAAAAGATCTTCCTGCCTCAGCCTCCCACCATCCATAGTAGCTTGTACTACAGGTGTACTACACCGACGTATTTTAAAAGTAATAACATAACTACATCTACAATAAGAGTTAATTATATTGCTTTCAAAACTGGGGGAAAAGTCATAAAAATCAACTTGGCAATCATTCTCTGTATAATGAAATATATTACTCTTGTTTACTTTCCAACCAATATTATTCAAGCTTGAGCTTTTTCCTAGAAGATAAAAATCAAGCAAGAGTTCACTCTATCAAGAAAATGACAAAAAAATTTCGATGGACCTATAAAAACATTTCCAACACTCAACATTTCAAGAAGTAAAAAAAAAAAAAAAAAAGTCCAATTAAATGAAGCATTATGAAGTTTCAAGAGAATATAAAACTAGACACAAGTCTGGTTCGTTTCCTATTTCTTATCATCTGAAAAACTCTAGCCAACATGTTCAGACCACCATGGACTCCATGATAGCACAGAATTTAGTATGAGTCTATTCCAAACCCCAGCAATTTTTGAAAATGCTAGAAGACACTCAAGGTGACACATTACTGACTAAGAGAGACTTCCATTCATAAGACTACAAGCAAGAATATTACACAGATGGTCTAGTTCACACATTGACACACTGAGAAACACGTGTACCTACATGCAACTGGTTTCAGTTTTTCAGTGTGGGGACTTCTCTAAAGATGAAAACACATCGATATCTTATCCTAAGACTAAGTAGAAATGGAACTACTTTTTAGTCATGTGAAACTAAAGGTTTTAAAGACTGCACTATACTTTGAAAAAGAAAAAAAATCAAGTTTACGAAGATCTCACTTCCTAGATATGTAACCATGACCTCATTTCCTATCTATAAAATATGAGAAGTTTCTCCTATCTCTAAACTATGAAGAGCACCTATTTCACACAGCGGCTATGAAGACTAAATGAGAGCATCTATAAAGTATAAAGTACTTAACATAGTATCGGTCATGCAAAAGTGTTCAATAATTTATACTTGTTTTGAAGATAACTCAAACTGGAATCGATCACAAGACACGGAAAGTACAGTAACATTATTTCAAATGCTACAAACTCAGTTTTTTAAATAAGATATGAGAAATGGACTAAATTTCTTTCCTCTGGGAAAAATTACTAATTAAATTAATATATAACTAAGACTGAAGGAGGGAGAGTAATCTATCTGGTTTCAACACTTGGCATCTACTTGCCTAACAATTCATTCCCTGTTTTGGAGAACCTGTGCCCAAGACAAAGTAACTGGTCCTCGGCTTTCATGGAGTTGGTAAATAGCTCTAATACAAGGCAGGAAGTAGTAAGTGTTCAGACAATCATCTGACGTTTCCCTACTCTGTCTGAGCATTTCATGTATACACACACATCATTCTCATTGATTTTTCACAGCAGTCATCCAAAAGGTATGTACTATCTATCCATACTTTAGAGTTGAGCAAAGTGAAACCAAAAAAGGTGTGTTTGTCACCACACTCAGTGTTCCTTTCACATCCTGCCACTTCACATAAAAGAGATGTTAAGTCAAAAGAGAAGAATTAGTTTTGATTTGGTCAGAGCAGGATGGACCAAAGTCACCTTCACGAAGGAGAAATAATTTGAGTTGTGTTTTGTAGGAGAGAATGAATGTGAATATACAGATGCCACAGAAGGAAAGTAAGCAGAGAAAACAGCATAAACAGGCTGGAAAGGGGCATATACAGGGATCAGCAGGTGGTTCCAGGATGTGAACAGCAGATGAACAGGGTAAAAAGTGGCTGTTCATAGATGAGAAAGATAACCTTGGGCAAGAGAACATATGACCGTGGCTAGGGACGGTGGCTCATGCCTGTAATCCCAGCACTTTGGCAGGCTGAGGTAGGAGGATCGCGTGAACTCAGGTGTTCAAGACCAGCATGATCAACATAGTGAGACCCCATCTCTACTAAAAATCTAAAAAATCAGCCTGGTGTGGTGGCTCATGCCCATAGTCCAAGACACTTGGGAGGGTGAGGCAGGAGGATCACTGGAGCCCGGGAGATCAAGGCTTCAGTGAACTATGATTGTGCCACCGCACTCTAGCCCAGGCGACAGAGCAAGACCCTGTCTCAAAACCAATAAACATGTGACTGAATCTACCACTAAGGCAGGAATGGAGGAGAGCAGCTGAGATTGGCATGTTCATGAATTGCCTGGGATTAACTATAATTACTTAAACAAAAATCCAGGCTCTAGCTATTTATACACACTTACGCAGTTAAATGCTCTTGTCTTTCAGTCTTCCTAATTTCTCTAATATTGCCAAATTTTCTTTTTCAATTCCTTCATCCTCCAACTTTTTCCCACTAATGGGCTCTGCTTTCATCTCGTAGTGATCTAAGTCTTCTATATCCTGCAAAAAGAAGAAAAATGTTAGCTTATTCAACCTATTTTTCTTCAGCAGTTTCTTATGCCAAAAGTTAAATTATTCTTGACTCAATGGGGGACAAGAAACAGAATATATCTATCCTACGGGGAGAGAGGAAAAGCCCCCACATTCCATTCAAGAGGCTCCCACCTTCTATATCCTACATTTTATTTAAAAGCTACACTCTGGGTAAAGCAGATTTCAAAGCTTTACAAAGTCATAACTATTAAGAAATAAGCCATCATTTATTTATTTACTTCTTTAATTTTTATTTCCTTTTTTAAAACAGAGTCTCACTCTGTCACCCAGGTGGGCGTATACAGGGGTGATCTCTGCTCACTACAAACTCTGCCTCCCAGGTTCAAGTGATTCTCGTGCCTCAGTCTCCTGAGTAGCTGGGATTTCAGACACCCATCACCACGCCCAGCTAATTTGTGTATATTTTTAGTAGAGACAGGGTTGCACCATGTTAGTACCAGCCTATCTGGGGCTTTATAAAGTTAAGAAAAGAGCCTGTATGCATGCTGAAGGCTGTGTGACCACAGGGCTTTTAAAGGATGCTTCTGTGTTCCCACAGTTAGGTGGGAGCTCTTGGAAGGATCTCTTTTATCCCAGTGCTCTTGCTAAGAATGGAAAGCCCCTCTGCATAACTGCAGTAGCTGGTGCCATCCTCTGTTCACTTGCATCAGAGCCTGGGAGGTTGTGGTCTGCAAAGCTCACCTCTCATAATGGGACGCCAATCAATAGTATCCGAAGTTGATATACCCAGAAAGAGAGTTCAAAAATTATTTAGAGAGGTGGAAAATAATCACCAGTAGAATTAAAATCAGAAACGACAAAGTTGGCCAGCGGAGTGGGGAAGTCCAGATTGGGGAATGTGATGTTTCATTATAAGGTCTTTCAGCATTTGCTTGCTTTGGTCTGAGTGAAAGAATTGTCTCATTTTTTTGAGGGCCATGTACAGCAAAGGACTCACCATCTGTCAGACACACTGGTCAGTTCTGGCAAGGCAGAGTTGGAGGTTCCTGTCCTCAGGTGGGTGGGCAGGGACGGCAGCTTGCCGTAAGGTATCCAACAGCACCAGCGGCAGGAAATGAAAAGTGCTCAGTGATTGGTGGGATAGTGGTGTCTAGCACAATGATTCCTGCCAAAATCTTAATGGTGGTTGGGCATAGTGGCTCAAGCTTGTAATCCCAGCACTTTGGGAGGCCGAGGTGGGTGGGTCACTTGAGGTCAGGAGTTCAAGACTAGCCTGGCCAACATGGTGACACTCTGTCTCTACTAAAAAAATACAAAAATTAGCCGGGCGTGGTGGCACGCACCTGTAATCCCAGCTACTCGGGAGGCTGAGGCAGGAGAATTGCTTGAACCTGGGAGGCAGAGGTTGCAGTGAGCAAAGATTGTGCCACTGCACTCCAGGCTGGCCAACAGAGTAAAACTCCATCTCAAAAAAAATAAACAAATAAAGCCACAAAAACAAACAAACAAAAAAACCCAATGGTGTGCAATAAATGAAAATGCTGCCCCAGTCAGACGGGACTAGCATTTTTCAGCAACTTTCAAGGTCTTGTGTCACAAGAATGAAGATCCGAGTATTTCCCACCTGTGGAGGGGGCTGGTGAAGGAGTTTTCAGTCCCGGGCACCCTGGGCTGTGCTGAAAGCCTCTGCGTCACACTGCGTGAGTTAGCTGGGAAAGAGAGCTCCCACTGTTCTCTTTTAACCCTTGTCCTTTTGTACCACAGCAATTGCTTTCCTGGAGATCAGAACCGTGGCTGGGTTTAACATCATCTTTGGAAATCCTAAAAGGCAATGAAGCAATTTTTCTCTTTTCATTTATATATTTTTTTGATACAGCTGTGTCAGTTTGAAATTTTACTTTCGTATCAGTTCTAATAGTGTGTCTGCTTGACATAGTTTCTATTAAATGGGCTTGATATGAAGTTACTTAAAAATTCAAGTATTTAGAGTTTCAGGGCCCATCGTCTTGATTTTTGGGGCAATACCTCAATTTCATACTGTGTTATTCTTTTCCAGAGAGATGGGTCACTGAATAACTTACATTTTATGATTGTTTTATGAGAAACTATTTCTGGTTACAAATGGTAAACATCTAGGTTTTGCAGTAAGAAATAATGGATTATGTTAGAAAAAAAGAACCATAAGAAGATGTGTTTTTAATTTTGACTTCCTGTAAGTACCTTCTGGAGCAGAAGGTTTTCTCTTTGTGGATTCTGCATCTTGGATTTGGGGACTCTGTTGCACTGAGCTGTGCTCTGTGGGGAGGAGCCTGTGGCAGAACAGTTTGGGTTCTGCTGGCCGCCTTTCCCTCTATTCACGGAGTCTGGGTCCCAGAGAAAGATGACAGCAGTTAGGTCTTGTTGGGAAAAAAACGCGGCTACCAACCCTGGACCATTTTGCTTCCCCTGAACAAATAAGATAGTCATTTGCCTACTTTTGGGGACGGTGCCTGTGCTTTGCACAGGACGAGGTGGCAGCTGGCTTGCCTGCTGGCCTGCTTCCTGGAGATAGGATGCTCAGACCCACCGCTGCTCTTCAGGGGTCGTGGAAGGAATTAATGCACTTCCTTCTGTCCCCCAATCTCTGTCCCTTTACGTGTCTCTGGAGCTGAGCAGGTATTCTTTTTCTTTCTTCATCTCAGTAGAGCTGTTAAATTAAATAGATGTTGCTTAAGCCATTCAGAAAGGTTTCACATTTTAAAAAACAAAAGGTAGCTGCTGCCATGATTCCTTTGCCCACCGCTACACCGTGTCGTTGTAGGACAGTCCCCACTTGGCTGTGCTGAGCCTGTCTGGAAGTGTTTCTGATTCTAATCAGAAGTGGAACAGTTTCAGTGCAGACTATAGGTTCATGTTAGTGATGAACTTGGGTGGAGATGGGGACACAGCTTGTTCTTTCCTCCTGGACTCTCATCCAGGGTCCTGAGCTGCCAGGGGCCTGGCCACTCTCACCCTGAGCCCTGCCCTGGCTGAGCTGATCACCGCTGCATGTCCCAGCTGCCGGTCTGCCTGTCACCTGCAGTGCACATGTGTGCATGTGTGTGCATACGTACATGCACCACACACATACCATGCCCACCTCATACACACCACACACATACCCCATACACACCACACACCAACCACACACATTACACACACTGCATACATATCACACACCACAAACACTACACCACGCACACAAAACATACATACACGCTCAAGCCTTCCACACTACATTACACTCCACACACACCACACATCACACTCCACACACACCACACGCACATATCACATTCACATCACACCACACCACATACCACACACCATACACAGTACACTCCACACACCACACCCTCCAGGACGTCCCACCACCATACACACACAAACACCACACACCCACACCATACTACACATTTACCACATACACACCACACACACTGTATCTCATGAACACACCACACACCCCCGCCACACACATTTGCATGCAAACTACTCATTGAATGAAACCGAATGATTTAGTTTTCCCCAAATTAATACTGCCTGCCTGTGCACCCCTGGCTGTCCTGGCCGGCACATCCCCCGGTCCTGCCCTCCCTTGGGTCAGCACCGCCTCCTGTGTCTCAGGTGTCTCTGGCTGTGCCCTGTGGCGTGCTCATGTCCTGATCTTGTGGGAGGCTGGCTCCTCTGCTCCAGTGGCTGCCTTCCTAGAGGAGACCAGCTTGTTTGTCACCTCTCCTGATGCCCAGAGCAGCAGCCCACGGGGGAAGTCCTGCTTCCTCCCTTCGCTGTCTGCCCTTCCCCACAGGTTGTTTTGTCTCAGTGCTGATATCTCCCCAGCTAGAAGAGGAGACCCTCAAAGGTGCACAGGTGGATTTGATTATAATGCAGGTGAATATTAAATGCGTTTTGGTGAAACACTCAACCACTACATACATCTTTAATAAAGTAAAATGTCCAGGCCCCCTCTGCTCCCACCTCTCTCTCCCCTCCCACCTCTCTCCCCCCTCCCACCTCTCTCCCCCCTCCCCTCCCCAGAGGACGTGGCTGACAAGCCTTTGAGGGGTTTCCCCTTTCTGTGTGCCTTTGCGTGTATGTATGGGCTGGGCGGTGTGTGTATTCTCTAGACATCTTGACGGACCTGTAACTGGGATCTACACACGTGCGCTTGCTGTAGCTCACTTGCCATTTTCCCTCAAAAATAGGCCTGTAAAATCCCTCACTGTAGTACGTGTTGCCCTGCCTCTTTAAAAATGCCACCAACTCTTCCAGCACGTGAACTCTGCCGTCATTTTTTTAAACATTCTCTTATTTATGGGTACTTAGGTTGTTTCCAGTTTTTTAAGAGATTGCGGCAATGAAAATCTTCAGCTATCATTTTTCACAGTGCTGTGGGAGAACGTGGTTGGAGGTGCTGTGGCGGTGGAGTGGCCCCACACGTGGCCAGGCTTTGTGGGGTTCTGACTCTGTCCTTGCCAATGTTCCTCCACACAGTGGCTGCCTCTGGGGAATGATGGCTGTGTGAGCGCCCGCCATGCCCCACCAGAAGAGTCTACCATGGCCCACCGGAAGCGTCTACCATGGCCCACCAGAAGCGTCAGAGCGCGGGGAGCAGCATGTTGGACCACAGGGCAAGGCCGGGTCCTGTCCCCCACCACCAGGAGCCCGAGAGCGAGGACGTGGAGCTGCCCTTGGAGGACTATGTGCCCGAGGGCCTGGAGCTGGTCACCCTGCGGCCAGAGAGCCCCACGCCCAAGAAGCAGGAGTGCCACAACCACAGCCCCGATGGGGACTCCAGTTCCGACTACGTGAACGACACCTCTGAGGAGGACGACTATGATGAGGGCCTCCCTGAGGAGGAGGAGGGCATCCCCTACTACATCCGCTACTGCCCTGAGGACCAAAGCTACCTGGAGGGCATGGACTGCAATGGGCAGGTGTACCTGGCCCACGGCGCGCATCCTATGGACACTGACGGGTGCCAGGATGCAGTGGACTGGACGGCCTGGGCGGGCCTGCACCCCCATGGTCACGGGGCTAAAGGTAGCCAGGACTACCCTGATGGCCAACTGCCCATCACGGAGGATGTGTCCTCCGTCCTGGAGGCCCACGACCAGGAAGAAGACGGTCACTACTGTCCCAGCAAAGAGGGCTACCAGGACTACTACCCTGTGGAGGCTAACGGGAACACCAGCGCTTCTGCCTACCCCCTGAGGTGCGGGGACGGGGACCTGGAGGACCAGGAGGAGGACATCGACCAGATCGTGGCAGAGATCAAGATAAGCTTGAGTATGACCAGCATCACCAGCACCAGTGAGGCCATCCCCGAGCATGGACCTGAGCCAGGGCCTGCGGACTCTGCAGAGGGCTGCCCACCCATCAAGGCCAGCTGCAGCCCCAGCAGGCAAGAGGCGAGGCCCAAGTCGCTGAACCTCCTTCCCGAGGCCAAGCACCCCGGAGACCCCCAGAGAGGCTTCAAGTCCAAGACCAGACCCCAGAAGAGAGGCTGAAGTGGCCTCACGAGCAGGTAGGACTCTAGCTGTCCCGGGGAAGGGAGCAGAGGGGCCCTAGAGCAAGGGACCTCAGGGTACAGGCCTCGCAGATGCTGAAGCGAGGCGGTGGGGGGTGCTGGGTGCCTTACAGTTCTAATGGTGGCTGAGCTCTTCATTGGTCCAGTTGGGAGACATGTTGCGTGGATGCTCCGGCCACTCTTAAGCTCACCGCTCAGACTCAGGACTAAAGCCGGTTGAGGGCTGAGGGGCAACTCGTGTCTCGCAGAAGACACCCCTCCTCCCACCCTAGAAGACAGGTTCAATTTCTTGCCCACTGCCCTGGGTCTGCTCATGGTGGGGCAGTATGTGTGGGAGAGCCCCTCAATCCTCAGGGGTGTACTCAGACCAGCAGGGCAGTGGCAAAGACGTGGGGGTGCTGGTGCTCACCCACTGCTGCGGCCAGTGTTGGGTGGCCTGGTGGCTGGGGTCGGGGCCAGAGTGCATTTCACAATGGACGGGTGTCTGAAAGCTGGGGGGCCTTGGCCTGACGGGCAATCAGCTGTGAATACCTATTTGGAAAAGGATTTTTTGACGGTGTGACAAAACCTCGGGGAAGAAACGCATGCTAATGAGGGCAGTGGATGTCAGCATAACTGTATTTTAATTATAGCAAAGTCAGCGTGCATTCTAATAAACACATTTGAAAAGCCGCCTTCCAAAAAAAAGCCTCACTGTGAGTATATATTATAGAAGATGTGATTATTGGACTCGGGTGAAGGAACTTCTATTTGGCCAATTATGTGGACTGCTTTCATATTTTTTAAAGCTTTAACTACTATTTTTTTCTGAGAAGAATTCATGAATGTGTGTGTGTGTGTGTGTGTGTGTGTGTGTGTGTCTGTGTACTGAGAGCTTGGGTTTGGAATGGAAATCATATTGACTCCTGGATTTTCAGCACTTGTATCTTAATGTCTTGTCTTCTCTCTAGAACACATTGTGTCAGTTGACTTCACTTTGGGGCTGTTCCTGTCATTCACAGCAATTCTGTGTTTACAGGGGGCTGTGGGATGCATAGGAAGTCCTATGGTGATGGCAGGCATGGGAATTTTACCCCAAGGGACTATGGTAATAGGGGGCTGACCAAGAATAACTCCTAATCCTATGTCACATAATACCATGAGCAGCTCAGGAAAACTACGCACAACTCAGACATGTGCAGAAAGGAGATGTGGAATGAAATGGAGCCCCCTGGCCTTATAGAGGCCTCCAAGACCTGCCACACCCACGTCTGCCCCCAACTCCCCAGTCAACCTTCAGAGAAGAGAAGGTGATCTCTCTCCAGCTGAGACCAAGCCAAGGCCCAAACTGTTGTAGCTGAAGGATGTTTGGGCTAGGCTCATAGAAGCTGTTCCACTCCTGCAGTGTCAACAGCTGCCTGTGGTCCAGGCTTCTGTCTGGTCCTGGGTTTTTTTTTTTTTTTTTTTGAGATGGAGTCTTGCTGTGTTGCCCAGGCTGGAGTGCAATGGCGTGATCTCAGCTCACTGCAATCTCTGCCTCCCGGGCTCAAGCAGTTCTTCTGTCTCAACCTCCCGAGTAGCTGGGATTACAGGCACCCGCAATCATGCTCGGCTAATTTTCATATTTTTGTAGAGACAGGGTCTCACCATGTTGGCCAGGCTGGTCTAGAACTCCTGACCTCAGGTGATCCACCCACCTCAGCCTCCCAAAATGCTGGGGTTACAGGTGTTAGCCACCGCACTCAGCCTTGAAGAGACACTGGGCCTTTTAAGAGACACTGGGTGCTGACTCACTTCTGGGTCTGCCCCATGGGTGGCCCACCGGGTCTGCTCTGGGTGCAGCCAGGCTGTGCACGTCAGGGAGCCTGAGCTGGACTTAAGGTGGGGAGACATCGCTCCCCAAGAGCTGCTCGGGTGCGACATCAGGGTGGAGGCTGTTGCTGTGTGTGGCGGCATCACTCATTTACCCTCGTCTCATCAGCCTCTGTCCTTCGGCTCATCTGCTTGCAGGTGGCCTCTGATTCTGCCTCTGGAGCCTGTCTGCCCCCTCTTGATTCATTCATTGGGTCCCAAATATGTGAACAATAGCATGCTAGCCACTTTTAGAAATATTTGTGTTCATCTTCAAGAGAGGGGGGTCATCCAGCCATTCCCCAGCCCTCAAAACCCACTCCACAGACAAAGCAGTGGCGGGTCAGGGCTCCTCTTGCTCTTCTGAGCCGCTGGCATAGCGAACACGGTACAAAAGAAAAGGATTTCACATGCAATAGAATTTCATTCACCCTGAAAAGGGAAGGAAATTCTGACACAGGCTACAATATGGATAAACCTTGAGGACATCCTGCTAGAGCCAGTCACAAAAGGACAAGTACTGTGTGATTCCACTTCTCTGAGGCACCCACAGTAGAGTCACAGAGACAGGAAGTAGAATGCGGGTGGCCAGGGGCTGGAGAGAGCAGGGAGTGGGGAGCTGGTGTTTAATGGGTGCAGAGGTTCCGTTGTGAAGATGGAAAAGTTCTGGAGATGCATGGTGGTGAAGACGGCACAACAGTGTGAATGTACTTAATGCCACTGAACTCTACACCTAAAAATGGTTAAGATGATAAATTTTACATTATGTATATTTACCACAATAAAAGAAATAAGAAATAAAAGGTTTTTGGATGATGAACGGGCTCGAGCCAATTTGGACCCTCTAAAGCTAAGTTGAGCCAGGCTGAACCCATGTAGCCAGAATCATACTGGATTAGGCTGTTCTAGCACTTCACGTGGTGAGAATGGGGGAGAGAGAGAGAGATTGATTGATCAGGGGGCTGTGCAGGGGGCGTGCTACACACTTGTAAACAGCCAGATCTCTTGTGAACTCAGAGCAAGAGTTCACCTATCACCAAGAGGATGGCCCAAGTCATTCATGAGAGATTTGCCCCATGATCCAGACACTTACCTCCCACCAGGCCCCACCACCAGCATTGGGGATTGCATTTCAATATGAGATTGAGGTGGGGACAAATATCCAAACTGTATCACCCACAAAGAAGCAAAAACATTTTGGGCCAAATCAAAACTATTTTGATGTAGCCACAGTAGGGATGAGCTGTGATTACACCCATTCAGGCCTGTGGACCTGCGGACCTGGCGTGTGTGGTCGTGGGGCGGTGGGTGGGCACATCCCTGGGAGGTTTCAGGAGGACATTCAAGACCAAAATGAGCCATGAGTAAATAATACAACCACATCCTGAGTGGGAGTGGGGGAGCCTCCCCTTCTCTCCTAGGTCTTGTATGGGTCATGATCCCACCTTGGCAGGAGTGGAAGGAACACAGATCCTACAGGTTGTGGCTTATAGTAAAGTGACTGTGGTCATGCCTTGTGAGTGTCATTAAAATAAACAGATATCGTTAAATCCACTATCAAATAACAGCGATTTCTGCTATCCTTTCACCTTTTCCACAAGTTTAAATATCCCAGATATTCTACTGTGTATATTCCTAAAAGTAGACAGGTAGATTTAGTGAAGTTAACTGGATCATTGGTATCTTCTTTATAGATCATCTGGTGAAACTTGTTTTGCAAATTATGAGTTGTAGGCCTTTGTTTTAATGTCTGTAGCCTTAGGCAGTTCCATTGAGACTAACTCAGTTTTTTTCTTATTAGGACTAATCTTATTGACCGGAACTGTGGACTCCCCGTATTAGGAGAACAGAGATCTGGCCTGTGTAAATGAGTGGAAGTTAAATACTGTAGAAAATGCCCTCTGGAAACTGAAATCTAATGCTGACTTACTATTGGTCATTTAATTTCCTTCTGGCTTGGGCACCATCGTTACATTCATTTTTCAGATGTCAAGCTAGTTTTCTCAGAATGTGTGCAGGGCTCGAGGCCGAGTGTGGAGGCCACTGGGTGAATACAGGAGAGGTCACAGGTCAAGCCTCCTGCGAGAACTGCAGGCTTGAGCCTTCGATAGAGCCACGTGAATGATTTTTAGCCCCACTAGGTTGCTGTCATTAAACTATGCACACAGGGCTTCTTGCTTTTAAGTTAGCAGGATGGAAAAATTGCAGGTGTTTGCAGCAAACATGAAGAACCAGCCATGCTGGCCCCTAAGCAATGGTATTACAAAGGGTTGGTGAAGATTTTCTCATTTGAGAACTGAACAAAACCAAATGGAATTCTCCCTAGTTCTGCAGCTCTGGGGGCTGTAAGCGGCGGAGCTTCCACCTTCCCTACAAACGGACCCAGAGTGGCACCTGGTATGTGAGGCAGGTGACCAGGAGAAGGGGGTGTCAGTGGTTGATGGGCAGCTGCCTCTGCTGCCTGGTTGACCCAGCCCCTTCCTGGGTCATCTCCCACTTTGCCTGGGTGTCAGTCACTGGAGGGTTAGCGCAGTACAAGCTGGCGGGTGACCTCCGTAGAGCTTAGGTGAAGGGGCTCTCACAGGGCAGTATGTTTGAGACCCTTAGAGGGCTCTCCTTACTCTTGCTTCTCCCATTATTTTTAAATTGTAGTAATACACTTGTAACATAAAGTTTACCACTTTAAAGTGTACAATTCAGTGGCATTTAGTACAATGTTGTGCAACCACCTCTGATATTTAGTTCCAGAACATTTTCACTGCCCCCAGAGGAGACCCTGTACTTATTAAGCAGTCACTCCTCATTCTTCCCTCTCCCCGCAGCCCCCACAATGAAAAATCTGTTTTCTCACTTTGGATTTGCCTATTCCGGATATTCCATAAAGACGGGATCAGACAATATGTGCCCTTTAGTGTCTGGCTTATTTCACCAACATAATGTTTTCAGGGTTCATCCCTGTTGTAGCACGTGTCAGTACTTCGTTCATTTCTGTGGCTGAATGATATTCCACTGAATGGCTATGTTTTTATTTTCATTTTTACTTTTTGAGATGGAGTTTCACTCGTCGCCCAGGCTGGAGTGCAGTGGTGTGATCTCGGCTCACTGCAGCTGAAGGGCTATATTAAGTTTCATTTATCCATTCATCCACTGAGGGACATTTGAGTTGTTTCTACCTTTTGATTAATGTGAATTCTGCTGCTGTGACCATGTGTATACAAGCTTTTGGGAAATTTTATTTGGCTAGTCGTAACTTTAAGTTTTGTTTTGGCTATTTATTGTTGCTTAACCAATTATCCCAAAACTTAATGGCATAAAACGGCAAATTTGTCTCTCTCTCACTATTGTATGGGTTAATGGGCTAGCTGGACAGTTTTTCTGCTGGTCTCATTTGGCAGCTCTCACTGTGCAGTTAGACAGTGTCAGGGACTGGTCGTCTGGATGCTCAGCTGCAGTGGAACGTCTGAGACGGCTTCTTCACCCACAGGTCTGCTGCCTTGGTGTTTCTTCATGTGGCCTTTCTACATAGCATCTCATACTCTTGGCCCTCTTCATGTAGCTTCTCTTTCTCCAAGAGGATAGTCAGTTCTTCTTTTTGGCTTCCAGAAGCACAAAAGTGCAAGCTGTCAGATGTTCTTAAGGCTTAGACCTAGAACAGGTCCAGTTTCATTTCTACCACATTCTATAGGTTAAAGGAAGTCTCGGAGCCAACCTTGATTCACTGTGGAATGGGCCCTTCCGAGGACCTGAATGACAGGAGTTGTGGCTCATTGGGGACCAACTCCAAAGATGAAGCCTGAGTTCTGAGAACTTTTTCTTCTCTGATTACTCCTTATTCATATTTTATGTTTTGTTTTATAGATGTAATATATTCACAAGTGTCTTTAAGGAGCTATTTTGATACTCTTTTGTCCTCTCCCTAGCAGGTCTTTTTTCTTTAATAATTTTTTTCTTAGTTTATTTTGGTCTTAGTTTTCTTTCAAAAGCCTTTCCCAAAATATCTATTCTATGTTGCTCATCATTTGTCATCTTTTTTAAAATGCCCCCTTTTGTTCATTCATATTTGAGAGAAGGACTAAAAGACTGACTGGGAGGCTGGGTGTGGTAGCTCACATCTATAATCTCAGTGCTTTGGGAGGCTGAGGTGGGAGGATCACTTGAGCCCAGGAGCTCAAGACTAGCCTGGGCAACACAGTGAGACCCCCATCTCTAGAAAAAATAAAAATTAGCCGGATGTGGTGGTGCCCGCCTGTAGTCCCAGCTACTCAGGAGGCTGAGGTGGGAGGACTGCTTAAGCCCAGGAGATTGAGGCTGCAGTGAGCTATGATCATGCCACTGCATTCCAGCCTGGGCGAAAGAGTGAGACATTGTCTCAAAAAATAAATAAATAAATAAATAAATAAAAAAGAAGTTTGGGAGTTCTTTCTGGCCAAGACTTGTCAACTGATAGCTTTTAGGGGAAAGGGTTTTTAGGGGGAATTTATGCTGATTCCCAATTGTTATCCCCACCCCTCTATCTTATCTCTTTGCGCAATCATAAATGATGGCAGGAACTACTCCATTCCTCTGGAGGTGAAATCTACGTTCTCTTGCCTGAGGTAGATACATGTTTGCTGGGGTTCTGCTTAAGGAAATGTGGGAGAACAATGTGTTTCAGGGCCTGGAAAATGTGTTCTGTATGTAGGCTTTTGGTTAATCTGTTTTCAGTCTTGCCTATCAGTCCCACTCTCCGGGGTACCTGGTGTCGGAGTCTAGTGCCTCTGCAGGGTACTGTGGGACAAATTAGCCTCCTTGTTATCGGTATCCCCCTAACCTCCACCTTTGTTTGCTTTGCTTCATTAATTAACCATTTCCCATTTACTGTCATTGTCTATTGGAGGTGAATTCTCTTCTCTTGGTAACCCCATCCCTTTTTTTTTGTAATTGTGTGTGTTTATACAATCTTTATTCTTCACTGTAATTCCCATGGAGCCTCAGGAAAAAGAGCAGATGGGAGAAATACGTGTTCAGTGTTCAGTTTTCCTTCTGTAAGACACCTGCAACCTGTGTTTTTCACAGAATAGACCATGGACTTAAAGCATAAAGAGCTACTTTGTTTTTCATGATTGTGCCTTCAATTCTATGTAGAAATATAATCTGTGAATTACCTGATGAAATTTTCCTAATTTTGAATCATCCTTGTATTTCTATAATAAACACTGTTAGAATGCATACGGTAGTGTTTTATTTTTGCATTTTTACTTTTATATTAAATAAGATTATAGTTTTGTTTCCTTCCTTCTAGGCTCTTATTTCATTTCCGTACCAATGGTATGCAGGGCTGACTTGGGAAGCTTACATGTTTTTCTAAGATCTAGGATGTAGCTCTAGTTTACACAGTAATTTTCAACTGAAGGAGATTTTTGCCCCCCATGGGATGTTTGGAAATAATCTGGAGACATTTTCGGTTGTCACAACTGGTCATGATGGGAGGTGCTATTGGCATCTCTTGGGTAGAGGGGGTGTTACTAAACGTCCTACAACACACAGGAGAACCCTCCACAAATTGTCTGGCCCAGTATATACACATCGCTGAGGCTGAGAAACCCTGGTTTAAATAAATGTCCAATTTGGAGAGTGAGTCTTTGACTGCCATTTTTCTTCTTCTATGTGTTGGTCTCCAGATTTCCCACTTTTTCAGTTAGTTGTAGTAACTGTAGATTCTTTAAAAAAAAAAAAAAAAAGGATTGCTTCATCTTTACTTCTAGGCTGCTGTAAAGATGTATAAGGTTTTCACTTTTTGCATCATATTCACATTAGAAACAGCTGAGTTTTGGAGGGAACACATTCAAACGGTAGCAAATTTAGTAGAGCAAATTCCAAAGACATTGAGTCTAGGCCAGTTGTCAGTCCTGGGTATAATTTTAGATGTTTTCAGGCTCTGAAGCTTTCCATTTAAATGCAAATTTCGGAACAAAGATCTGTGTCTCTGCACTGACCAAATAGAAGGTATGTGAATGTTATGGTCTTGATTGTTTTACAAGATTTTTTCTGCAGGTACTTTTGCAAGTGTGTAGGGAGAGATGAGAAGTTCCAAGGAAAAGGGTGTGAGGTCTTTGGGGCCAGCTTTGAGCTGGCAAGGCTAAATTATAGGAAGAAGGCAGAGAGGTGGGCAGAGACCAGATGTGGGAGGACTTCCTGTGTCATGCCACGGAGTCTGGACTCCACCCTGTAGGTGACGGGAGCCAAGACAGGGCTTGGCACAAACACATGGCACATTTGTGGTTAAGAAACGTCTTCCTTGCTTCCTTGTGGCCTTGAGGGATGAATTAAGGGGCTGGAAAACCGGGAGCAGGACGGCCTGTGCCCATGGTTCAGGTGAGAGCCGGGTGGGTGGCAGGGGCTACGGAGAAGGCGGTTGAGTTTAGCCCCAGTTCCCAACAGGTGCTGTGGGGAGGAAGAATTTCCAGCTGCCAGGTCAGCCTCTTAGATCCATTTCTCTTTTTTTTTTTTTTTTTGAGACGGAGTCTCACTCTTGTCGCCCAGGCTGGAGTGCAATGGTGTGATCTTGGCTCACTGCAACCTCCGCCTCCCAGGTTCAAGCAATTCTGTGGCCTCAGCCTCCCTAGTAGCAGGGATTACAGGCGTCCGCCACCACGCCTGGCTAATTTTTGTATTTTTGTAGAGACAGGGTTTCCCCATGTTGGCCAGGCTGGTCTCGAACTCCTGACCTCAGGTGATCCACCCGCCTCGGCCTCCCAAAGTGCTGGGAATACAGGCTTGAGCCACCGCGCCCGGCCCTTGGATTAATTTCTTCATGCTTAAAATGAAGGAAACGTGAATCATTGATAAGGTGTCCCCTCTTTAACAAAGCAACAGATGGTTTATCAGGGCCTCTCTTCGCAGGCAGTGGGGCCTCATCCACAACCCTGGAAAAGAACTGGAAAGCGTTGCTCAGCCAGGTACGGAGGGCAGGGCCATGTGGGACTCCCGTCTCCAGGCCCCCTCTCCCCAGCTCCCGTTTCTTTCTTTCTTTCTTTCTTTCTTTTTTTTCTGAGACGGAGTTTCTCTCTTGTTGCCCAGGCTGGAGTGCATGTTGCTGTGCACTTTGAGGGCAGGAACTGGCTCCTGCTCCAGTTTGCATCCTCTGCGCCCGGCACCAGGCCCGTCTGCTCAATGCAGGATAAGCAGGTAGCTTCGGGCTGTCCACCCAGCCCTTGCAGAGGGTGGAGCTACAGAGAGCATGAGTGGCCAAGATGAAGCCCTCATTGGATTCTTTGACTCTTTCTACTATGTGAGATATTCTTGATGTCTGAGGGATGAACGGCAAACAAAGTGTGGCCTACCCATACAATGGGGACAGTAGTTAGCCCTAAGAAGGAAGGAAGTTCTGACGCACGCTACAACACAGGTGGGCCTTGAGAACGTCACGCTAAGTCAAAGAAGCCAGTTGGAAAAAGACAAATGATTGTATGATTTCACTCACATGTGGCACCTGGAGTCGTCAAATTCAGAGACAGAAAGTAGAATGGTGGCTGCCAGGGGCTGGGGGAGGCGGAAAGGGGAGTTAGCGGACACAGAGTTTCAGATTGCAAGATGAAGAAAGTTCTGGAGATGGATGGTGGTGATGGCTGCACAACACTGTGAGTGTATTTAATGCCACAGAATCATACACGTAGAAGTATTTCAGATGGTAAATTTCATCTTTTGTGTATTTACCATAATTTTTAAAAACTAAGAAAATTAAGATATCCTTGATGTCAGATGCCAGGAGAGCGGTGTCAGGCATCTCACCAGCCGATTCTCCCAGAAGTTTTCCTCCATCGGGTAACCACGAGCCTGGGGTATCACAAAGAGAAGCCTCAGTGTAAAATCAACAATCTCAGTGGAGTGGCTTCATCAGGGAGTGACAGGGGCGTGATTTACTACTGGAGGACAAGGCAGCAGGCAGGGAAGATGGCCCAAGCCTGCTTTGAACTGTAAGGAGCACGCAGAACCTCTTATCCAGACCCGGAGGGCTGCCCTGTTGACAGCACAAGCAGCTCAGGGCCAGCGGCGCAGGAAAACCCCAGGGTCCAGCCAGGTCACGGGCACAGGCCTGCACTCACGGGTCACTGCAGTGAGGATGGAGGTGTCACTGCAAATGCGTAAGAGGATATTTTCAGCAATAGTAAAATTTTTAACAGATTTTAGAAATGAAAGGGTTCCCCCTGCATATGTCAAGAACCTGAGTTTCTTTCTGAAACTTGGGTGGGACCCTTTAGAGTTGCTTCAAATAGAAAACACACCATCGGCGGCCACTCCCCTGAGGAAAGGCAGACTTCATGGCTGAAAGCGTCACCCGAGTGCTCCCGGTTTTCAGCATCACACGGAGTGGCTCAGGTGCCCATTCATTTTATGAGTCAGCCTGGGGAGAGTACCCACAGATTCGGAGTCACATCTCTGATGGGACACAAGCTCTACCCTTTCCAAGCATTGATGATCCTGAGGTTGATCAATACTGAGCATTGATGTCTGTGAAAACAAATCACTTAGGTGCAGAGACACCGCAATGACCATCCCGCCGGGGGCAACCGCCTGATTCCTTCCACATCCTGGTCAACATCCCTGGCCAACAGGGCAGCCCACGGACAGCTGCTCTGCCTGGCTCCTGCTGAAAAGCCAACAGCACAACAACTCTGCCCTCCATACAAAACCACATGGGCCCTCGAGATCACACTGGGGCGCCCCCTTTGCCCCCACTTCCTTGGGCTGTGGCTGGCCTGTCTGACATTTGCTCTGGGAGATGAGCCAGGGTCTGCCCAGGCCACCACGGGGGCAGAGACGTGAAACAGGCTTCAGCTACTAATTTTCCATTAAACGACAAGAAAATCGGCTATTGTGAGAAGAGTCACATGAAGGTACCCAAAAGTTGTCACAGTCCACTCACTCGAAATAAAACCCATCCCATTAGGAACACTGTCATTGCAGCCCATCTCCAGCACTCTGCTCTGTATAAAAGACTGACTGTGGCAAGATAAGGGTTTAAAATTGAAAATCAAAGAGCCATTCCTCAGTGATACCCAGGAAATGACGCACACGGGCTGATATTAAACCCACCCACACCAAGAATCCTAAAAGTTAACGTACAGATTACTCGTTTTCAAGCAACACACAATGATACAAGTAAGTCCTCAAGAAGACTGCATGGGTTGAGGCACTGGACTTCTAATCATGCCATCTCTCAGCTCAGGGGTCCACGACAAAGCTAACCCCACTGAGATGAAAAGCCACTTACCCCTTTTTCATCACTCGCAATACAAATTTCAGAACCCATCCCAAACTGGAAGGAAGGATACGACTGAAACTCAACTCATGCCCAGCTAACCTGGGAAGTACACCCTCCTCAGATAATGGAGACCCACCAATTCCCGGGTGTCAGACGTCACACAACCTCTTCTCCCACCAGGGCTGGGGACCCTCAGGAAAGTCAGGTGTCCCTGAGAAACACCCGGCAACATGCAGAACCACAGAGACAGGAGGCAAGGTTCCAGACAAATACACCCAGTAGACAGTTAAAGATTTCAGAGCTGGAGAGAGCTTAGGACACCCCGATTCTCAGACTGCAGACAGCAGGTGGACACCACTGAGCTGGCGACAGCCCCAAAAGAGGTCAGCTTGACTGCGACGAGGGGACGTCTTCATTATCTGTCCAGTGCTCTCTGACATCACCCCACCCCGCCTCCTGTAGCAGTGTTCTATCTACATGAAATTAACCTCACGTATAAAACATATTCCTGGTTCATTGGCAAACAGGCAGCTCTGAGCAGCACATTCAGAAGTTGCCAACTTTGGGAGGCAGAGGAGTTCGAGATCAGCCTGGGCAACATGGTGAAACCCCATCTCTAGGAAACATTTATAAGTCAGCTGGATATGGAGGCACGTGCCTGTGATCCCAGCTACTCTGGAGGCTGAGGTGAGAGGATCACTTGAGCTCAAGTGGTCAAGGCTGCAGTGAGCCAAGATCACACCACTGCACTCCAGTCTGAGCAACATAGTGAGATCCCGTCTCAAAAAGAAAAGAGGTTGCCAGATTAATCCAGTACACACTTCTTTAATCCCGTAGTAAATTTTCTCTTTATAGCCAATTCCCAAAGTCAAGTATATTGACTCATAAAAATACCTTCTGGGAAGCATGTGACTGATTTCCAGCTGAGAGGCCCTGCCACTGGATGGTTAAGTTCATAGGCCCCAGAGTCAGAAGGGGGTTGGAATCTCCCCTCTGCCATGCCTGCTACTTGGCCTTGTGTACGCTCGCGCTCGTGCGCTTGTGCGCTCTCTCTCGCTCTCGCTCTCTCTCTCTCATGCTGATTCTGCAGGCATTCTACAGGCCTCCCATGTCCCAGGAGCCAGCTCTGTCCACAGTGCTCTTCCTGCTCCTGCTCCTGGCCAACCCTCCAACCAAGGTGTCTAGGAGCCACAGGGAAGAGCGGGTTCTCTTGCTAGTTGCTCTTCCACTAGGCTGTGACACGCTGGCCGAGCTCCGCCTCCACCGGCTCTGAAGACAGCACAGACAACTGTTCCACCTCTTCCACTTCCACTGAGCAGAGGAACTGCGTCTGAATGAAGCCAGAAATGGGGCATTTGGGGACCGCAACAGAGAACGGATGCCTAGCAGATGGGAAGACGACAAACTAACAAACACCCAGGCCTTGGACCCACGCCTCCCGGTAGGCTCCCTCTCCTCTCCCTCTCCCCTCCATCACACTTCGAACCTTCCTGGGCCTGGATCACCTTCCTGGAAAGCTGACCACCCCCATGCCTCTGGGCGCCACTCCCCTGCCCTACCACCACAGGGCAACATGGGGCCACATCACGCCACCCTGCAGCTCCTGTTGGAAGAGGCTGAATTCCTGGCAACACCCACCCATCAGTCCCAAGCCCCGAGCATCAGTACCTTCATGCAAAAGGCACTAGGTTGGCTGCTTTATCTCATAAGATGAGAAAATGATGCCCATCACCATAAACACATTGTTAGCTGGTATTGATAGCTGTTAACACCCTGAACAAAGACTAAATGAAAATGATGGAAACTAGTGTAAAAAGTCTATGATGTGCAAAATAACAAAATCTAACCTAGCAGTAGCCACTCCCTACCACTTGTCACAAGGAAGCACGAGGAACTCACAGCAACTGGCAGCTCCTGCAGGGCGGACACTGCAAGGTCAACGCTAGAACATAAATGACAGGGAACAACTGAGGATGACCCTGAGCTTCACAGACTCCAGGGCCTCCCCTGGGGCCATGGGTCCCAGTGGAAATTTGGTGGCACGGGCAGCACCTCCTGGCACAGTCAGGGTGGGGGCTCCCCTCAACCAGTTTGGTCCACCTCCATGGACCCTTTGGCCACTGAGTCACACATGCTGGCCCCACCACCTGCTTTGAGAACCAGGGCTGTGCCCTACCCTCTTCTCCCTACCCCCTCATCTGCCTGTGCACCCAGGGGGCCACCACCACTGCCTGGGGGTCCTCACGTTTGGAGGAAGCAGCTGAGGCTACCAGCGGCTGCCAGCTTGCTGGCATGGGTCCCAGACATTGCCACCACCACAGCCACTGATAGCACCTGAGGAGACCCTCTGAGCCCCCTGCCTGAGGCCAAGCAGCAGAGAAAGCCACATCCTCTAAGGCCCCCATGGGTGAGTACCCATGTGACAGCCCCCGCCAGACCACTGCCCTTGCCTGGAGAAACCACTCCCTAAGACCCCTCTCCTCCAGCTTGCCCAGCCACACAGGGAAAAAAACTCACTTAAACTGTCCACCGGCCTGCTTCCACTCTGTGACACAGCGGCTGCCCTGGGGACTGCTGAGCTACAGGGACCCCCAGTCAAAGAGCCAACCCACTGACCATGAAGCAGAAAGGCCCTCCTGAGGAGGGCCCCAGGGATCGCAGAGTGGACTAGTATCAAACACCCCTCCACGATGGACCCCATAACAAAAGGCATAAATAACAAAAAAGAAAGGTCGACGATGGCAAATGATTCTCCAATAAAAAAATACGAGAGGAAGAATGACAAACCATTTACATCACCAGAGAGACTGAAGCAAGGTGGGCAGGCAGTCCACAAATTTAAAAGGCAACAACTTTTCTACAGACCAGCCATGATCAGCTAGAAAACAAGGCAAGAGGAGGGGATGATCCCAGTGACAACAGCAGCAGAAGTGAGAGACGCACAAACATGCATGAATAAAGCAATGAAGCTCCAGTGATGGAGGCAAAGGACTTTTTACATAAATCAAAATCTGGATGAGAAGAAAATACAAAAGCTCTCTCCTCTCCCCACCCCCAACCCCCACCATAAAACCCACAGAGCAACCTTAATCAAAATCCCAATCAGAATATGGGATGAATTTAGTTTATTCTAAAGTTTATCTAGCGGCCGGGTAGGGTGGCTCATGCCTGTAATCCCAGAACTTTGGGAGGCCAAGGCAAGAGGATCACTTAAGCTCAGCAGTTCAAGACCAGCCTGGGAAACTTGGAAAAACCCCACCTCTACAAAAAACACAAAAATTAGCCAGGCGTGGTGGACCCCGCTACTTGGGAGGCTGAGGTGGGAGGATCACTTGAGACCAGGAAGTCAAGGCTGCAATGAGCCGTGTTCGCACCGCTGCAATCCAGCCTGGGTGACAAAGTAAGACAGTCTCAAAAAATAAATAAAATAAATAAAATAAGGCTTATCTATTCAAAGGAATATAGGAGAAAGGTTGGCGGAGAATGAAAAAAGAAGAGGAATGAAGAGGTAATGGCCCTTTAAGATAACTAAGTCTTACCAAAAGCCACCGTAACTTACACGGTAGATAGTGGCACAACAATAAAGCAGTAAATTAGAATGGAGAATCCAGAAACACAGGAGAAACACTCAGAACACAGCAGCTACTTAACCCATGACAAACCTGCCAAAACAGAGAGGTCAAAGTGGCTGACTAGGAAATTAGGTTGGAATCCTATAAAAAAAAAAAAACTACATCCACAAATCACACCGTATCTAAAATACATTTTAGATCAAAGAAGAGATGTAAATGTAAAAAAATCGAGACTATCAAGTATTAGCAGAATATGCAGGAGGGTGGTTATATACATTAGGGTACAGAAACCCATTCTCTAAGTAAGATACAAAATTCAGGAGTAATTAAAGCAAGCTTGATAGTTTTAACAATGTAAAATTTCCAAATTTTTACATTGCCAGAGATGTCTTTAAACAAATTCAAAGGACAAGTGGCATCTGAGAGAAAATATCCGCAATATATATAGAAAATGAGGAATAACCCTGTGTACCAAGAACACCTAGAAATCAACAAGGAAAAGCTTCACAAATCAAGAGAAAAACAGGCAAGGATGAAAAAGAGAATTAGAAAGAGAAATTCAAATTAGTAGTAAGCACAGAAGAAACAGCTTCTTATAATTCACAATTTTTACAAACACAAAATGAAATAAGCTATCACTTTACACCCACTTGACTGAATGAAACACAAAGACTGATCATGTCCAGAGAGCGTCGATGTCCAGAGAGTGTCGATGTCCAGAGAGTGTCAGTGGGGACACCGCTGCCCCACACACTAGCATCATTTAGAATGGTCACCACCTGTCAAGAGAGCAATCTGGCAATATCTGTTGACACTCTGAATGCCCAAACCATTCAGCCCCGCAAGTCCACTTCTAGGAATCTATGCTACGAAAACAACCCCATGCAGATGCAAGGGTTTAATGTACGAGACTCCACCTGTCAGCATTCTCCGTGAGTGTGAAAAACGGAACAACCCAAAAGTTCAATAAATAAACAGTCACATATTATGCAAGCGTCAGAATAACGCTGCTTGCGCAAAGGACAAGGGACCATCTCTAAGACACACAGCTGGTGAGCGGATCGAACTGCAAATCTTATTTACAGTAGGATCCCACTTTGTTGAAAAATACTTTTAAAATATGTATGTATTTAAAAGACAAGTAAAATACGTCCACAGACAGAAAAAGAAAACGGGAGGAATCGCCACCAAACTGTGAACAATGATTATCTTTGTGGGCACTGAATGGGGCAGTGGTGAAGTTAGGGGGAAGCTTTCATTTTCTATTCTACATGATGCATTTCTGTAAAGTTCTAATCTTTATAATTAGTACATTTGAATTTCATAATCAGAAACAGATATTTAAAGGATCTCAAGATCTATGTTATATAGCTCTATCATATGTTAGGCGCCACCCCCGTTGATGGAGCCAGGGTCCTTCTCAACTCCAAATTCCACTGCCAGAAAAATGGCACCTTTCTTCTCCAGAGATACAAGATAATTGCGAGAAGGCAAAATTTTTTTAAAACAGAGACATCAAGCCAGGTACAGTGGCATGTACCTGTAGTCCCAGCTACTCAGGAGACCGAGGCAGGAGGATTGCCTGAGCCCAGGAGTTCAAGTCCAGCCTAGAGACAACATAGCAACACCTCCATCTCAAAACGCAAAACAAAAACTACAGATGGCAGATCTATTTAATGATTAGCTCTGGTGGGGAGCACTGCCCCTCAGACCTTGACCTACCCAAGCAGCCTCTAGTTGTTAAAGACTTCTCAGTATTGGAGAATAAAACAAAATAGACAAGCACTTTAAAATTCACCAGAAGTTAGGCCGGGCACGGTGGCTCACGCCTGTAATTGCAGCACTTTGGGAGGCTGAAGCAGGCAGATCACGAGATCAGGAGATCAAGACCATCCTGGCTAACACGGTGAAACCTCGTCTGTACTAAAAATACAAAAGTTAGCCGGGAGTGGTGGCGGGCGCCTGTAGTCCCAGCTACTCGGGAAGCTGAGGAAGGAGAATGGCGTGAACCCAGGAGGTGGAGCTTACAGTAAGCCGAGATTGTGCCACTGCACTCCAGCCTGGGTGACAGAGTGAGACTCCGTCACAAAAAAAAAAAAAAAAAAAAAATTCACCAGAAGTTCCCAAGGAATTTGCTTCCACACATAGAAAATAATCGAGTCCGTTTTTTCTGAAAACTTGCTTTAAAGTCCAATTGTGGGGATTTGATGTAGATGGTTCCATTTTAACTTCTTCAGCCAGAGGAAATCTAAAAATTCTTCCTTCCAGCTCAACAGAGCAAATCCACCTACTGCTCTGCAAAAGGAGGACAAAGATCCTCCTGGGGCCGCAGAATTCAGCAGCTTTTCCTTGGATTCCTAGGACAACCAACAGCTGTGGGACACTAGGCCAAGCTTCAAAAGGCAGCCTGCCAGCCATCGGACTCCCAGGCACCTGTGGAGTCCTAGGCGGTTGAGGAACTGGGGGAGGGCTTGGTTTCAACCTATTTGCCAAATCACCAGCAAAACAAGACATGTTCAAAAGAAACAAGTGCACATAAATAAGCCAGGGCTCTACTCCCCAGCCCATCAGGTCACCGGCCCAGCCCCTCAGTGTGCTGGTGAGCAGGACAATCAGAAAAGGCCTCTCTTCCTGGAATAACTAACAGTCTCTCACCATCCCCACTCCCACTGCCCGATGTGTCATGGGAAGTCTCTGAAATTCAGGTTTGGGAAATCAGTTGACATGAACTACAGCATAATATTAGATGTCTGATTAAAATCATCAAGATGATACAAAGGTCTAATCGCAGAGGTGCTCTCCACTCCCAACCCCCACATCAAATGGAGCTTTCTCTCCTTCAAATCAGACTTCTTTTTTTTTTTTTGAGAGAGAGAAGTTCTCACTCTGTCACCCAGGGGAGGGCAGTGACACCCTCACAACTCACTGCAGCCTCAACCTCCTGGGCTTAAGCGATCCTCCCACCTCAGCCTCCCAAGTAGCTAGGACCACACCCGTGAGCCACCACATCTGGCTAATTTTTCTATTTTTTTGTAGAGGTGAGGTCTCCCTGTGTTGCCCAGGCTGATCTCAAACTCCTGGGCTTAAGCGATCCTCCCTCCTCAGCCTCACAAAGTGCTGGGATTACAGCATGAACCACCGTGCCCAGCCTTCAAATCACATTTCTAAGGAGCCTAACAAGCAGCAGGCCTTTCCAGTTACAGCGCATGGAAGTAACAAAGGCAGCCTCAGCCAGCATCCAGCGCAGTCCCAGCAGACAGGGATAATGAAGCGGACGTGGGCCTCACGGGAGGGAATACTGTCCCCCACCTCCACACCATGCTAGTGAGAAAAACAGACTGCCTGCAGCTCCAAAACATACAGCAACTTACCTATCAAACAGGGACCTCTGACGCTTCACATTATCACGTAAGAAATGTTTCTTGCCCAGCAGCCCCCAGAGGATGAACAGCTCCCTCCACCTGAAAGGGGAAGAGGGCCCAAGCTGCAGGCGCCCTGGCCTATCGAGGCCGTGGACAGGAGGCACCCGAATGTCTCCCCAGACCCCACCCTGCTGCAGAGGCCTCTGCAGCCCATCACCCTGCAGCGCTGCTGTTCCCGCTGCTTCTTGGAGAACAGGGGCAATTTAATCTACAAATCCTGTAAATCCTTGTTAAAAAAAAAAAAAAAAAAAAAGAAGGGTAAAATAAAACGTCTGCACTAGCAAGGCTGGGACTTGGCATCAGCTGCCACCTCCTACAGAACCCAGTGGGGAGTGGGCTCCAGAGCCTCCCCGTGATGCTGGCAGTGCCTCGGCCAGACACCTGCCCCCGCCACCCTCCTGCGTCCTCACTGCACCCCTCCCCACCCCATGTCACATCTTCTGCTCATACCTCCCCACACCCTCCTCTCGCCTCTGGATGCACCTCTCAACACGCCCCTGACCGCGTCTTCCTCCCATGCTCTGAACTGTCCACTAGGGAAGCCAGCTGCAGAAATCACTCTCCTAGAATTCACTTGGTAAAATATGTGTTGTTATTGGCCCACCTACTTTGCTCCCAACCCACAGCAAGGGCTCTCCAGGGCTACCAAGCCCCTAATGGTCAGGAACTGCCCCCCAACCCCCATCTCCAGCTCTGACCTACACAAACTACATAATCCTGCTGCCAAAAACTTGGCCCTCCCTATGCCCAGGGTGCCACACTCCAGGCTGGCCCTTCTGCCGAGAGGGCTCTTCTGGCCTGGGCTCTGAACGGGCAAACCCACCCACTCTTCTAGGATGGGGTCCATGATCCACCCCAACCTACCGTGGGGCTCTCACATCTTCCAGACTGTGCCTCTCTAGGAGGGCCTTGGACCCAGAGCCAGAATGGGGCTCTGATGCCACTGCACATTCTCCAGCAACCCCTTCCATGCCCTTCCTCCTGATCCCACCCAGCTCTAAACTGGGAACAAGAAAGCTGGAATATAGTAGCTTCTCAGAAAATACCTACTGAGTACACGGCTGGATAGATGGACAGTGCTCCAGGCAAAGGGACTCGGGGGTAAGAAAAGTGAAGGGTACCTGCTCCCGGTTGTACCACTGCAGAGTCCTTGAGTGTCAAAGGACTGAGAGGTGAATGACGGGCAAGGTGAGACCTACCAGGTTAGTGTCCCGCACCCCTTTGTTTCCACTATTAGATTAAGCCACCCTATGTGACAGATAAAAGGAGCAACACATACAAGGAGTTAGGCCGGGGTTGCCAAAGTGAGGAGTGGGAATGCTGCCAGTCCAGGGGTCCCCCACGGCAGCTCCCCAAATGAAACCAAGACAAGTTGGAGATGAGGCTGCCTCTAGGTGTATCAAATCAACTGAAGTAGCACCAGTCCTCAGTGCTGATTAAGCACAGGCACGCCTGTGATCAAGAAGAAAACCATTACTTAATAAAATGCAGTTAATTTAGAAGCTGAAATCTGTGAAAGCTCAAGGGAAAGACACAATCAGGAGTTCTTGGTCTGGAGGGGCTTCTGCTCTCAAAGCTTCCAACCCAACACAGCACAAAGACGTCTTCCCCAACAACCGCACATCCCACCTGCAAAACGATGACACGCTCCTCTCCAGGTACCTGAACCTTAGGACTCAAAGGGTAGAGAAAGTTCACAGGCAGAATCTTCACAATACATGCACAAAACAAAGGCACTTCTAGTAGGAGCTGTGGGTCAGGAAAATCTCGACTTCACCCAATGCCATTCCCGAGACAATCAGCCATCAATCTGACCCACTCAGTCCTGCCTCAGGGGCTCAGAATCTAGCAGTCAGGCCAGGTGGGAAGTGCAGGGACCTGTGGCCAAAATCGGCCCACTCATCACTCAGCTGACAGCTTTCACGCGTACTAGCCAGAATCAGTTAGAGGCTGGAGGTAGTGCCAGGTGTCTGAAACCCAGCAGGCAGGTTGGTAAAACACTCACACATCCTAACCCTGGTGACTGCACTGACTGCGTGCTTTACTGTAGCAGAACAGTTGCACACATCTCATCTCCTCCATCCATAGTAACTCAGTGGCTGGTGAGGAATGGGACACAGACCTCCACGTGCCCTTCTCGGGATGAGTCAAGACAAACTCTGAGCAGTGACGCTCTACAGCTGGCTCACACGTGGAGGCAGAGCCTGGCTTCCCAGAGCTTCCAGTTCCTAACACACGCCTGGCCCCACTGCACCACACCCGTGACAGCTGCCACCAGCTCCGGATAATTCAGACAGATGCTAGAGCACATGGCTCACTTATTACACCAAAAGACTGAGAAACAGAAACTGTGTTTTAATTGTACAATGCACACACTTGCTTCCAGAGAGACCTGAGAAATCCATCATCCCTAAATGCATGCGGTTACTCAACTAGTGGCTTTACTATTTTTGAAACAATGGATTTTTCCAAGACAGTTGATAATCAAACCAACTGCGGGAAACCATAAACGATACTTGTTTATTAAATTAAGAACAGATACAACAGTTCAGAGGAATTCATATTTAGAGCTGCCTTGCTGGAGAATCAATTCCAGGAATGCCAAACCAACCAAATGAAAAAAAATTATATATATATATATATATACATATATATATATATATATATATATATATATATATCTCACACACACACACTCGTGTCACTTAACGACAGGCATATATATGTATATATATATCACACACACACTCATGCGTCACTTAACGACAGGGATGTATTCTGAGAAATTTATCATTAGGCAATTTCATCATTGTGAGAACATCATAGAACATACGTTATACAAACCTACTACAACACACTAGGTTATAGGGTACAGTCTACTGCTCCTAGGCTGCAAAGCTAGGCAGCATGTTACTGTGCTGAATGTGTGTATCTAAACATAGAAAAGGCACAACGTTAAAATATGCTATAAAAGATAAAACATGGTGCCCCTGTCTAGGGCACTTTCCATGAATGGACCTTCCATGAATGGAAGTTGCTCGGGTGAGTCAGTCCGTACACTAGTGCAGACTTTATAGACATTGTATACCTAGGCTACATTTTAAAAAAATATATTTTTATTTTTTAAATATTTTATATATTTTTTTAAAATAAAGTAACTGCACTACAACTTTACCACAATGTCACTAGGCAATAGGAATTTTTGAGCCCCATGATATTCTTATGGGACCTCTGTCATATATGCTATCATTCACCAAAACAATGTCATGTGATGCATGACAGTACATATGTATCTCAACTGAAAATCCTAAATGTCAATAGTGTTCTCCGACTCACTATTTACTAATAAGAGTTTCCTCAGAACTGTCTTTGCCTGAGAGTTTCACGACCAAACGTCTCTCTGCACAGTTGATTCTAGGGACAAGAAGTGCTAAGAATCCATGTTGGCTTCAAGTGCAAAATGGAAAACACCTTAGTGTCCCACCAACCACGTCAGCCACCTTCCTGGAGGGCTAGCTCCCAGACCCTTTTCCCATCGCTGTATAGGGCCCACGTCATCTGTGGCATTTCCACGACTCTCCGATGCCAGCCATCAGTCTCTCGGCTTGTGTTGAAAATTAGCACCTTTACGTGCCCACCAGTGGTCATGAGTCCTAGTCATGCCCACCCTGTTAAAAACAAATCTGATACAAAATGGGCCCCAGCAGGAGACAGGGACAGAACACGGACCTCACACTCTCTCCAGCTCAGACTCAAAGGCCAGCACTGCCCCATCACAGCCGAGTGCTCTTAGGCAACCCACAGCTCAGCTACCTGTCCCCAGCCTCCTCGTTGCAAAGTTAAGACAAGACCTGCCTTCTAGATTTGTCGGGAAATTATTTAAAATGATAAACAAAGAGGGATGGAACTCAACACACAGAATTGCCCGATGATGTGTGTTTCATTCCAGTGGTTTCGCCATCAAAACCATCTTTAAATGTTGGAGTGTTTCCGTTTCCAGACAACTAGAGATGAAAATATTTTCACAGTCACTCAACGCAGGTACCTCAACCACGTATTTTTTCTCTTAATTTTGATCCTTGAAACACAAAACAACAGATGCACCACCTTACATTAAAACAGCCCTTTAGAGTTTAGAGTTTATGACAGGCCGCCTCTGCATTCTCTCACTAGGCCGTAGCTGTAACTCACAAACCTGACCCTTAAAACTCCCAGGACAATAAGAGAAGCCACACCATGGAGCTCTTGCTGTCATAAAATATCTCGCATCAGTTCAATATTGCATCTCGTCTGTGCCTCAAAACAACCACAGGCAAGAGGCCTCACGCGGGTATTGCAGATGCTGAGAAAGACTCTCAAGCCAGAAGACTGGTCCTGGGCCCCAGGGATTAGTGGCAGGGCCAGGCTGGAACTGAGCTCCTGTTACTCCAAATCCCATCCTCTTTTCTGACCTCCCAGTCCCTTTCTCATAAAACCAAAGCATCTTCTCCAACCAGGCCAGGACACACGCAGGAGAGAGTCAGGCAGGAGGAGGCTTCTGGAAGGGAAAGCAGAGTGGCTGAGAGCCCTGGGACAGAGTCTGACATTAGGTACAGGACAAGTTTGGAAAGATCCAGATGGAGCGGGAAGGGAATCTGGGCGTGGGGGTGCCTCCTTCCAAAGTGCATCCACATCCGAGGTGACTGCAGGGAGACGCAGCGCTGACTTTGGCAGCAGGGACCACCCGGGTGCAGAGAACCCAAACAACTGAAAATCCAAAAAGGAATCTCAGTGCACAGTAAGAAAGCTCATTCTTTGGGCTGGTTACCTTCCCAAACACGTTCTCCTCTGGCCTATGTGAAACCGACGTTGCACTGTACAACTCTGAAGCTCTTTCTTGACTGCCCACTGAATGAGGGTCTGTGCTACATTCCAGGAGGATCCAAATGTGAACACAGCTAGGTTCCAGCTCTGGGACTCGGGAAAAGGAGGCACAGGCAGCAGGACATGTGCTGCAAGGAGACTACTGCTCCCGTGTTTCATTCACTCACTCATCCAACAACAGCACTAAGGCTCTGCTGTGTGCCAGGCACTTTTCTAGCTACTGGGGATCCAGAGGTGAACAAAGTCTTTTACAATTGAGTGGTAAGAGACTGACAATAAACAAACAAGTATATAAATAACACACTGAATGTTGAGTACTAAGGAGAAACACAAAGCAAGGTTAACAAGAGAAGGGGAAGTAACGCTAATTTATGTAGGGCTGTCAGGGAGCCGGCAATAAGTGAGGGGCCGGCCAGGTGGGCATCTGGGGGTGGCTGATGCCAAGGGGGTGGGAACAGCAGGTGCAAAGGCCTGGAGGCAAGAGTGGCCTGGCAAATCCGAGGACCAAGGGATAAGATGAAAGAGCCTACATTCAGTTAGGATCTCCGGGATGGACATGGGCCAAGATGACAGGTGGGGATGGGGTGGGGACAACCCAGGGCAGATCTGGGCAATGAGCCTGTCTGCCTGGAGCCAGGAGAGCCTGGAGGGGCCATTCTTGGGAGCGAGCGGGGGAACTTGAGAAAAATCAGGCCGAGACACATGGATGTGGAGGGAGCACTGGAAAGCCACTGAAGGCCTGGGCAATGGTGACACACCTGGCCTGGGCCAACTTGCAGACTCAGGGGTACCCCACAGCCCAACCTGGGAAACCTCACAGCCGGCACAGAAATCATAAAGCACACAGCAATGGCACCCCACCAGTACGCAGGGTTCCACATAGAGAGCCTGGCTGCATGATCTTGAGGTCACCTAACTCCCGGGCCTCCCTTGTGTGTCTGGACAGGGAGAGAGGGGAGGATTGGCTTCAGGAGAGGCGAGAAACGACAGTGCCCATGACAGCTGACTCAGCCTGTGCCAGCAGGCTGCTCTGAGACATGAGCTGGACCCAACCCAGGCGGTGGGCAGCAGGGGGGTGGGGAGGAACTCTGGGAAAGGAAGGAGCCAGAGAAGTCTCCCTGTGGGCGCTCGGGCCAACCACCACCCAAGGGAACAATGAGCACCCCCAGCCCCCGATGGGCACACAGGCTGCCTCCTGGTGAGCAAGCGTCTCAAACCTGACCTACATCTGGGAGGCCTGCCTGGTCACCAGGGACTACCTTACACCCTACCTGTGCCTCCACGTCCCCAGTGCTCACGGCCACCTGGCAAGGGTGAGGAACTGAGACTGCGTTGAGGACACACAGCCTGTGAGTGGTACAGCCAGGGCCGCTGCCCAGGCCCAGAGCTCTCTCCGTTTCTCTAAGGACCAGGCTGCAAGGCAGGGCATGTGATCTCTGCCGAAGACATTCAAGCCACCCAGTGATGTGTGCTGGGCCTCGATCCCCACCGACCGCCAGTCCTCTCCTCCCCTGGACAGTAAAGGTTTCTCCAAGACTTCAGACGACGGTGTCACCTGAGGCCCTCACCTATTAAGTCACCGGGGCAGGTATGCATGGCAGAGGACACGGAGGAGTGCCGGAGAGGAGCTGAGGCCTGGAGGGGGCCTCTGCAGCCAGGCTCAACCCCCACTCTCCCCACTCCAACAGCCCTCACTGCAGCCACCGCGGCCCAATCCAAACAAAGCCCAGCCTGATGCCAATCTCACCATCAACTGTTTTTCCTCTGACTTCCTCAGTTTTGTCTAGGAAAAATCAAAGTGTCTTATCCCATCTCTAAGCTTCCAGGGGTGTGATCAGTGTCTTTTACAATTACCTTTTACTTTTATCCAGCATTTCTTAGCTCGGTTGGCAAACTGGATATTTATGCACCTCCATTTCACAATCCATCTCCACCGATTATTCCTGTAAAACATTTTTTTTTTTAAAGTTTAGAGTTACTTAAGAAGGTTATGTAAACAAGTTAACCAGCAAGCCACAACTTGGGTCTGCGGTGTCAGAGAAAACATGCAAGGTGCAAGAGAATGAGGAGCTGATGGTCACCAGCTTTACCTCCTTCCAGCACCCACTCCTGCTCACACACACTCACACCCCGTGGGACTCAGCCTGCAGCTTCTCCCAGCCCAAGAGCCAGACAGTGGGGAGGAGCACAGACCACACTTCCTAACAAATGAGAGGGAAGACTTCGTGCCCCATTGCTACTGCCATCACCCAGTCCCAGCCCAGAGAGGGAGCCCACTCCAAGGGCCCCCCTGCCAGTACTGCTAGAGCCCACCGAGGGCTGCCAGCACACAGCTACGAGCTCCAGCTTTATCTACTCACGCCCTGGACACTGCCCGGAGCCCCAGCAGGTTCCACGTGTCCTTGTCACCCCAGCCCTCCTGCCCCGCGGATCCTAAGCTCAGGAGACCCTCTCCAGCCCAGGCTGTGGGGGAAGGCAGCCCCCACGGTCACCCAGGAATCAGCGCAGAGTGCAGGGCATCCTGGACTCCCCGGACTGGGAAACCCAGTTCCTGTCCCCCTGCGTAGTGGCCACACCTCTGGGAGGGGAGAAACCCCTGCCTCACCTCACTGGAGGGACCCTGACCCAGAGGCCTGAGAAAAAGCCACCGGCAGGCTCCTGGCACCTGCCAACCTGCACCTTAGGAAAACTTGTCCCACTTCAACCTGCAAAGCTCTCAGGTCATTACTTCTAAAACCACTGTCCTTTCTGAAACAGGAAGGAAAATAGAAAAACAAACAAAAACAAAGAGGCACAGAAGGCTGAAGACGCCAGAGGCAGTTTAGCCCAAAAACAAAGTGCCAGACACAAGATGCCAAGTTTGGGGCGCTTCCTCCACCGCATGCCTGTTTAGGAGCTGACTGCACTCAACCACAGATTTACGTCTGGTGCCTGCCAGGTCGTTATCTGAAGAGATCTGAAAAAGTAAGCCTTTCTTCTGCCAGTAAATACTAAGTTAAGACTAGCAGGCCCCTCTAAGGCTCTGCTCTCCACTGGGGTGCTGCAGGACAGGCCCCTCCGCGGGCGTTCCCCGCACCCTCCCTCCGCGTCGGCCCGGAGAAAAGGAAGTTCGCCCCTAGCCTGGGCTTACCAAGGCCCGCCGCCCGACCCATGGAGCCCTGCTTGGGGACCGGGGGCCTCGATGTTCTCCTTCACCATCTGCGGCCAGATCTCCCTCCAGCAGCCTTGCCAGGCAGTGCCTGGCGTGGAGAAGGGGCCCTGCAGAGGCGCAGGTCCGCACCGTGCCCCCAACCCGGCGCCTGCAGCCCAGGGGCAACAAGGTGTGGGGTTTTTGAGTTTTTCCCTCTGGGCCTTATTATACAGGGAAAGGGAAGGGGCGAAGATCCGGGCTCGAGTTCTCCCAGGGAAGTGAACCCAGAGGCGATCCCAAACTCAGTAGTTGCCGCCCGGCACGGGGACTTGATGCCGGCGCCAAGCCGGGCAGCGGAACGCACCAGCGGCCCGACCAGCCCGGCGAGACGCGAGCGGGCGGCCCCGCCAGACAGCGCCACTTGCCGGCGCCGAGAGTGGCCCCTCGCCGCGGTGAGCCCCTCCCGGGATGCGAAAGCCATCGCCTAGTCCCCGCCGCACCCGCCCGCCCATCGTGGGAGGAGGATGGGCCGGTCCGAGAGGCGTAAGGCCGCCGGGCTGCACCCCTAGATCCCAGCGGCGGCCTCCCCGCAGCCCCGCCGAGTCCGGGGGGCAGCGCTCGGGAGCTCTTGGCCCGCAGCTTACGCGCCGCCCCCCACGCGTCCGGGTCCCCGCGGCGCCGCGGGCGGCCCAAGGCTGCCGCCGCCAGCGAGTCAGGCAGCCGAGGTTCCCCAGCTTACCTGGCCAGGGCGCGGGGCTGCCCCGGTCCGCCGCCGTCCTCGCCGCGCCGCCGTCCTCGCCGCGCCGCCGTCCTCGCCGCGCCGCCGTCCTCGCCGCGCCGCCGTCCTCGCCGCGCCGCCGTCCTCGCCGCGCCGCCGTCCTCGCCGCGCCGCCGTCCTCGCCGCGCCGCCGTCCTCGCCGCGCCGCCGTCCTCGCCGCGCCGCCGTCCTCGCCGCGCCGCCGTCCTCGCCGCGCCGCCGTCCTCGCCGCGCCGCCGTCCTCGCCGCGCCGCCGTCCTCGCCGCGCCGCCGTCCTCGCCGCGCCGCCGTCCTCGCCGCGCCGCTGCCGGGTCTCTCCCGGGGGCTGAGCTCCCGCAGAGCTCGCGCCTAGCCGCACACCTCGACTGCTGATTAGCCCGACAGCTGAATAGCGGCGGGAGCCTACCGCGAGCGGAGTACGGAAAGCCCGCAGGGCCGCGCCACATGGCGCACGCGCACTGAGCTGCATACCTAGGTGACAAACGTGCACGTTTTGCACGTGTATCCCAGAACTTAAAGCATGACAAAATTTTTTTTTAAAAAACCCTGATGCCATTATTAGGAACAATTTGAATAGATCAGTCACAACCTATATGCTGGCTTCTGGTGTCTCAATTTGTCCTGGGAAAACTGTTGTAAAGCAATAGTATGTCAGTCCTTATATACTTATCCATCTCCAATCTGGAAAGACAAGGCTTATATGTTTCCTTTTTAGTCCCCTAATTTCTCTTTATGACACAAATCCAGTTGGCAGTATTAAAGATGGGGCTGATTCTCCTTTACTTATCTGGAATATGCTACCATTCCAGATAAGTAATAGTAAAATGGCCATTTCCTCTTGCTAATCAAATGTCGTTTTTGAACACAAAAGCCACTGGGTTTGGAGTATGAAACATAAACATAAAACATATCATACACTATCTGTGACGTTTTCATAAACTCACATGATCCTTTTATATTTTTCTCTTATATAAAACGAAATACTTTCCATTAAAAATTGAGATATTTAAATGAGAAAATGCTTGCCAATGTTATTAAAATATAAAATTTTATTATTTATTCAAAGAAAATGGTCACTTTTGGTTTGTGCTAAAAAATAACAGTAACAGTAGAAGCCTGCTTTAAAATATTTTAAGTGTGCGATATCATATTACTTCTCATTTACTCTTTGCGTTTCTAGAGAGCCAAGTTTATTTTTTTCTCAATTCAGTTTAAAATCAGAGGGAACAAAATTTGAAACGTGACATAATATCAAGGTTAACATGCTAGCTATGTAATAACTGTAAAATTTGGCCACAAATGCATTTGCTTTGAGAAAAATGATCATGTGAAATTCCTAAATATTTGGGCCATATGGAAGATGATATCAGAAGAATAATATATTCTCTGTATGTCAAAGGAGGAGGATAATAAAAACCGTAGTTATTAGGTTAGTACAAAAACAATTACAGTATTCGCCATTGCCAAAAATTGCAATTGCTTTTGCACCAAGGTAGTAATAAAAGTATGGTTGAGTTTCTGTAGAATTCCGGCAAAGGATGAGCATCCTTAATCTGAAATCCAAAACTCTCCCAAATTCGAAATTTTTTGGGTGCCCATATGATGCCTCAAGTACAAAATTCTACACCTGACCTCATGCAATGTATCATAGCCAAAGCACAGGTACACAACACATAGTTTATTCAGTGCTTTCAAGAGAAAATTAAAATTAACATGAGGCTACATGTAAATAAATTTTGTGTTTAGACTTGGGTCCCATCCCAAGATCTCTCATTATGTATATGCAAATACTCCAAAATTCAAAAAAATTCACAATTTTGGATTTTTCAGGTCCCAAGCATTTTGATTAAGAGATACTCAACCTGTCCCTGTTTGGAAGCAGTTCCCTCTAGATAGATTAAACTGGCCTAACAAAAGGTAGTATCTGTTGCTGGAGTTGAGAAAGAATAAATATTTACATACAAAAGTGAGGGCAAAAGAAGACTACAAAAACATTCTTATTGAAATTAAATAAAATTATGCCCTTTTCTCTGTGTAGCTCTTTGGCCAGTTTGAACAATGAATACCAAGAGCCAATGACTGAATTCTAATTATATATTTGGTGATTATGCTCAGACAGACTTGAAGAGAGAAATTTCATAAGCATCATTTTGGCATTTGATTTTCTAATAACAGAGCATCTCAAAATATTTTTATTCTTCATAATTCCCAGAATTTTTTTTTTTTGGTAAATCTTGCATATGACTCCAACGTGCAAGTTATTTGTAACACTACCAATAACTTTTCTATTCTTTTGGAGGAGAAAATATTCCATATATATATATGTATATATGTACACACACACTACATATATAGTTTATATATTCCGATTCTGCCCTATTAATCTATAAATGTATGCACGAAGAAAATATGTAATTACTGGGACTGTAAACTATATTTATATCAGATAAAATAGATAAATAATTCTATTAGTTTTATTTTTCAAATATATCTGTGTATTAGGCCGTTTCCTTACAGCTGATAAAGACATACCTGAGACTGGACAATTTACAAAAGAAAGAGGTTTAGTTGGACTCACAGTTCCACGTGGCTGGGAAGGCCTCACAATCATGGCGAAAGGCAAGGAGGAGCAAGTCACATTTTACGTGGATGGCAGCAGACAAAGAGCTTATGCAGAGAAACCTCCAGTTGTAAAAACCATCAGATCTCGTTGATGAGATGAGAGCATGTGGGAATGTGGGAGTTACAATTCAAGGTGAGATTTGGGTGGAGACACAGCTAAATCATATCAATCCATTTCCTGAAATTTGCTCTGTGATAAAAAGTTAAGAGTCAGATTATCTGAGTCAAAAAAAGATATAAACTGGCATTTTAGCTTAACTAGTTATAAAAGTATAGGTTAATTTAAGAAAAGCTGAGGGTTTTAAAAGAATATTTAGTTTTATGCATAGAAAAAAGGTATAAAAGTAAAAACCTGCTGCTCATTTGGGTATTAAAGGTATAAGTGTTAAGTATAAATGTTATATTTTCTAATTGGCTAGTAATTTATGTACTTTTATTTACATCTTTTTGTGTATTAATTTTTCCCAAAACATACTGAAAGTTTTTGTTTTAATACTTTTCTATTGATCTTCACAATTTTCAACTTCTTCAATCCAAATTTATCGATTAGTAATGATGTTGCTTTTTTCTTTTTAAAGTTTTTACCTATTATGTTTTCTGCCATATTAATCAGTATTTTAAAAAATTACTAATGGCTGTAATAGGAGACACACACAATTTGTTAATGAGAATGCATCAAGTTTCTCACCATTAAGCATAATGTTTATCTGTCTTCATACAGCCATATATGTTTTATATATGTGTGCACGTGTTCCCTTGTGTACGTGGGTTGCATATGTGTGTGTAGTTATTATGTTAAGACATACCATATCCTTTATTAAACTCATTGAAATTAAGAAATGTTAATATATTCAGATGCATTTTGGTATCTTTGGAGATAATACTGTGATATTTATTTAGTAATATGATATGATGAAAAATACTAACAAAGCTATTCTCACATTGTTGCCACGAATCTCTCGTGGTCATCGACTATCTTTTTTTTTTTGAGACGGAGTCTCGCTCTGTCACCCAGGCTGGAGTGCAGTGGTGCAATCTCGGCTCACTGCAAGCTCCGCTTCCTGGGTTCATGCCATTCTCCTGCCTCAGCCTCCCGAGTAGCTGGGACTACAGGCGCCCGCCACCACGCCCAGCTAATTCTTTGTATTTTTAGTAGAGACGGGGTTTCACCGTGTTAGCCAGGATGGTCTTGATCTCCTGACCTCGTGATCCACTGCCTCAGCCTCCCAAAGTGCTGGGATTACAGGCGTGAGCCACCGCACCTGGCTGGACTATCATTTTTAATAGAACGCTCAATTCAGTTTGCTAATATTTTATTTGGTGCTTTTGGGCATACATTTTCAGGTTTTTAATTGGAATTGCAATGTCATGCTGACTTCATAAACATAATTCCAAGATTGCCTTTCTCTTCAAATGTTCTGAAACATTTTAATTATCAAGGGAATTATCTGTTCCTGAAGTTTGGATAGATATTACTCAAAATACTGGTGAACCCTGGTATCTATTACTGGAATAGGGGAAGTGATGAGAATAAAAAGCTGAGGCCTTTTGTATCTTGGTGATATTCTCTTTTTATTTATTTTGTCTTTATTCAGTAATCTGCTTTGATATCCTGAATCAGTATTTCCTTAGGTGGAGAGAGTTTTCTTATATTGAATATTAGATTCTTTCTCCAATTTTACTTTTAGAACTATAGTTACCATTCTGTACTTAGATCTCCACAACTTATTCATCCTGCCTAACTGAAATTTTGTACACTTTGACAAATATCTCTTCATTTTTTCTTAGCTCCTCATTTATTCTCTTTTTCTATTTTCTAGAAACACTGATTTTTACTTGGGGTATATATTTTTATCCCCCCATATATATCCTTTTCTTATCTCTTATTGTCTCTTTGTCCCTTTCCCTTGGATCCTAAGGAAGACTCCTATGTTTTCATTGACATCATTTAGTGTTCTATAGCTTTAATTCTTTTCTTCATTCGTTCTAATGCAGCCTCTAGTGTTCCTTTAATATTTTAAGTTTCCTTACAATGCTACCTTCACTCGGTTCTCTTTTTCTTGCCCTGTAATTGGCCAGAAAAAATATTTGCTGTATTTTATATTTTATATCATGTTTTTTCATTTTAAAATACTTTACAGTTACATATTTTAAAATATCTTACTCAAATATTTTAATATATTTTAACACAATGTTTTATCTGAAATATACATTTATATTTCTTGTAATTATTTTATTCACAAACCTTTTATCTGATGTTTTGTTTTATCACATTGTTAAACATTTCTGAAATTATCATGTACTGTGTGTGTATATATATATATATATATATATATATATATATATATGTATGTACTTATCATTAAATAAGGCAGGATCTACACATTGTTTTGATATCCCATAAACAGAGTATACAAGTGTATCTTGGTTCCCTCTCTATCCATCTGTCTCAGCTCATTTTATGCTGCTATAACAGAATACCACAGACTGGGTAATTAATTTACAAAACAGAAATGTATCGGCTCATATTTCTGACAAATTCAGAAGACTAAGAGCATGGCACCAGCATGTAGAGAGGGCTTTCTTACTTCTTCATCTTATTTCTTCATGTTATGGAAGGCAAAATATGAAAAGATGAAAAGTGACAATGTACAAACCGTGTATGTATGTGTGTATGTACCTAAAGGTCCCACTTCTCACCACTGTAGCATTGGTGACTGATTAAGTTCCTAATACATGAACTTTGGGGGACACATTCAAACTATAACCCCATCTGATTATTCGTAGAGTTCTCAACAGATCTCAGGCAGAAGGCTTTTTGATAGGTCCAGCCCTTTATCAATTGTAGATAATTAGAAGTGATACACATCTTTACCAGGCTTCACGCCTTCCTTCTGCCAAGCTTACATTCCTAAACATAAAGCACATCCACATTCACTTGAATTTTTCACCTATATTGAACTTCTTGGAATTCGAGGCCTCAAATCAATGCAGAATAAAAGGAGATAACGGTAAATTTGAAGAATTAAATGATCATGACCATTTTTAAGTCAGGTCTTTCGCAATGACCGTGGTCAATAATGGCCAAGACAAATGGAGATGAATTATACATAGAATGAATACATTAAAATGTCATCTACTTTTCTTTCTCCAGAAGGATTCACTGTTCTATGTGCGCCTCTCATCTGCCTTTTTATTAATTAACCTTTCTACTGAAGTCTGGACGATCTCCAACCAGTATTCCTAGTTTGTGGTATTGTAGAAATATATTTTTGTGTTTTAACGAGTCAACAAAGCATTTGTAAGAAATCATCATAAAAATCTATTAAGCATTCATTTTGCATCAAACATTTATTGCGTAAAATAAGCAGATACAATGAAAATTCTTCTTGATGGTGGAAAGGTATCACTGTAAAAAATCATTATCATCTTGGGTTGCAATACAGCAGTAAACACAGAGATTTTGATATATGTAGGACCTATATTGCTGAGCTTAGCTATGCTCTCTGTATTTTGTTTCTTTGCCTTTCTTGTCAAGTTGTCAGCAATCACTTCACACTACTGAAAATATAATTAATTGCCTTTAGCAGTTCCCTCCCTGCTTCTAACCTTATACTTTGAAGCAGAAGCAGAAAATTACTTTGGCTGAGAGTCAGAGCTAACCTGAACGTTGTATTAAGTGGAGGCCAAAAGTTTCTGAAAATGTACTGGGGGCTTTATTCATGGATGAAAGGGTATAAAACCTTTGTTTTATTGATCTGCACTTCCTAATTTTTATACTTACAACCATTGTCCAAAATTTTATATATTGCTTCAGATGTCTTGTATTCCACACCAATGGAAGGTACCGCGTCTTATTCATCCTTCACCTCCAAGTTCCTACCAAAATGCCTGACATATGATAGGTACTTACTGAAAATTGAATGGAACCAACTTACTGATTATCTATTCTCCCTTGGATATCTCACATGCATCTGAAACTTAGTATGTGGGAAACTGAGCTCATTTTCCTTCTTCCATGCTCAACATTGTCTTTTCCCTCCTGTGTTTCCTATTTTGATGAATAGCCCATATTCTCAACCAATTACCTAGGCCAAGAGCCTTGGAGCCAACCTTTCTCTTTTCCCCTCACTACTCACAACTAATTGATAACCAACTGTTGTCTACCCCCTGCCCCCCACAAAAAACAGCAGATTAATCCATGACCTCCTCTCCACTCTCACTGCACTGTCTTGGTCACAGCCGTCACAATTCTTCGTCTGGAATGTAATATCTCCTAATAGTCCTATCCATTCCAATTCACTTTCCAGATTCCTGACAAAAATAATTTTTCTGAAGAGAAATCTGATCATTAAATTTAGCTGATTGATTGCAAAATTAAGTTCTCCATGTTAGAGATGAGAGTTTGGGAAAAAGAAGGCAGCAAGAATTCACAAAGAAGAATAACAGAGATCAGAAAACTATCCACAGAGACAGCTTCAGAGATTTTCAGGGGATGTGCAGATTTATTGAATCTTCCAATTAATACTGATCAACACAAGTATGTGAGGAAATGGTCAAGGCCAGGGTACAAACCACTAGAAAGGGAAGGCAAAAAAGTCTCCAGAATTCACATAAGGTCATAAGTAGTTTGTGTTTCCATTAGCCAGGGTAGAAAATCCTCGAATCAGTTAGAGTACTCAGAAGGATATTGTCTCACTAATGTGGAAACAATTCTATCTAGACTGAAAGGTGCTCTGGTTCTACCAAGCAAAGCTTAAAAGCAAACTTCAACACAAGCAAATTATTCCTAAGTAATTTAACTGCATCCCAGAATAAAGCTTAACTATTCAGCACAAAATAAGGTAGAATTCACTATGTCCAGCATTCGATAAGAATATATCAGGCATAGAAATAGGCAGAAAAATGATACATATTGAAGAGAAAAAAATCAATCAAGAGAAACAGACCCACAATGACACAGTTGCTAAAATTAGTAGATAATGACATTAAAACAGGTATCTATGTTTGAAAAGGTAGAGGAAAGCATCAAATGAGAGACATGAAAGAGAGAGCAAAATGTGAAATCATCTTCTCGGGATTAATCAAACAAACATGGAAACAATGTCTTAGATGAAAACTATACTGGATGAAATCAAAAGCAGATTATCAATTGCAGTAAAAAAACAGTGAATGTAATTGTTTAACAATAGAAAGTATCTGAAATGAAAAATAAAAATGGGAAGAGAACATCAGTGGGATAACTTCAGTGGCCTATTATAAGGGTAACTGGATTCCCCAAAGGATAGGAGGGAAAAAAGTTTTCAGGAAATAATGTATGAAAGAATAGTTACTGAAAACAATTACATTTAATAAATTGAGCTCTCCTCAGCCTAATGAGTGTCAAAAGTCTCTTCTTTTCTTGGACTTTCTGCTGACCTGAACACTGCTTTGAGACAAGTCTACATGAAAAAAAAAATGAGGCAAAGGTAAAGAAAAGGAAACCTTCTCTTGGTCAATCAGATGAGATGGCTGAAAAGAATGCCAAATCCTCACCACAAGTGATGGAGTGAATGGTCACCTTGGTCCAGAGTGAGAAGACTGTGAGCCTCAGGATGGTTCTAACACAGGATTACCCACTCACCTGGCTGCAGTCCCTGTAATTCAGACCCATCTTTAGGGCTTTTCCTCGGATCCACGAGTCAGCTTCCTGTTTTCTCTTATACTCCTCCTGTCTCGGATCTTCTTAGTCTCTCTCTAAGCTCTACAGAAGTGTCTTCTTTGTTGTTTCCTTATATACTTTATACCTACCTATGAATTACCATCCCCTGAATGTTATGGCTTCTACGAAAGATAATGCAATAATTTTATTTTTCTTTTGAGACGGAGTCTCGCTCTTTCGCCAGGCCGGAGTGCAGCGGCACTATCTCGGCTCACTGCAAGCTCCGCCTCCTGGGTTCACGCCATTCTCCCGCCTCAGCCTCCCAAGTAGCTGGGACTACAGGCGCCCGCCACCGCGCCGGGCTAATTTGTTGTATTTTTTAGTAGAGACGGGGTTTCACCGTGTTAGCCAGGATGGTCTCGATCTCCTGACCTCGTGATCCGCCCGCCTCGACCTCCCAAAGTGCTGGGATTACAGGCGTGAGCCACCGCGCCCGGCCAATGTTTGTAATCTAGTTATTTCTTAGGGACCACCAGCACTCACTCTTGTCTGTGTTTAGCACAAAGAGCAAGGGGCAGAGTACTCATCAACTCAGGAGGAGGAGGAGTCAGTAGAGAAAGCATTCATGAAAAAAGGCTTACATCTCAGCAATTTCTAGGCACAAAAGACTTATGAAATTCTAATATTTTATTTTGACAGAGTTCTTCTTTAGCATTATGTTAGATACAAAAATAGATTTTGAAAAATCATTTTATAATAATTATAGTATTTGCCTATCTGTTTATGCCACGTAAATTCTATGTATAAATAGGTGGAGAGGTAGTCACAATATTGGGGGGCATGTTGCATAGTATCTTGCACCATAGCTCACTATCTTTTACATAATACGCTTTAGTATGTTCAGTAAAACACTTTTAGTAAAGGGCTCAGAAATTATGACAGGGTAATACCAGTCATAGAATCAAGAAAGGCATCTAGTTTTATCTACAAAAGATTTTAGAAATAATCTTATAACATATCCACTAAATTGAATGATGAACATTAGACCACTTTTTATTCCATTATAATCTTATTTTCTCTCATAACGCTATCCATTAAAGTATAGATTCTATTGTAAAAGCTTCTAAAAAAGTATCAAATCTTCCTTTGTTCCATTCCAGCTAAGCTGTGTTTCCCACCTGTTCTGTGCTTGCTAAAAATATAATGAGAAAATAAATGACTATCTAAAGTTGTTTTACAAAAGACTGTATCATAGATCCTGTGAAATCCTTCCTGCTTTAAATCCTTTGAGTGGCTGGATATCTTGAAATGGCAAATGAATTGGCCACAGAACAGTGCACACTATTCAAGGTTTGTTCATGGAGTCTTATTTATCACAGTGATCTGTGGGCATGATAACATAATCTATACAGTGTTCATTTTTCTCTTAGGTGGTCTGGGCATTCTTCAACCATTTATTCAAACATTATCTTCTCAATTCCACCTTATAATTTTTATTTCTAAAGCGAAGTGAGCACAGACCAGATACCTGTACCTGGGTAGTGGTTTTCTAGGATACAGTAAAATGCAGGATACATTGAAGAGCAAATGGGTGCAGATGAATTGAAAACTCTTCCCTCTCCACGTCAAAGCCCAGTTGAAGGTTGGCATTTGAACAGAAAACATTCATAGACATGAATGGGGAAAGTTAATGCTCAGAGTTCACAAGTGAAATGAAACCATTCCTACTCACTGCTTCTACAAATCACTTTATAAGTGATCCTGAGGAATTCTTTCTCATCTCTCTCTCTCTCTCACTCTCCCTCCTCCCTCATCTCTTCCCTCTCCTATTCTGGCTGAAACTGGCACCTAAGTCAAATGTAGCTAAGCAAACAGTGTCTCAGTACGAGACAGATATATATGTATGCACAATACACATATATATTTACATGTATATATATATATACACACACACACATATATGTATTATTTTTTCCTAATTCTACCCACAAAAGAGGCACTAATACCTTAAGAGCCATAAGCGAATTTTGTGCCCAGATGGTTTTTAATACCTGTCCCTACTGAAAGGAACAAGAGCCTCTTGGAGAAATGTCTGGTTCCAGGGCTGGGACAAAGAAGGTACATGATGAAACTGGAACACCTTTTTGTGCCAGAAAGAAAGGGAGTGCTCAAGAAAACAATGGGAACATGTCAAAAAGAAATAGGCAATAGCTTGAAGGGGCTCCTGCTGACCAAATCTAGGGACAATTTGTCTATCAAAATAAATGAGGATTGCAACGATTAAATAAAATAGGATGATTAAATAAAGTAGGAAATTATTCATCTATTATAATAAGCAAACAAAGAGATACGCGCATACATAAATGGATAAATAAGCAGAGGAGAAAAGAGAACATTTCTTTATTTTATTTTATTTTTTTGAGACGGAGTCTCGCTGTCGCCCAGGTTGGATGCAGTGGCGCGATCTCGGCTCACTGCAGGCTCCGCCCCCCGGGGTTCACGCCATTCTCCTGCCTCAGCCTCCTGAGTAGCTGGGACTACAGGCGCCCGCCACCTCCCCCGGCTAATTTTTTTGTATTTTTAGTAGAGACGGGGTTTCACCGTGTTAGCCAGGATGGTCTCGATCTCCTGACCTCGTGATCCGCCCGCCTCAGCCTCCCCAAGTGCTGGGATTACAGGCGTGAGCCACCGCGCCCAGCCAAGAGAACATTTCTTTAAATTAGTGTGCCACCTGATACATGTGAAAGGAAGAGTCATGGAGTGGCCGGGTGGAGGGAGGCAGGGCGGGGAATACCATTTGCAACTATGGTGGTAAAAAATAATTTAGGCAAGAAGTATCAGGAGAATACTTATCTTTGGGAAGAGCTGGATGAGAAGCAGGCTGCTTGCGTGTTCTCAAAGTGTCTCTTCACAGACTGCTATTCATTACAAGGAGAAAAGTACTAACTAAACAGTGAAGAATGCAAATGACACTTTGACCTTTTGCTGCAAAGTAACCTCACCAATAAGAGGTATGTAGATGTCTTGTATTTGGGGGATATATGGTACCCCGAGAAGGACACCACATCACTGCTGCATTATTCCACTTGCAGCTGTATAACCAAGTCTAATCATGAGAACACATCAATCAAGCTCAAATGAAGAAACATTCTGTAAAATTACTAGCCTGAATTTTTCAAAACTCCCAATGCCATGATAAAGAAAGGCAGAGAAATGCTGATAGAATAAAGAAGGTGAAAGAGATAGAAAAACTAAATGCAGTATGTGATTCTAGACATGGAATATGGACTACATAGATTAGATGAAAATATTACTTCAGTGTTAAATTTCTTGAATTGTACCATCTTCAGATGCTTATTTGAGGATATTTAATTCAGTCTGGAGAGTTTTATTGCAGTTTATCTTTCTTCCTAGTTGGTTTGGGGGAAGAATTTCTTCAGCTGAAATGTTTTGACTCATATTTTCTGTTTTCTACAGCAGCTTTTATATTGCAGTTTTTGTAGTTATGTTTTTTATTCTGTTCCCAGGTATCATAGAAATGGAGTTCCTAGTTCTAGAGTATCCTTTTCTATAAATAGAGTAAAATGCAGTTTATTTAATAAGAGATGTTGGCACTTTGGGCAGAAAGGGAGTGGTAGGCACGTGGTACTTCTCTTTCATCTGGACATATTCCTTAATTTTACCTTCTTTTTTTCCTTTCTGTGCCATGACTCCTGATCAATCAAATAGACAACTGAAATTATTCACAGATCTGAAATGTTTTATTATTTCTGTTACCAGATTTGTAGCTCTTCAATGCATGTTTAACCTGTGCACATAGTCTAATTTTCACTGCTGGTGTTGACAGAAAAAAATATTTCAAAAATGGAAGCTGAGGGAGGCCGAGGCGGGCGAATCACGAGGTCAGGAGATCGAGACCATCCTGGCTAACACGGTGAAACCCCGTCTCTACTAAAAATACAAAAAAAATTAGCCGGGCGTGATGGTGGGCGCCTGTAGTCCCAGCTACTCGGGAGGCTGAGGCAGGAGAATGGCGTGAACCCGGGAGGCGGAGTTTGCAGTGAGCCGAGATTGCGCCACTGCACTCCCGCCTGGGCCACAGAGCGAGACTCCGTCTCAAAAAAAAAAAAAAAAAAAAAAAAAAATGGAAGCTGAGGATTGTAACATAATGTAGGTATATAATGGCAATGGCACTATTTCTGCTTTTCCTGTGCTTTGGGTCTACCTGAAGAGTAGTGTGCACTTGCTGTGAATGGTAGAGCCCACCTACATTAGGCTGATGATTTATTGTTGAAGTCAAAAAAACTAGTGAAATTTTACTGAGTAGACTCTTGATCAGCAGGGTAGCAGATGTCTCCCAGAATATTTTGCTTCTCAAATTTACAGGGCTTCTACCTTTCATAGAAAACCATCCTCACCTCTGACTCATGTGACTTATCTTCGGGTACTGCCTTCTCTTGGCAGTCTTTGGGACTACCTCAAAGCAGAATTCATCCTACCCTGCTCAGTGTTCCCTCGACTCTTCTTCCATTATATGGTAGTCCACTGGTGTCTCAACAGGTCTGTACATTATCAGACTGTGAGCTCCCTGCTCCCTCAGCCAGACAGAGATTGAAGAGGACACCATCTCTTTCAACTAAATTGTGTGAGGCCATTACAAATGGCCGACATTTGTAGGCCACTACATATGGGCTACTACTCACTTATGTTTTAGCCCAGCCCTTGAGTTTGTAAAGTGTGTTGGGTTAAATTTGTAGTTAGACAATTTAGCCGAGGGAAGCTTAAATGTTCTGTGTAGAGCAGTGGGAGAAATATGTTCTTGTTATTTTTGCTCTTCTTGAAACAAAAGAAACGGAAAAGGGAGAGAAGAGGTGAATAATAAATACGAAAGAGTAGAAATGCAGTCTGCAACAGATGACAGCAGACTGAAGCTAGAATCCAGACCAGGCCAAGGAACTTTATGATTTTAAGGAGGATGGGTAACACACAACTGGAGGTGTTAGCAGTGCTACAGTGGTCAGTTGTACACATTTTTTCTGGCCCTTGAAAACTTGAGTAAGTTCAGTTAAAACACACATAGCATGAGTAAGAATTTTGATTTTATGAACACTAAGGAAAATGCTGTGTTTGTTACATGATAGGGCAAAATAATTAGAAAAAGAACCCTACACATAGAACAGTTGCATAATTTTGAAACGAAGTTAAATCAGAGGAAATGTGGGGGGCAGGAGGAGAATGACCACAAAATTATAAGCCTACAGATAATTTGGAAAAATCCTGAGGAGGATTTTCAAGAAAATGTTCAGTGAAAGCTTGGAGCAATTTCATCTAGTGTTTAAGAAGAAGGATTTCCTTGCTGATTTCTATGATGTGTTTTTATTCATACACAGGTACAGCACCTACGTAGCACGTAATAGGCTATTTACTTAGATAGCAGGTGAGCCCAAGATATAATACCTGTACTTTAGCTGTTATCTTTAGAAATAAACATCTAATAGGATCTATTTTGGCACTGCAATGGAAACTATCAACATTGGAAAACTCCTAAGTAAGTGTTCAACAATAGAGAAATGACTAAACAAATTACAGTATATTTGCTCTATTTCGTACATGTCACAATCACAAGATTGAAATCCATCTATATAAGCTGACATGTTAAGTTCCCTTACACATAATGCCATGTGACAAAAAATATGTTGCCCTACTATACAACTGCCCTACTTATGCAAATGTTCAGAAAACTATGTATTAACAGCAATTGCCCCCAGTTGAAGGATTTGATTGGAGGGAAAAAAACAGATCTTCACTTTCCTCTTCCAATCCTTTTATGTTACACAAAATTTTGTCATGAGAATTTATATATATGCACACAATATCAATATATTTATATTAATATTTATCTTATTAATATATTTATATTAATACTTGCATAATTAATATATTATTGTTATATTTATATTTATATTATTGATATATTAGTAATATAATTATTAATATTACATTAATATTTTAACATATTAATATATAAATTAATACATGTATACTATAAAACAGAACATCTGTTTTTGGAACATGGTTAGTTGAGCTAATGCAAAATGCTTTCTGTTACAGTTAACATGGTGGAGAATTATAAAACTTGTGCATAGTGTTGGGAGTTCACAGAAAATAAATGGAGATGGCAACCCATAGATAGTGTGAAAAAACAGAAAGAGGTGAGATTGCATGACAAATGAGTACCATGTAAGGTAAACTTTGTTGGACTTATGACTCAGAAATAGGCTCTCAAAAATACAGGTTTGGAAGTCTCCTTTTATTCAACTTTACTGTAGAATTTCAGAAGGTGACATTCACTAATTCTACTTGTACAATTCAACAAGTTTTGATAGAAGCATAGTTACATAGGCCCTACCACATTCAACCCTTAAAACAATCCCAGCCAGAAACTCCTCTGGTGCCCCTATTCTATATATATATAAATATATATATAGAGAGAAATATATACATAGAAATATATATAAATATATATAGAAATATATATAAATATATATAGAAATATATACAAATATATATAGAAATATATACAGAAATATATAGATATATATATAGAAATATATACAGATATATATATAGAAATATATCTATATATTTCTACCATGCCCAGCTTCTGTGCCCAGGCTGGAGTGCAGTGGCACGATCTCAGCTCACTGCAATCTCCACCTCCAAGGTTCCAGCGATTCTCCTGCCTCAGCCTCCCAAGTAGCTGGGACTACAGGTGCCCACCACCACGCCTGGCTAATTTTTGTATTTTTAGTAGAGACAGGGTTTCACCACGTTGGCCAGGCTGGTCTCGAACTCCTGACTGGGAATCTTTAAATGAATTTTTGTCCTTGTAGTTTTGTGTTTTCTAGAATTTCATATAAAGGAAATCATACATGAAGAAGTAAGTAAAAAGCTAAGATTTTTACTTAGCATCATGCATTTTAAAGTAAGTCTTGTCTTTATATATATTAGTACTTCATTACTTTTTTTTTTTTGGTTAAATAGTATTTCATTTTATGGATATGCCCCAGTGAGTTTATTTATTTACCAATTAATGGACACTACAGTTGTTTTCAGTTTGGGGTTGTTCCATATAAAATTGCTATAAACATTCATGTACAGATACTGTACAGACATACATTTTTATTTTCCTTGGTAAAAACCTGGAAATGGAATTCCTCAGTCATACAATAAGTGCACGTATGAATTTATAACGTAAGTGCTAATTTATAACATAAAGTGCTAATCTGTTTTCCAAAGTGGCTCATCAAAAACATATGAGCGTTGGGTTGTTCATCCTTACCAGAACATGGTTTGGTTTTCTTATCTTTATTTTTATTTTAAATGTTCCAATAAATAGTGATATTTCCTTAAGATTTTAATTTGCATTCCCCTAGTGATTAATAATGTTGATCATCTTTTTGTTTGTCATCACTGTCATTGTTTTTTGGTGAAGTGTCTTTTCAAATATTTTACCTAATTTTTTTAACCAAATTGTTTGGCTTCTTGAGTTGTAAGAATTCTTTGTATATTCTGGATACAAATTCCTTATCTGATATATGATTTGCAAATATTTTCTCCCATTCTGTGGATTATCTTTTAATTTTCTTAATGGTGATATTTAAGAGCAGGAGTTCTTAATTTTTAGGAAGTCCAATTTTTCTACTTTTAATTTTTATTATTTATCTCATTTTCTTGCCTTATCTAAGAAATCTTTTCCTAACCATGTTCATAAAGATTTTCTCAAATATTTTCTTCTAGAAGTTCTAGAGTTTTACATGTTACATTCAGGCTTCTGATCTATTTCAACTTAATATTTCTTATAACAAGAAAGGTGAAGATCAAGACTCATCTTTTTTCATACGGTCACCAAGTTAATCAAGCATCATTTGTAAAAAACTCTCTTCTTTCACCATTGAGAATCAATCATTGTAGAATACTAGCTGACTATATATGTGTAGATCTATGTTTAGACACTATATTCTGTTCCAAATTATTCTGTACATTTCTATACTTTATCTCAATGCAACTTTATCTTACTATAGCTTTATAGTGTGACTTTAAGTCAAACCATATGAATCCTCCACATTTGTTCTTTTAAAATATTGTTTTAGTTATTCTCAAGGCTTGCATTTTCATATAAGTTTTTGAATCAGCTTGTCAGTTCAACAAAAATACCTGATGGGATTTTGATAGGGATTGAACTGAATTTATAAATGAATTTTGGGTAGAATTGAGATTTAAATAATATTTAGTCTTTTATTCCATAAACATAGTGTATCTCTCTATTGCTTTATTTTATATTGATTTTTTATCAATGATTTTTAATTTCCAGCACACAAAGCTTGCTTATATTTTACTAGATCTATTCTGAATAATTTCATGTTTTTGATATATTGCAAATGGTATTATGTTTTTTAATTTCAATTTTCAGTTATTTTTAGCTCATATACAAGGGTGTGATTATATATATATAAACATATATTATATATATAATATAAACATATATAAACATATATATATATGTTGACCTGGCATTCTATGACCGTGGAAATTTCACGTTTAAATCAGTTTAGCATTTTTGTAGCCTTTCTGAGATTTTCTAAATAGCTAATTATAACATCTGTTAATAAAGACAGTTTTGTTTTTCCCAGTTTGCATGCCTCTATCGCTTTTTCTTCCCTTATTCTTTTCACTAAGACCTCAGCCTAATGTTGAATAGAAATGGTGAGAAAAGACATCCTTACCTTGTTCTCAACCTTAGGGGTACTCATCAGTCTTTCACAATTTAGTATTGTATTTACTGTAGGTTTTGTCAACTTGAAAGTGTTCCTTATCTTTCTGATTTGCTAAGATCTTTATAACCATAACTAACAAATGTTGAATTTTATCAAGTGCATTTCTGCATGTATTGAGATCCTCCAGGTGCTGGGATGTCAGTGCTCCTGTTGCAGGGCCAGGCAACAAGATTTGTATGTGTTTTCACACAAAAAGCTGAATCTAAGCTGCCTACATAGGCCCAGGAATAAATGCAGCACCCTCAGTTGACGGGGACTAAAAAATTCCTCCTGGCCGGGCGCGGTGGCTCACGCCTGTAATCCCAGCACTTTGGGAGGCCGAGGCGGGTGGATCATGAGCTCAGGAGATCGAGACCATCCTGGCTAACAAAGTGAAACCCCGTCTCTACTAAAAATACAAAAAATTAGCCGGGCGCGGTGGCGGGCGCCTGTAGTCCCAGCTACTCGGGAGGCTGAGGCAGGAGAATGGCGTGAACCCGGGAAGCGGAGCTTGCAGTGAGCCGAGATTCCGCCACTGCAGTCCGCAGTCCGGCCTGGGCGACAGAGCAAGACTCCGTCTCAAAAAAAAAAAAAAAAAAAAAAAAAGAAAATTCCTCCTCTCCAGTTGGAGACGTGACAAGGAATCTCGGTTCTGCTCTGATTCTGCACACCGAGCACATAATCCAGCCTCAAGCAGATTTTGAACTCTAATCTGAAATACAATCATAATAATAGAGTTCCTGATTTCAGACATTAACATCGAAGTTGTTTTTGAGTTCATTATAGAATCAAAGGCTAAAATATTCTGAAGAGACATTTCTGCCATACAGGCCACATGCTATCTTTAATTGAGAATAATGGAAGCTAACTCTCCTAAACTCTTCTTACTGTATTGAAATTTAAGTAGACTATATGATAGAGCATATATTTTTTCATTCATTCAACAAATATTTATTGAATGTGTCTGTTAGGGGTCCAGGCATTTTTCAGGCTCTGATATGATGAAAGGAAAACATGAAAAGCCGTCTCTTGTTCCAAGGGGAGATTATTATTATTATTTACATGGTACTGCAGCCAAATGTGTTCATCTTATTAGAGTACATATTGATTGAGTATAACATGATAGCCTCTCTTAGGTTATAAAGTACTTTTATATCCTAAAACGTTTGTGAGACCTTTTCTAAATAATCACTAATAATCTAAAATACATACATATATGATTTTATATATATATCTTCACTTCATTATTATTTTCACTAAGAATATACAAAACTGGCTTTGTTCTAGGAAGTTACTTTGCTTTGTGATATTTCTGCGTTTATTTATCCTCTGTACACCTCTTATTACATAGAATTATGCTGAGTTGCTACAAATGAAATAAGCCAATTTCTATACATTATTTGTTTTGTCAAATAACACCATGTTCAGTCTTTGCAATGTGTCTATTCTTCTGGGGTTATTTTAAGATACATGCTTCAGTTTATATTGATAGCACCATACTAATCATTTTATAAAAATATATGAAATTTAATTGCTGATGTTCAATATTAGACATATTTTATGCTATTTTATCCACCAAAGCAAAGCCTTCTCCTAGTGCAGATCTGAGTAACCACCATTCCCCTCTGCTATCAAATATTTCCAAATTAATTAGTTATTTCCATGTTTTTGCCCTATTTTGATTTGTCCAACTATTTAATTTCGAATTAAACTCATTTCACTTAAGTTACAAACCAAGCGGATGTCTAGATTTGTTGTTTCCAGATTTATTTCAGACATTAAGAAAGTTATATTCTGTCTTTAATATATTTAACAGAACAAAACTCAAGTTGTCGTTTTGCTAATTATTCGCTATATAGATTAAAACATTAATCCCTGTTAAAATCATGCTATTTAGTACTAAGTTTTTTTTTGTTTTGTTTTGTTTTTAGGCGGAGTTTTCGCTCTTTTCGCCCAGGCTGGAGTGCAATGGCACGATCTTGGCTCACCGCAACCTCCGCCTCCTGGGTTCAAGCGATTCTCCTGCCTCAGCCTCCCGAGTAACTGGGATTACAGGCACGCGCCTCCACGCCCGGCTAATTTTGTATTTTTAGTAGAGACGGGGTTTCTCCGTGTTGGTCAGGCTGGTCTCGAACTCCTGAGCTCAGGGGATCCGCCCGCCTTGGCCTCCCAAAGTGCTAGGATTACAGGCGTGAGCCACCGCGCCCGGCTAGTACTAAGTTTTGTTGGATGAAGGGAGGATCAAACTGGGGCATGTCATTTTTTGACAACAGAGTTAACTGAGTGAGTGGCTCTCAATGGTTCATTACGTGTAACTTTCCTCTAACACTGTTACATGCGAGCTTCCGGTAGGAGTGCCTTCTCATGGAGAGGGTGGTTATTCATCAGTCAAGAGGATTTAAGTGTGTATAATCACCAGCTAGAACGTTCAGTATGCAACAGGCTTCCTTCTGCCTTCATGTGCAATAGTGGTCTTTAAAGCTGGAGCTTTTGCTGAATGTTGTTGATATACTACAACAATATCCAGAAAATGCACTCTATTTCCTCGCTAATCCAAAGCAGACAATGGCATACTTCTAAATTAATAAGAACACTGAAAACCACAAACATTTAATTCCAAAATCTTGTTGCTGACATTAGGATACATGTAAAAATTTAATCCAAGTTCAACTTAAATTCTTCCATCAGTTTTTGTTTAGTTGCTGTGGAGTTTTATAGGAAATTCAGATAGCTATAGGTTTCCCCTATAAGTTCTCTTCAATAATTTGATTCCTGCCAATAATAAATCTGTCCATCATGGTAAGTGATGCTTTTGTTATTCACATTGCCTTATGTTTATTTAACACAAAACTCCATTTGTATATCTCCACTGGAATCCTTGGTAATTTGTGATTGTCTATTAAATTGTGTTTTAAAATTGGCATTGAGTTTCAAATCATACTGTATAAACTGCCAATGGTATGACACTCATTGTTTATTTTAAAGCCATGATAAGGATAATTCCCTTTTCTGCTAAATGGACTCAGTTCCAAGTAGAATTACAAGGAACAACAAAATGTCTTTTTTTATTTAATTTAATTTAATTTTATTATTATTATACTTTAAGTTTTAGGGTACATGTGCACAATGTGCAGGTTTGTTACATATGTATACATGTGCCATGTTGGTGTGCTGCACCCATTAACTCGTCATTTAGCATTAGGAATATCTCCTAATGCTATCCCTCCCCCCTTCCCTCTACAAAACGTCTTTGAAATAAACTTTGTAGTAGAGAACAAAGTAAACAATCCTTGATAAGAATCAAGAAATTTAGATTATCCTCCTGGCCAAGCAACCACCTGCCTGTAATTTTGTAAAACAAACTTGGCTTCATTGATGTCTCTCTCCTTGTCAGTAAAGGAAGAGAGAAATAATTGAATTCATTATTCTCCCTATCAGTAAACAGTTTATTACTTTTAAAACCTAATTTCCTTAAACTTTGAAACGATAACTTTATGATTATTGTCTTTAATTATTGGTAATACTTTGAATAATTTAAGAATGCTAGGCTAGGCATGTCCATTGTACTCATTTTATGCCTTAAAAATATTCACAATTGATGGCTTAGTTGTATTTAGAAAAACATGCATAGCTCTAAGTATAAAAATGCAATGTCAATTTGAGGGGTTTTGTTGCTGTTTCTCATCATAAGTTCACCTGTAAGATTTTACTTTCAATGTAGCATGGTATCATTGAGTTTACTTATGTCTGTTATTTTTCATTTTTCACTGAGTATACAATATGTCTAATTCTTCAGTGTTGTTATTGTTTATTATGTCAGGTAGCAATGCTGATCATTTAGGGTTTGGAATTTTTGAAGTCAATGCCGTAGGCTTTCAGGATAACAAATGAAACAGCAAAAGGACTCATTTTCCATTTGGTATCTTCTAAATATAATTATATAAGGAAATTCCCTTTACCCACTATAGGATTCTGCTCTCAGAAATGTCTCTGTTTCTAGAGATTTTCGAAGCAAATGGCCTGCAAATGAAAAATCTCACTTAATACAAACATGCTTCCAAATGTTTTAGACATATTACCAATTTTAGTTCAAGTTTAATATTTTAATAATTGTGTTATGAATACTAGCACTAAAGCATCAATTATAAATCAGTATTAGGTTCTATGCTGGAAATACAGTGCATATACAGGCCAGATATTCTTGAAAAACCACATAATACTAGAGCTTATGATTGAATAGTTTAAGACCTTCTAGGAAAAATAAACCTGATAAGTTAAAATTTGCATACATTTATGAAAGTCCCTAAGGAGATTTTGCCCATTAATGGACTTAAAAAAAAGACAGCATACCTCTTTTATGAATAATAATTGGTGGTGTACAGTGACATTTTTCTTTTAGGGTTTTCTTTTTTAAATTTTTTTAAAATTTTACTTTAAGTTCTGGGGTACATGTGCAGAACGTGGAGGTTTGCTACATAGGTATACGTGTGCCATGGTGGTGTGCTGCATCTATTAACCCATCCTCTAAGTTTCCTCCCCTTGCCCTGACGTGTGTTGTTCCCCTCCCCGTGTCCATGTGTTCTTCTTGTTCACCTCCCACTTATGAGTGAGAACATGCAGTGTCTGGTTTTCTGTTCCTGTGTTAGTTTGCTGAGGATGATGGCTTCCAGCTTCATCCATGTCCCCGCAAAGGACATGATCTCATTTCTTTTTATGGCTTCATAGTATTCCATGGTGTAAATGTACCACATTTCCTTTATCCATTCTATCATTGATGGGCATTTGGGTTGTTGGTTCCATGACTTTGCTATTGTAAATAGTGCCGCAGTAAACATACATGTGCATGTGTCTTTATAGCAGAATGATTTATATTCCTTTGGGTATATACCCAGTAATGGGATTGCTGGGTCAAATGGTATTTCTGGTTCTAGATCCTTGAGGAATCGCCATACTGTCTTCCACAATGGTTGAACTGATTTATATTCCCCACCAACAGTGTAAAAGCGTACCTATTTCTCCACAACCTTGCCAGCATCTATTGTTTTTTGACTTTTTAATAATTGCAATTCTGACTGGCGTGAGATAGTATCTCACTGTGGTTTTGCTTTGCATTTCTCTAATGATTAGTGATGTTGAGCTTTTTTTCATGTGTTTGTTGGCCATGTAAATACCTTCTTTTGAGAATTGTCTTTCGGTGAATTTTTATTTACCTTCCTCTAATTTCCAGAAACTTTTCAAGATTACTTCCCTGATTGTTTTGTTGATATGTTGCTTTACTGAGAGTAATATATATGTTTAGAGTTACTTTTGTATGCATGTAATATTTCTTTCGATACTTAGACCATTTCTAATTTTATGATTTACTGATATTGACTCCCTCTAGCTCAACTGTGGTTATAGCAAATTAGAGTAGTTCCAATCTCTTCCTATCAACATTCATCAACTACCTAAGGGTTATCTCATCTCAGCCTCCTTCACTTTTCCTGATGCTTCTTTTCCAAAGTTGATACCACTAGTTTATTGCCAGTTTTACTTCTATTTTTTTCAACCTCCAGTTCCCTGGTTGTTTTGTTTGTTTTTGCTAATATTTCCACAAATAAGTAAATCAAGGTCTATTTTTACTAAAACCATAACTTCTAAATTGAGGTAAAGGATAACAGGAATGATTTCAGAATAATTAACTGGAATTAATATCTGCAAATAATATCCATCATCTGAATTCATAGCTTCTTAGGCATTATATCATCTTAAAAAGTAACTGATTTGATAAACATCTACCAAAAAATCCTGCATTATACTTAATGGTGAGGAACTGGAAGTGTTTTTGCTAGGTTTAGAAGCAAGTCCAGGATGCCCTCTCTTACAACTCCTATTCAACATTTTACTGGAAGAAATAGCTGATGTAATATGTGAAAAAGAAGGAAAATGTTTATAGATTGGAAAGGAATGAAATAAAATGTCTTCATTTGTAGATGACATGGTTTGCCATGGAGAAAATTCCAAAGAAATGTTAAAAAATAAAAATACCACCAATAAGGTCAATCTATCTATATATCTATACTATCAATAAGGTCAATAGGATACAAAGTTAATATATAAAATAAATTGCTTTCCTATATTCCGCAAACAAACATTTCAGAAATTTAAAAAAGAATGATGCAATCACAATAGCACCAAAAACCTTTTTCATTAGCACCAAAAAATGAATTACTTATGTATAAATATATAGAGAGTCTATAGGTAGAAATCTACAAAACATGATAAAAGACTAAAAGAAGATCTAAATAAATGGAGAAATATTCCATATTCATGGATTGGAAGACTCAATATTGTTTGATGTCAACTGAATATATAGATTCAAAATAAAAGCAATAAAAATAAAAATTGTATTTAATAGCTCTTAGCAAATTGATTCCAAAGTCTACGTTGAAAAGAAAAAGACCTAAAATAGGCAAGATAATACTGAAGAGAAACAAAGTTTGAAGACTCATGCTACCTGGTTTTAGTATTTAGTATAAAGCTACCATAATCAAGACAACATGGTATTGGTTAAAATAAGATACACAGATCAGCGGAAGAGAAGAGACGGTCTAGAAGGAGCACACACAAATATAGTCAGCTATCTTTGAAAAAGGTGAAAAGACAACTCAATGGAGAAAGAATTATATTTTCAACAAATGATGCCGAAGCAAATATACATCTGTAGGCAAAAGAAGAACCTAGCAACAAACCTTATACATGTTGCAATAATCAATTCAGAACAGATCACAGATCTAACTATACAATATAAAGCTATAAAAATTCTAGAATAAAATACATGAGAAAAATCTATGTGAACATGGGTTTGGTTATGCTTTTAGCTTTAATACCAAAAGCACAATTTGTGGAAGAAAAGTTTCATGTTGGACTTTATTCAGACTAAAAGTGCCTGTTCTGTGAAAGACAAGTGAAGAAAATGGAAACACAAGCCACAAACTGGGGAAAAATGTTTGCATAGCAAAAATCTGATAAAGGACTGGTATTCAGCATATACAAACACTCTTAAAAGTCAACACTAAAATAACAAACATCCTAATTTTAAAGTGGGCAAAAGATCTGAACAGACATCTTACCCACGATGATATACAGATGACAAATAAGCACATGAAAATACACTCTAATAATCTGTCATTAAGGAATTGCAAATTAAAACAACAACCAGATATGCACGTATTAGAATGGCTAATATCCAAAAAACCAAAAATACCAATTGCTGATGATATGGAACAACAGGAAATCTCATTCCTTGCTGATAGTAATGTAAAATGATAGTCACTTTGGAAGACAGAGCTTGGCAGTTTCTAACAAAGGTAAACATAGTATTATCATTTGACCCAGCAGTCATGCTTCTGGGTATTTACTGAATGTTTTTTAAACACGTGACCACACAAAAACCTGCAGGTAAATGTTTATAGTGGCTATATTCATAATAGTCAATTTGGAATCAACCAAAATGTTCTTCATTAGGCAAATAAACACACTATTATACTTTGATGCAATGGAATGTTATTCAACAATAAAAAATAAGGAGTTATCAAACCATGTAAGCACATGGCTAAGTCTTAAAGTATATATTGTCAAGTGAAATAAACCAGGCTGGGCCGGGTGCTCATGCCTGTAATCCCAGCACTTTGGGAGGCCAAGTCGGGTGGATCATGAGGTCAGGAGTTCGAGATCAGCCTGGCCAACATGGTGAAACCCCATCTCTACTAAAGATACAAAAAATTAGCTGGGTGTGGTGGCATGTGCCTGTAATCCCAGCTACTCTGGAGGCTGAGGCAGAAGAATCGCTTGAACCTGGGAAGTGGAGGTTGCAGTGAGCCAAGATAGCACCATTGCACTCCAACTTGGGCAACAGGGCGAGACTCCATCTCAAAAAAAAAAATTAAATTAATAAATAAATAAACATAAATAAACCAGGCTGAAAAGGCTATGGCTTCATACTGCATCACTTAGTTTATATGACAGTTTGAAAAAGGCAAAATTATAGAGGTAGTTAACAGATCAGTGGTGTCCAGAGTTTCAACATGGGGTGAGAGTGGTAAAGCACAGGGCATTGCTAAGCGTGCAGAAAATGTTCTATATGATATTGTAATTTTTGATACATAATACTATGTTAAAACCAATTGAACTATAAAACATAAAAAGTGTTCCTTAGTATATGCAAATTAAAAAAAAAACAATTATTGGCCAGGACTGGTGGCTCATGCCTGTAATCCCAGCACTTTGGGAGGCTGAGGCGGGCGGATCACGAGGTCAGGAGATCGAGACCATCCTGGCCAACATGGTGAAACCCTGTCACTACTAAAAATACAAAAAATTAGCCAGGCGTGGTGGTGGGTGCCTGTAATCCCAGCTATTTGGGAGGCTGAGGCAGGAGAATCGTTTTAACCTGGGAGCCACAGGTTGCAGTGAGCGAGATCGCGCCATTGCACTCCAGCCTGGGCAAAAAGAGCAAAACTCCGTCACACACATACACACACAAATAAAATTTAAAAAATTATTTAGAGGTCAAGGGCATCCCCAGATAGAATGCAGAATGTAACAAAAGGATCTAACTACATTACAAGCTCTCTGAGGGTGAGGAGGATGGGAATGCTGAAGTAAGGAAGTGCTAAAGCAAAGCAAAGCAAAACAAAACAAACAAAAATACCCCAAAACGCTCAGTGATGAGGATATGTCAGGGACAAAGAAACCAAATGAAGGAGTTCTCAACAAAAGCTATAGCAATTTGAGCAACAGAAAAAAATACAGTAGTATTGGATTATAACTCAAAGTATAAATAACTACGAATTCATACAAACAATAAATGATGTGTAAATCAATAAATGGGAAAAATGGATAAATATTCTGGTCAGAAGAAGTCCAAATGGCTTATGTGGATACTCTGCCCTCAGTGAGATAGGGCATAACTCCTTGTTTTTTAAGTATGGGCTGTGCATAGGGACCTCTTTCCAAAGACTGCCATATGTGAGTTGACTGAGTGTCAACTTGATTGAATTGAAGGATACGGGGTGTTGATTCCTATGTGTGTCTGTGGGGTGTTACCAAAGGAGATTAGCATTTGAGTCAGTGGGCCGGGGAAAGGCGGACCCACCCTTAATCTGGTGGGCACAATCTAATCAACTGCCAGCGAATATAAAGCAGGCGGGGAAACATGAAAGGAGAGACGGGCCGAGCATCCCAGCCTGCATCTTTCTCCCGGGCTGGATGCTTCCTGGCCTCGAACACTGGACTCCAAGTTCTTCAGTTTGGGGACTCGGACTGGCTCTCCTTGCTCCTCAGCTTGCAGACAGCCTGTTGTGGGACCTTGTGATCCTGTAAGCTAATACTTAATAAACTCCCCTTTATATATATGTATATCTATCCTATTAGTTGTGTCCCTCTAAGAGAACCCTGACCAATACACCATATGAAAATTGAAAAAAAAATCGAGTAACTTTGCAGTGGAGAAATTTGACAAACACTACCCCAGCCAAGCAATCAAAGTGAAAATGAACAGCGATATGCCTTGTTGATAATATGTCATTGAAATGGTGTGACGAAAATGGCACTTTTCCACTGTGGTCTTCTCCAGAACACATAACCTCAGTCTAATCATGAGAGAAACATCAATCAAATCCCAGTTGAGGGTCATTCTACAAAATACCTAACAAGGACTTCTCAGAACTATCACGGTCATCAATAACACGAAGACCAGAAAAACTGTCACAGACAAGAGGAGTCTATGGAGACAGGACAACCAAATGGAATATATTATTGTGGTTGGGATCCTGGAACAGAAAGAGGATACTAGAGAAAAACTAAGGAAATCTGAATAAACTGTGGGCTTTAGTTAATACTATATCAATATTGATTCGTTAATTGTAAAAAATGTACCATAGGAATGAGAAATGTTAATAATAGGAGAAATTTGATGTGGGCTGTATAGAAGTCTCTTTACTATCTTAGTAATTTTTTGGTAAATCTAAAACTATTTTAAAATTGAAAGCTTATTAAAAATAAATTTAAAATGTGATTGATAATTAAAGTCGTATAATTATGCAGCTGATGCTATAATTAAACTAATAAGAAGAATATAATTAGATTCACATGTACTGATATGGAAGAAAGCCAAAGATACATTATGTTAAAAAAAAGCAAATTGCAAAAACATCGATTGCTGTGACCCACTTTATGCAAAAATGTGAACACATATGCATACACCTAAATAGTTGAAGAGGTACACACTAAAGTATGGTTACTTCAAAGATAGCAGTAACATTGAGGTGGTTGTAAAAAATGGAGTGAATGTGGGCATAGGCCTTTTTTTCTATACATTTCTCTTATTTGAATATTTTATAATAAACATGTATTTGTAGATACGTATAAGTTCTTTATGATTTAAAATGCTTTTCTTAGATATATCTTAACTTCTTTTGCTACCAAGTCTGCCTTAATCCATTATTCCCTTTCATTAATGTAACATCAAGTGTCTTCTCCAATGCTTCTTTTTGCTAGGCACGTAAACAAGACTAAGTTTCTCCCAGGTTAAAGAGGAAAATAACAAAACAAAATAAAACAAAAAGCTACCTTATGCCTTTCAGTTACCCCGTATTTTTTTTCTGCCAAATTTCCTGAAGGTGTTGTCTATGGTCATTATTTCTACTTCCCTATGTAGCTTTCTCTGTCAGTTCACTGCAGGCTGTCTTCTGCCTTTACCTCTCTACTCAATCCAGTGTATGGCAACCTTCCTGACAGTGTGGTGGAGAGGGTAAAGCTCTGGGCACATTTGGGCTCTGTGTCTGAGAATTTGCATATTTTGCTTTACTTTCCTAATCTCAATTTCCTTACGTCTAAAATGAGGACAGTATCCTTCTTGCCAACTTCTAGTATAGAAACTGATACATAACATATTTTTAAAAATATTGATCAGATGATCTAAAAAGCAATCTCGTCATAGCATCATGGCAAAGATGTAATCCCTCACCATCTTTCCTCTAGATTCTTGCGGTGGTCTACTAGTGTTATAGATGAACTAACCTCCCTAAAGAGTCTCAGTGTGTCTGCCCTCACAACCCTTCAAATCTCTGTCAACACAATATCCAGAGTGGGCCCATTGAAGCCTAAAAAATGTGCATGTCTCCTCTCCTCAGAACCTTCCAGAGCCTACTATTGCACAAGAATGTGTTTGTGTAGTGTTTGTATGGCATGTGTATATGTGTGTGTGAGAGAGAATGTGTATTTGTGGAGGTAATCCTAGGAATCAACAACACTGGAGTGGAAAACTATGGCAGGGAAGAAAGGAAGCCATTAAAGTTTTGTTATCAAGCAGCATACTGCTGTGGGCACCAGGTGCCTAGGCTCAGTAGGAAACTCAGAAGGGTAGGGTGAATATGACCCAGAGGAGTTCCAACCAAGGTTCTAAGAAGCTGAGAATTTGGTCCACACTATCTGGCAGTTATTGGTTGATGGCTGCTTTGGGGAAGGATGTGGAAGGAATGCATTACTTTCTAACATGTCCAATCTACTTTATCTTTAAGCCTGGCAAACTGTAGCAGCCAAAGAGAGCGCTCAGTTGAAGACCTGTCAATAGGGAGCATACCCAAGAATGGTGAAAGCCAAGGAGATATGGATGGGTTGCTGACAGCATCTACTAAAATGTCTTCTTTTCAAATATCTAATGTATTTGTATTTCCTTTTTAACCCTATGCATCATGTAAGGTTCTTTAGGAAATAGAAGGCATATTCACAGGGGATAATTAAAGAGAATTTAACAAAATGGCTATTTATAAATATGTAAGCAGTTTTCAAGAATTTCACAAGTTAGAAGAAAGCTAGATGGACTAAAGCTATTTCCATTGTCTAAAGGAGCAAGGGTAGGGAACAGACACTTGAACCTATTAGATGTGGCTTTAAGTAACAGAAATCAGGCACCGCCAAGCTACGCCTCAGCAGGGAAGGATCCTGAGAAATCACACTCAGATTGATCTCTCCTCCAACCTCTGATCTGCTCTTTGTGTTTTGTTGGTCAAAGCAATAACAAGTCAGAGTATAGAAAGTGAAGCAGTACTGAAGAGTCAGTGGCCAGAGCTCAAAGCTCACTGAAGTATGAGAAGTGGAGCCAGAGGAGCAGGTGGAGAATATTCAGCATGACTAGGGCAATGTAAGTTGTAAGAGAGCCTGATTTTTGTCCCCCTGTTTCCTGCACTATCCCCTACAAATAGAACAGTGCCTCATACATAGTCAGTACTAAATAGATATTTGTTGAATGTTTCAGTCCATTCACAATACTTTTGCTATTCATTGTAAATTATTCCAAGATTGCACTTCGTTTAACTTTTGCCTTCCAAAAAGTGCAAATTGATATCTCGATATTGTGAATGAATACCCTTAAAATGTTTAAGTGCTTCATCATAGGGGAGTGTCACAGCTTCGAATAATCGTGATGTAAAGACTGGTTTTTTAAAAAAGTCGTCTTCTCTTGTAACTCAATATTTCCATTTCCTCTTCTCGATGAAGCAATAAAAATGGTTTTCCTGAGTTGCCAGATAAAGTCCTTATTCAAAAACTGTTTGACTTCCATGAACCCAAAATAATTCCACTTGATAAAGTATATTTTATTAGTATTTACCATCACCTTAAGGAAAGGCATATGTAGGAGATTGCCTAGTGCTGATATTGGAGGACCATATATCAGAAAAACATATATTAAATTACACTTGATCATTTCTATATTTCTAACTTGAGAGAATATTTCTGTCAGTCAGTGATTCAGGATCCTGTATTTAATTAGCTGTTAAACATTTATTACAATTTTTGATTTTGTCATTTTTTATTAAAATAGTTTTAACAAACATGATTCATTGAAAATAATATTCTCATCCCACGTTAAAGATAGTTTTCTACTTTTATTTTTTCTACTCAACTCTTTTTACCTTATATTCATCAAAGAAAAGTAGAAGTAAACGTATCCCCCCAAAATTCATTTCTACTTGGGCTCTGTGAATTTGACTTTATTTGAAAATAAGATATTTTCAAAGATAATGAAGTTAAGATGAATTTACACTGGATTGCTAAAGATCTGAAATCCAGTATGACTGATGTTCTTATAAGAAGAGGGGAATTTAGAGACAGACACAGGCACATAGAAGAGATGCGTGTGTAGATGGAGACAGAGGTTGGAGTTAGGTTGCCACTGGCAAGAGTACCAAAGGTTGATGGCAACCACCAAAAACTAGGGAAGAAGCATGAGCTCGATTTTCCCTCAGAGCCCACAGAAGGAGCCAATCCTATTCACACCTTCATTTCAAATGTTCAGACTCCAGAACCACAAGAGAATGAATATCTGTTGTTTGAAGTCACCAGGTTTGTGGTGATTTGTTACAGCAGTCCAAGGAAATATATACAGAATAAAATACAGTACCAGATCTGTTCTCATCCACTGGCAAACATTTTTTGGAATATTAAATCTGGAAATGAAGAGTGGATTGCCACTTTCTTTTTTTTTTTTTTGAGATGAAGTCTCGCTCTTGTTGCCTAGGCTGGAGTGCAGTGGCACAATCTTGGCTCACCGCAACCTCTGCCTCCTGGGTTCAAGTGATTCTCCTGCCTCAGCCTCCCAAGTAGCTGGGATTACAGGCATGCTCCACCATGCCTGGCTAATTTTTGTATTTTTAGTATAGACGGGGTTTCACCATGTTGGCCAGGCTGGTCTCGAACACCTGACCTCCAGTGATCCACCCTGCTTCGGCCTCCTAAAGTGCTGGGATTACAGGCGTGAGCCACCGTGCCCAGCCAATTGCCACTTTGGGAGTATCAAGAGTCGGCCCTTATTAGCAAGTATTTCTATCTGCCCGTTTGGGTTGAGCAAAATTAGAACTGACAACGGACTAGATGCTTCTATTACCAGTATTTCAACCTCCAGAGGATCCAGATAACAGTTTTCAAGTAACTCTCATAGTAGCCTAAGCTTACTTAAACTCTGAAATGAAAGAATAGAAATAGACTCAGGATGCCAAAAAGTCATACATTTATGATTTAAACTCATCAAACTGAAATTTAAAATAAAAATTATCTTGAAAACCTGCTACATAGCAAACACTGTGTTAGGTTCTGGGAATACAACATCGAATAAGACAATTTCCCTGACTTCAAGGAATTTGAAGTATGACTGTAAGATACAATGAAATGTACAATGAAAAGGGAAACAGGAGGCTACAGAAATAAAATGAGGCCTATCATATTTAGCTATATGCTGAAGGCATTTGCAAGTCGTTGAGGAGTTTGAAGTTGGGAAGCAACAGGATAAAATTTGTTGTTTAGAAAACAGCACGGGGTAGAGTGGAGGGTAGTTTGGGCAGATGCAAGCCTGGAATGACTGGGAGATCAGCTAGGCCAGTATAGCTGACATTCTGAGAAAAAGGTGAGGTGGCTTCACATAGAGTTAGCAATGAAAAAATGAAAGTGAAAAAATGGACGGATTACAAGGATGTTTAAATGGTTAATCAGCAAAGTTTAGGGATTTAATTGGGGGTAGAGATGGGAAGGAAAGACAGTGGGGAGGGAAAGGCAGATTCCAGTTAGTGGAAGTTAGTGGCATCATGGTGCAGTTTTCTCTAGGCAGGAGGCCCAAGATGAAGGGCAGGGTCCAGGTACACAACGGAGAGGCAGGTACAATGGGCTACATTCAAGGAAACAGATTTTCTGTTATTTACATTCAAGTTATTTATATACCCACCCACTCACAGACACTCTTTTTTTATTCTTTCAAATGAATTAGCCTACTCCTCTCTATTTATGAACAGCATTTGGTTGATTTGGCTCATTATTTAACTAAACTAAGTTCAGTCAACTTTCAAAAATAGCAAAAACAGGCCAAAGTGGGAGGATCACTTGAGACCAGGAGTTTGAGACCAGCCTAGGCAATATAGTGAGACCCCTGTTTCTACAAAAACAAAACAACAACAACAAAAAGTATCCATGCCTGGTGTTACGCATTTGTAATCCCAAATTACAAAGGCTGAGGACAGATGATGGCTTGAGCTCAAGTGTTCAAGGCTGCAGTGAGCTATGCTCTCACCACTGCAGTCTAGCCTGGGTGACAGAGAGAGACCATGTCTCAAAATTTAAAAAAAGTATTTCTTGATATTACACAGCTAGATATTTTCAAAACATAATTAACAAATAAAAGAAATAATTTGAGGTAATTGTAAAAGACATAATTTTAAGTAAAATTTAAAAATCTTCACGAATATTCCTTGCTCTCATTAGATGGTGAATATTTAACCGAACTTTGCAGGTGATGGCAGAGACACAGGCTAATAATAAACATGATGACTTGAAGTAGTAACTCAATTTATTATTTTAATATATATTAAAGTTAAGTATGATAAATTTATTTAAATTAAAAGAAAAAGTCATATTTAATTTTGTGGAAATACTAAGTAAATAAAAAGTGTAAACATTGTTCCAGAAATAAAACTGCAACCCTTTAATGATCTGATCCTAGGCCTCAACCTGGCTCTCAGTTCTAAAGTCTTTTCGTTCTAAGTGTTTGCTCTAACACTGGATCCCTGTGTGTTTTACTCCAAATGCAGATCCCAGGGTACAAGGATGAGACAAATTGCATATAATCAAAAGGGGAAAACCAATAACTATGACTAAATTAGAGAAACAACTGGCACGGAAGAGCGTGAGTCAGAACTACTAGTTTTCTAGTTTTTTCTTTTAATTCAAAAATTGAAGTATGGACAGGTGTATTCTGTGTCCTGTGAAGCTGTGGGGCAATTTTAAAGGCCATCCTTTCAGTAGTGTCAACACTGGTAACCTCAATGTTAACCACACGCTCTGCACAATGAATACTTCAAATTTTCCAAGACAAGTCTGCAGAAAACAGGAAATGGATTCTTCATTCTGCACTTTTTTATTTCTAAGGTTACATTCTTTTAACTTTTCAGACTGTTACTACAGTTTATATCACATACTGAATGTTTCCTAGAAAACTAACAAAGTTGAGATCACCTGAATTGCTTTTCTATTTTCCTGCACACTGGTATGAATCATACTTCTCTAAGCAAATATGTTCCTTAATGTATTACTTTTCTTACTTTGAAAACTCTAAAACTACCTACTCTAATTTATAATATCACAGAACTTTACCCTGTGTTTACTATACATTTACCTCAATTTTATCATTTTTATTCTACATACAACCCTCATGAGATTGTCACTGTCTTTCTTATCATCTGTGTGAGCATTAGTCATGAGGCTGGAAACTTCTTGGGGTAAAAAATATTCCAATATTCATAATTATATCGGCTAGCTTCCAGCATCATACATGACATAGGGATTTTATCTGTTGTTTGAAATTGACAGAGCCTTCTAAAACCATATAATCACTCATTGGCTTGGCACTCTACATGGCAATATTTATCAATGACTATGAAGTGCAAGACACAATACAAAGTGTATATCCAATCTTATAGAGAGCATTTGGGGACATCTATGTTGCAAAATTTAGAGTTCTCTTTATTTGGATTTGAGAATGATAATGTGACATGTATGCTGTTTTAAAGCCACACCTGTTCCAGCACTGGACAGCACCACGTTTTGCCTCCCATGTTTCCAGATCATGTTTTGCCACCAAATGAGTTCAAATTGTGTCAAGTGTTGTTGAATAATACAATATGTAAAAATCTAGTTTTAAGAGCTGGTATTTTGGTTTTATTGTTGTTGTTGCTGTTGTTTCAGGATTTTAAACTGTGGAACACATTGTCAGTGATCCAAAGAAGGAAGAGATAGGCATTTCAGGAAAATGACATAAAGTGTAAGAAAATAGAGATGAGGGAAAAAAAAAAAAGAAATACTTTAGAAAAGACATGTAATCCAGAGAGCTGGGAGCGTAGATCTTGGGAAGGGGTCAAGTGCATTACAGCTGGAGCAAGGCATCAGGGTTGAATTATAGGAGATGTATGTTTTGCTCCTATTTTTTTTCCTGCTTTATTGAGATATAATTGACAAATAAAGTTGTATATGTTTAAGGTATACAACATAGTGAGTTAATATGTTTATGTGCTGTGAAGTGATTACCACAATCAAGCTAATTAAAACACCCATCACCTCACATAGTTACTCATTTTCTGTATGTGCTGAGAACACTTGAGATCTACTCTCGGCAAATTTCAACTCTACAACACAGTGTCATTAACTATAGTCACCATGCGTACATTACATCACTCGAACCTATTAATCTTATAACTGGAAGTTTATATCCTTTGGTCAATTTCTCCTCATTCTCCCAACTTCCTAGCCCCTGGCAAACACCATTCTACCCTCTGCCTCTGTGAATTCGACTTCTTTAGGTTCCACATATAAGTGAGACCATATAGTATTTGTCTTTCTTTGTCTACCTTATTTCACCTAGCATAATATTCTCCAGGTTCATCCGTGTTGTCACAAGTGGCAAGATTTCCTCTGTTTCATAGCTAATATTGTACTGTGTATATACCACATTTTCTTCATCCATTCATCTGTTGGCAGATGCTTTAATCTGTTTCCATAACTTGGCTATTATGAATAATACTGAGGTGAACATGGGAGTGCAGATATCTCTTCAAGATACTGATCTATTTTCCTTTGCATATATACCAAGAAGTGAGATAGCTGGATCATTTGGTAGTTCACTTTTTATTTACTTATTTATTTTTAAGGAACCTCCGTATGGTTTTCCATAATGACCATACCCAATTAAACTCTCACCAATAGTGTACAAAGATTCCTCTTTCTCCACACCCTTGCCAATGCTTGTTATTTCTTGTCCTTTTTAAATAATAGGCATCCTAACATGTGTGAAATGACATCTCATTATGATTTTGATTTGAATTTCCATGAAGGTTTGTGATGTTAACCATTTTTTCACGTACCTATTGGCCATTTTTATGTTTTTTTTAGAAAAATGTCATTCTTGTGTACATGTACCCTAGAACTTAAAGTATAATGGTAATCAAAATAAATAAAATAAAAAAAGGAAAAATGTCATTCCAGTCCTTTGCCCATTTTTAACCAGGTTTTTCTTTTGCTATTGAGTTGTAGTTTCATATATAATTTGGATATTAACCTCTTAACAGACATCTGGTTTGCAAATATTTTCTTTCACTCCCTGGGTTGCCTTTTCATTTGCTTGACTTTTTTTTTTTTTGCCTCTTCCAGAGCAATTAAATACACTATTAGCTATGCTAGTCCTTATTTATTCATGACTCCCTATCTCTAGACAGAAAACTCTGGGGAACAACTGGCCCCTATATCCTCCCACTTACTAGATGTGCATGTTCTACAGACACTTTAAATTCAATTTGTCTAACCATATTCATCCATTAATTTAATAAGCCATTATTAGCCAATGTATAAGACATTGGAGGTTCAATGGTGAAAGTCATACCAATTGCATTTTTGGTGCAATTACTTCAATAATGTAATTATTACATTACAAAATTACAAACCGAAGCATACTCTGATGGAAGGAATGAATGTCCTTCTCAGAGAGTATCTAAGAAGGTAGCTTTTCCACATCTGGTGGGGCTGATGTTCTCTGAGGAAGTGAAAGCTGATCTGGGATATGAGAGTGAAAAGGAAAGGAAGGAAGGCTACCAGAATGGAAACAAGCATGTGCAAAACCCCTGTGGCAAGGCAGAGTGGAAGGAATCAGAGAAAGTGAAAGAAACCCGTGTGGAAAGAAAGCCAAGGAACCACAGCTTGTATATGAAACCATCACTGTTAGCCCTCTAGAAGCCTTCTGTCTGCTCAGCCCCCTTTCTTCCACTGAAGGAATAGTAACTACACTGTTCAAATATTTATGGCAATAATTCCTTATTATATTTAGTTACCACTCTTAAGAATTTCCTTTTAAGTTTATATAAATGGAACCATAAAGCATATAGTCTTTGTGTATGATTTTACCTACAGTACATTTTGTTTTCCAATTTGTTTGTGTTCTTGAGTCGCACATTTCATTCATTTTGGATGCTCGAGAGGATTCTTTGTTTGAATATACAATAATCCATGAACCTAATGCTTTGATGATGAACATTTTTGATGTTTCTGTGTTTCTAGTGATCACAAATCATATATGATTAAACATCTAGGCACACATATGCACGTCATTTCTCTAGAATAAACAGCAATATGTATATATATTTGTATATATATATGAACATGAACATATGCAAACACAAGTTCATGCATAATACTAATATAAAATTATGTACTATTCTATCTCCTTTCACATATTTTCTGTTTTTGTCTCTCTTTTCATCATTATTGATGTTTTCTTCTTCCCTTTCTTCCATTTAATGATCTCTCTGCATCTTATCCATTGAATTCTTAGTTTAGGCTATTTCACATATTACATTGTTTTAGTTCTAGAATTTCTATTACTTTCTTTTCTGAAAAATCTGCCTGACAGATCTCTTAGTCTACACAATCTAACACGATTTTCTATTATGATGGAAATATTCTATAAATCAGTATTGCACAATGCAGTATTAACCAACCACACATAGCTATTCAGCTCTTGACTAAAGAATTGAATTTTTACTTTTATTTATTTATAATTATTTCAAAGTTAACATTGGTAGCAACTTTTATATTAGATAGAAGGTCTTCTATGATTCTATTTTCACCATCCACTTAAACTTAAAAGAAAAAAAAAAACCTAACTCACTCAGGGGAGGCATGGTGGCTCATGCCTGTAGTCACAGCACTTTGGGAGGCCAAGGCAGGAGGGTTGTTTGACTCAGGAGTTTGAGACCAGCCTGGGCAACAAAGTAAAATCCGATCTCTAATCATAATAATATAAATAATTAGCTGGGAGTATTGGCATGCGCCTATGCTCCCAGCTATTAGGGAGGGTGAGATGGGAGGATCACTTGAGCCTGAGAGATGAAGGCTGCAGTGAGACCTATCATGCCTCTGCACTCTGACCTGGGCAACAGAACGAGACCCTCTCTCAAAAAACACAAAAAACATAAAAACTAAAATGCTCAATTGGAAAAATTTGAAAAAAAAATAGACAATCATAATCAATTAAGACTCAATTGTCAACACTCATAGTGTATAAATTATATACACTAAATGAGATTGTGTGCATACTATCCATATCTACACACATACACATAAACAAAATAAATTTTAGTAATGTTAGTTTATGTATTTTATAGCCTATTTTTTCAAACAATATTTATAAAATAATTTTATGGCATTAAATAGTGTCTAAAATCATAGACTGTAATGACTGTGTAAGATTTTACTCTTGGTTCTATAATAATATTGTCTTATTACTCGACATTTAGACGACTATTTTGATACTGTTGCTAACATGATTATCTCTAGCTGATTTCTTAGGATTATTGAGATAAAAGTAGGATTGCTGGAATAAAATATCCAAATATTAAAACATTTTTGGTATTTATTGTCAAATTGTTTTTCGGAAAAGTTATACCAGCTTGAATTGCCATTAGAGTAAGATAAGAATGCAGTGTGAATTTAAGTCCTGTTTCTCCTCTACCTTTTCCTATCTCCTCTCTTTCTGTATCACCATATGACATTTGTCATAGTCCTGTTCTTCTTCAATATCTTTGTTCCATAACCTCTGTTTTAAAGGTTCCCTCTCCCCATTCCATGTTCAGCTCTCCTGTCTTTTTTTTTTTTTTCTGAGACAGAGTCTCGCTCTGTCACCCAGGCTGGAGTGCAGTGGCGCAATCTCGGCTCACTGCAAGCTCCGCCTCCCGGGTTCACGCCATTCTCCTGCCTCAGCCTCCCGAGTAGCTGGGACTACACACGCCCGCCACCACGCCCGGCTAATTTTTTTTTTTTTTTTTTTTTTTTTTTCAGTAGAGACGGGGTTTCACCGTGTTAGCCAGGATGGTCTCGATCTCCTGACCTCGTGATCCGGCACCTCGGCCTCCCAGCTCTCCTGTCTTAAATGCTAAATCTCACATCCATATTTCCAATCTGTCATGTCTTCCAAGATCAAGTTCCACTTTTCCAACATGTCTGCTATATATATATATGCGTGCTTGTCCCTACTGACTCTCATCGCATCTAGAGCTCAATTTTTAACATTATCTCTTCCCCCAGCCTATCCTAATAACTCAACTCCCCATGTGTTCAGATTTCCCTTTTCTGTAAGCAATCCTATTGTCACTTGAGCACAAAACTCCCACTCTTTGTCGCTTTTCCTTTATCTCACAAATGCCGACAGTCATCAAGAATGATTAAATTTTCATTCGCAATATGAATCCAAGACATGTCTTCCCTTGCATACTGCTGCTTCCATGCTAGAACAGGCCTTTATCACCATGGCAATTTTCTTTTAAATACTGTTCCTGCATTTAGACTTTCCTTCCATTAATCTATTCTACTCAATGCTTCTAAACTAATCTACTCAATTTATCATTTTGAGGGTACCACTGTCTTCATCAAAAGTCTTCAATGTCCCCCTGTTGTGTTGTAAGCAACCCCAAGTTGCATAATTTGTCATTTATCCATTTGTCTTGCCAGCCAGCCATTCAAAATTTATGGAGTGCCTACATGATTTTTTTTCCTTTGGAGAACTGCTGGCTACTGGAACTACTGGCCCTTGCTTAAAAAGGGTGTGAAGTGCCTGGGAGTTTATATCCCCTTGAGATTTCCACTAACCAGTGACTGAAAGATACTGACAAAAGCCTCACATCCATAGTCTGAATTATAATAGCTCTGAAGCTTAGTTTACACTCCAGTTTCCCTATGGAATCAGGCGAAAGGCTGTTCTTGGGCTTTGCACGGCGATCACACTCTTGCCTGACTTCCTTGTCTTCCTTGCCCTACTTCACTGGTTGCCTTATTTATCTACCCTGGAGCCCTTCCTTAATAAATTATTTTTATGTGAATTCTTCTCTTAGGTTCTGCTTCTGGAAAATCCAAAGAAAACCACTTTTGTTAAGAACCAAAGACATGATCACTACTGCGAATGAACTCACGCTGAGTAGAAAAATAGACATGCAAGCCAGCAATTTAAATTTTAATATGCTATCTACCATAATAGTGGGATTTGCAAAGTCCTGTGAGATGAGGAAAGAATAAATACCTATCTCAGGTAAGGGAAGTCGGACTGGAAAGTCTTCCCCTAAAGTAATATCTGATCTGAAATTCAGATAAGATATTTTTTTTAGGCAGAAATAATAGGTAAACTAGTTATAACAAATAGTGTGGGAAAAATTTAATGTTATAAGAACATGAAATTCTTCAGGAACTACAAATAACTCAACGTACTATTATCAGAGGCAATATGTGATACAAGAGGGGGGAGGGAACTGATTCGAACAGGTGAGTAAGATGGCCGAAATGTGAATTCAAAACATTCTCTGAGTGTTGTAAAAAGAGCTCATCTAGTTTATCTGTCAAAGATGGCAAACAATATGGAGAACCCAGGAGGGCAATGCCTTTGATTATAGAGTTGTAGCTATTGCTCTGGCAGTATTGTGGAGGACTGCATGTGGAATTTGCAAGTAGGGCTAGTCTGGAGAAAGAATAATCAGAAATCAAATACCATGGTGAGCACAAAGGGCTGAGAAGAGAGATAATGTGAGATATTAGAAGAAGAAATGGCAGTAGTTGGTGATTGATTGGGTCTGTGGTAAGATTCTAGGCTTTGGATCACCCTGCCAGTCACCAAATCTGATAGAATTTTTTTGACTTACTTTATCAAGATAGCAGCATTTTCCTTCCTTCTTCAGCTTCCTGTTTGATTGTTTTGCTAACTTTTGTACGTTTTCCAAATTATCCATATTGACAACATATTATTCTTTTACTTGCAAAGTGGAGTAGGTGGTAAAAATGAAATCATAGCATATAGACAACTTACTAGAAATTATTGAGTTAATCAGAAAAAGCATGCTGATAATTAAAATACATGTGAAAAAACGTCCAACCTCAATCATAACTGTTTAAAAAATGTCAATTGAAACAATATCAGATTAACAAAAATTTTAGTTGTAAAACATTCAATTTTAGCAAAGATAAAGGAAAGAAACATGCTAATGCACCACCTGTGAGACTATAATAGGTCCAAATTTTTGAAGAGCCATTGCAAATATCTGGCAAAGTAAAACACTCACTTCCTTTCATCCAGCAATGGCACCACTAACAATTTACACTAAGAATCAATCTAGATGAATATATATGAAGATGCTTATTACTGTATTATTTATAATAGCAAAAAAGTCCATTAATATAAACTCATTAGCTATACTATAAAATGACCGTTCCGTGGAATATTATGCAGATGTTATAAAGAATATGTTAATATAAATGTGGTCAATAAATATTGCATTACAAAAAGAAGAGTAGAAATTGAGCTTGTAGAGAATAATTTCATCACCACTTAATGAGAATATATATACACTGAAAATTTCTGAAAGGATCCATCCAAAACTGCTAACATTATTTACCACTGGGGCTTGAAAATGATGGAGATTTGCTCTTGTCATTTATTTTTTTCCCCAAGAACAACAGTAATTTGGCGATAAAATTAATGGAAAGGGGCATTAACAAGATAATTGAGGGACAGTGTTTAGTTTTTACATGTTTGTGGAAGGAGATGAGGAATTAAAACTTTATATAATTCTGTTGAAATAAAATAAAAATAAAATCCTTAGAGTCACAACTCTAAGAAAGGACAAGCACTTACAGATAGGAACATAGACGCTAACCCCACATCCTGTAAGTGTCAAACCAACGACTAGGATTCAGCTCCCCTGACCCTTGCCCCAGTGCTCTTTCTATGATCCTAAGCGATAGTATATCTATGCCTAGAAAATCAAGCCAACTGAGGTGGAAAAGATCTCTGCCATTATTTCTGTCTTCTCCGAATATACGGGACTGATTTTGAGTTCATAAATAAATAAGAAATGTTGAAGGGTTGTCCATGGGACACTAAAGTTCCACTGTATTCTCAACCAGAATTTCTTAATTCAGTACCATTGCTCTAAAAGGATGCTTTCTCAAGCACTGAAAAATATGGTTCCATTTATGTCCCTAACTTAAGGGAAGAGACATTTTGAATTGGAGGCAAATAATCTATGTTGTAACACTTCAAAGCTAGGTCAGGAAGCTTATGCTAAATGCCTTATGTGTACTTGTGACTTTTGTATTCTGACCCTGAATGTATTACACAGATAAGCTGACATGTCTCCAATAATTTTCCTCCTAAGTACGGTATAAATGAAATATTAGCTCATATTATCTCGGCACCCCACCAACTGATCAGTTTGTTGCTATAAAGTGCAAATGCCCAATCATATAAAATTCCAAGCATTGCTCTGTTGAAAATGAGAAGGCATCACTAGAATGTGAGTGAAAAGAATATTATGTGCTTCCCTTTTCTATATGTTAGATTGCTTCACATTGAAAAAATAAGTTCAATCTGGGAGGCTGAGGCAGGCGGATCACAAGGTCAAGAGATCGAGACTATCCTGGCTAACATGGTGAAACCCTGTCTCTACTAAAAATACAAAAATTAGCTGGGCGTGGTGACGTACGCCTGTAGTCCCAGCTACTTGGGAAGCTGAGGCAAGAGAATCGCTTGAACCCGGGAGGCAGAGGTTGCAGTGAGCCAAGATCATAAATAGTCTTCACTCCAGCCTGGCAACGGAGAGAGCCTCCATCTCAAAAAAATTAAAAAAATAGAATAAATAAAATATAAAAAATAAGTTAAATAACATACTACCCAAAAACTTGTAAATTACTTTATCCATCTACTTCTAGGAAATTACAAAGAACAAATTTCATTATTTTAGCATAACAGGGATGGATTTTCTTTTGTAATGTTCAATATATTAACGATAGATTTTTTTTCCTAGTGTTCTTTAGGATACTTCCTGCAATACTTCATTCAAGTTATCAGTGATTTTTACTATGTATTGTAAATGATACATAGCCACCATATATAAATATTTGCTGAATTCAAGATTACTACGTTAAGAAACTGGGGTAAATAAAATGGAAACAAGACATCCGTGAATATTTAAGGATATAATATCGCAATTGCATGTTTCTGCTGGCTTTTCATGATATAATAAACCTTGTTTTTTCTTCTAATTTAAAAAATGCTATCAATAATAAAAATGCTAATTATACATAATCAATATTTTTATACATATATCAATTCTTACAAATGTTCTAATTGCAGTTTAGTAAACTGATGTGTAAATATACTTTGTAAGACAGATAATTTTTTTTCTATTTGTAGGTATTTTATTTTTATGATATTGTAAATAATATATTTTTAATTTTTTTATTATACTTTAAGTTCTAGGGTACATGTGCACAACGTGCAGGTTTGTGACATATGTATACATGTGCCATGTTGGTGTGCTGCACTCATTAACTCGCCATCTACATTAGGTATATCTCCTAATGCTATCCCTCTCCCCTCCCCACCAACCCCACGACAGGCCCTGGTGTGTGATAGTCCCCATCCAAGACAGACAATTTTATAAGAAGATTAACTTGAAGTTATAAGTAGACTAGTGAATTAAAATTTCCATTTCCTATGCTGCAGAGCACTTTTAATGCAATTTGGAGGGAGAACATTAGTGTTCAGCATTTATAATTTATCATTTGACATTTGGACTAAAAACTCTATTTCCAATACTGCACATGCTACCATAATGCAGGGTTTTACAAAGAGATTAGCGTAATTCAATGGTTAATCATATTTCAAAAAGGAGCTATATTGTGGACTTTATATTCCCCTCATAGTTGCTTCTGGAAGGGATCTCATTTGTTACTCCTTCTCAGCATTGGGTTCTATTCAGTTCTTAAGTGAAAACGGGAAAAAATGCTACCCTATACTGAAGCATTTCAACACAATTGGAAACATTATGCATGATTTTCAATAGATGAGGATATACATTTACAAAGTATTCACAAAAAGATATTTTTGGCCAAATTTGAATTTGTTGAAAGAAAGTACATCTCTGATCTACTTTTTTAGAATTTTCTGGGTTTCAAGGTCTTTAACAGAGGTGTGTACGTATGTGTGTGTGTGTGTGTGTGTGCACGAAAATGTACTGTGTTCATAAAAATGCCACTGTTGGTGTTTCCAAAATGAAGCTACTACAAAATACAGAATTGGTGTAATCTAGAGAGGGAGAGGAATTGATAATGCAGAGAGCACTTTGAAAATAAAACTGTGGAAAAGAGGCCACAGTATGGACCAGAGGTAATTACCCGATCACTAAAAAAGAGAGAAGAGAAAGAAAAATACACAGGAAAACAGGGTCAGAGAGGCAGAAAGTGAAAAATCAAACAGTATATTTGGCACTGTAGAGAGTAAAAGAATGAGAGATTTTCCCCCTTTCTGTTCATGGGTTATGAAATTGAGGTTTTCCATATAATTAAGAAAGGATGGATCTTGGCGAAGGGCATATTGTCATCTATGAGAGAGCTGCGAGAAGTGTAGGGAAGATTGGAGAAGATGGCTGACATTGCTGCTTTGGGGTAGTTGCTCTAAAACTTCTGCCATTCAGCCATGCGGATGAGGTGAGCAGGTATTTGGGGACATGTGTGACACTTGATCACATGTAACAATAATATATATTACATTTAGAACAATTTATATCATAATTTATGTGTGGAACAGGATGTAGCTCAACAATGAATATTCAGAAACTTTACCTAAAAGCCAATTCATAAGTTATTCTAAAATTGTTGTTAACCTGGTGGGTGTATTTTCTAGGGATTTCAAGTGAGCAAAAATTGCCAAGAAATAAAATCCGTCAGGAATAATGTCTGCTTTGCCTGTGAATCATAGACACACTTAAGAGGCATTTAACAGTTTAGTTAGAGCAATAAATGATCTTTGCTTTAAAATTGAAAAATGTGTTTTCTTTAAACTTTGGTTTCATTTTCTTAGGCGTTTATTCAAATAATACATATGTGTGAATGTATGTGATTTTTAGACTATAAAATACTTTGAAACTGTTAGATAAATCTTTGCTAATAAGACATTTCGTTATGGAAGAATTTTGGGATTCCTTTTGCTCTCAGTATTGACTACTGTCATTGTAGAAGTTCTGACAATATGATGATTGTATGAAGACTCTGTGTTCAAATGCATCATCCCAAGGCACTGAAAACATATTTTCATGTTCTTGTTTTATCATATTTATGTATAACGGAAATGGGAAGACTGAAAGATTTCATTATCACAATTTTGGAGGGCAGAGAAAATACCGACAATCTGCATTTCCAGGCTAAGTTTAAGCTATTCAGAAGCCAAACCTTCTCACTATTCAGCTGGCATATCACATTCAGCGAGAAAATGTTTCAGTTTTTTCATAGCTATGTTTAACTTTAAATAAGAGATTACATAATTAATGCTAAAACTGCCTGTCACTATTATATTCCTTAAGGTTTTCCATTCTTTCTTAGCTTAAGTCCTGATTTTTATTTTCATTGTTATCATTGTTATTTTTCTTTTCATAGAAAAGTACTACTTAGCTCTATAATCTTTTGTTTGAGATTAAGGGATGAATATTTTTGACAAAGGAAAAATATGCTTGAATAAGTTTGTGGTCTTCCGTGAAGGTTTAACCTTATAGAGTTGGATTTTTTACATTTTTGATAATAGCAATGATTACATAAACCTTATCCAAAAATTGTTATAATTATTGAGATTAATTTTGAATCAATTAAAAAGTTTAAAAATAAATATTATTTGAAGTGTTTATAAGATCAGAAAACAACTGAAAAGATTCATGGTTATACATCAATAATTGCTTATAGTGTAAATGAAAACATTTGTTAATTTCTAGAAATTTATTGCATATTTGATTCTACTTTCCAGGCAATATTCCCACATTTTAAGTTTGTCTTCATTTCAATAAAACTGTATCCAGAAAATTAATAAAACTATAATTTGAATGTACAAAAATTTCAAATAATGACTCCATATATGCTCAGGAAGTTTAATGTCTTGACTTTAATCATACCAAAGACTTCTTATATTAATACAATTTTGTATATATGCAAGGGTTTCACTTCTGTATGTAATCAAGAACTCAACTAAGCTGTTTATCCTCTCCATGTTCTTCCAGAACATTCTCCCTTAAGGATCTAATTCATGGTTACTTCTTACTCTATTTTTAAATTTCACCATGATTATGCATCTCATTTACATTTTATTTCCTGGGTCTTTCCTCACCTCTCAAAAACTACCCAGAGAGCATGATAGCAGCCTTTTCTTGACTTCCACACCTTACACACACACACACACACACACACACTCTTACTTTCACAAATATGTGATAAGGGGAACAGTGTTGCTACATTTATATTATTCTTGACAGATGAAACTGGGCACCTGTTTGCTGCATATCATAGGCTTGGCCAACATCAGGCAGATGCTGCCCAGATGGCCTTTCTTCATCTAGAAACATGGAGCCATGCTGGCCATCTCACTTTCCTCGCACCCTCAACCTAATTGTCCCCAGGTCCCAATCAGCAGTTGAATGCATTTCCTTTCCTTCATTTTCCTTTCTGCTATCCAGGCATTTGTCCTCTTGGAAAGCAAGACGAAGCCTTCCTACCTCATGCTTAATCTGCTCCAGTGGCATTAGCCTACCCTCATTCCTCAGAGAGAACAGATCCTTCCTAACTCAGAATTTCACACAAGGCACGTACCCAGGAGTCCTCGCCACTCTATTCCACCCCATGTCCCCTCATATTCAATAGCCATAGGCTTTAGTCTAGAGGTGACACCTCTGGGACAATGTACCTGAAGCCCTAGACAAGGAGCTTTGTTATTTGCCATCACATATTCTACGTTTTTCTACATGACATTTATATCAATAATTTTTGTTTAAATAATTTTTAATATTTTAGTCCCTCTCCTCAACATACACGCTTCTAAAAATCAGTGTGTTGCTCACTACCAATTTCCAGCACCTAGCACAGTCCTTAGCATATGGTTGGAACTCACTGAATTTCAGCATTATAACGAAATGAATTAAATGGATGTTGTACACATGTGTGAGGAGCCATGTGGAATGTAAATGGCAGCATACCTATGTGTAAAGTTGTCAGAATCAAGGAAATGGAGCTACATTGGGAGCCAGAAAGCTAATCCATATGGATGTCAAGGAGATGAGGCTTGAGACACAGAGCAGTGAGCAATGTGAGGGATCCAAAGGGTAGGGAAGTCCCACAGGAACACAGGAGATGATTCAAAGAACCCGTGGTTGTCCTGAAACATTGCTTTTCTTCATGGGCTAGAGGACTTCCTTGGCAGAGGGCTGAAGACAAATGCGTGCAAAAGTGCTTTCTCTAAATGTCTCACCAGCTTATGTTTTCAATGTATAATTCCAGAACTATATATCACCCATCTCTCCGTGCTGTTCAGTTCTTTTCATCCTGCTAAATCTTTTCTGCATCTCTATTTAGATGATTTCTCATTCTTTCCATCTGAGACTGATGGTTATTTCCATGTGGGGATGTTACGAAGAAGAGTATTTAGGGTCTAGTTAGCAAAAACAGACCATAGAATTTTTTTTTAAGGTCTGCCCAGCATTTAAGAAGATATCAGCCTGTTCTCCAAGTGTCCAGTCCTATCTCGTGTCTACCAGCTTTTAGCCTTTTTCTAAGGATAAGCTCTCGCTTTTCAAATTCTGTGTGACATTTTTAAGGCCACATACATGAACACATTTTCATTTATTCCATCTTGCAGTCCTGAAGCAGTAACGTGACTACCTGTTGCAGCAAAAAGGCTGCTCCTTGGCCTGATCTGCATCTTCCGGGGAACTTGCCTGGCGATCTACGATCCATCAAATTTTCCCCTTAGTAAATCTCAGAAAAAGATCACCCATAAGCATAGCACAGGGGTATTCTGAGGTTTGACTAGTATTTCAGAGTGCTGTAGATCCTAAGATGAAAGTAGTAAGAAAGTTGAAAAAATAGTATTATTTATTCAACAGACATGCTAGAAATCTCAGAGCTTCCCTAGTCCCTATTTTCTGTCCTAAGCATGTAACATAAAACCCTGCAAAATCAGAACTGAGTTCTCTGTAAAGACATTCAGAAATAAACAAGACCAACCTTGAAGGGGGAGGCCTTGTAATCCATGGTTTATTCTTCTTGTTATGGCTGATGGCAGCACCTAGATTAGAGTAGGTGCTCAGCCATGGATTCACTGAAATAATGCTTTAAAAGTATACTAATAGAGAAGAAAAGAGAGAAGAATCAAATAGACACAATAAAAAATGATAAAGGGGATATCACCACCAATCCCACAGAAATACAAACTACCATCAGAGAATATTATAAACACCTCTACGCAAATAAAGTAGAAAATCTAGAAGAAATCGATAAATTCCTGGACACATACACCCTCCCAAGACTAAACCAAGAAGAAGTTGAATCCCTCAACAGATCAATAACAGGCTCTAAAATTGAGGCAATAGTTAACAGCCTACCAACCAAAAAAAGTCCAGGACCAGAAGGATTCACAGTCGAATTCTACCAGAGGTACAAGGAGGAGCTGGTACTATTCCTTCTGAAACTATTCCAATCAATAGAAAAAGAGGGAATCCTCCCGAAATCATTTTATAAGGCCAGCATCATCCTGATACCAAAGCCTGGCAGAGACACAACAAAAAAAGAGAATTTTAGACCAATATCCTTGATGAACATTGATGCAAAAATCCTCAATAAAATACTGGCAAACCAAATCCAGCAGCACATCAAAAAGCTTATCCACCATGATCGAGTGGGCTTCATCCCTGGGATGCAAGGCTGGTTCAACACACGCAAATCAATAAATGTAATCCAGCATAGAAACAGAACCAAAGACAAAAACCACATGATTATCTCAATAGATGCAGAAAAGGCCTTTGACAAAATTCAACAGCCCTTCATGCTAAAAACCCTCCATAAATTAGGTATTGATGGGACGTATCTCAAAATAATAAGAGCTATTTATGACAAACCCACAGCCAACATTATGCTGAATGAGCAAAAACTGGAAGCATTCCCTTTGAAAACTGGCACAAGACAGGGATGCCCTCTCTCACCACTCCTATTCAACATAGTGTTGGAAGTTCTGGCCAGGGCAATCAGGCAGGAGAAGGAAATAAAGGGTATTCAACTAGGAAAAGAGGAAGTCAAATTGTCCCTGTTTGCAGATGACATGATTGTATATCTAGAAAACCCCATCATCTCAGTCCAAAATCTCCTTAAGTTGATAAGCAACTTCAGCAAAGTCTCAGGATACAAAATCGATGTGCAGAAATCACAAGCATTCTTATCCACCAATAACAGACAAACAGAGAGCCAAATCATGAGTGGACTCCCATTCACAATTGCTTCAAAGAGAATAAAATACCTAGGAATCCAACTTACAAGGGATGTGAAGGACCTCTTCAAGGAGAACTACAAACCACTGCTCAATGAAATAAAAGAGGACACAAACAAATGGAAGAGCACTCCATGCTCATGGATAGGAAGAATCAATATTGTGAAAATGGCCATATTGCCCAAGGTAATTTATAGATTCAATGCCATCCCCATCAAGCTACCAATGACTTTCTTCACAGAATTGGAAAAAACTACTTTAAAGTTCATACGGAACCAAAAAAGAGCCCACATTGCCAAGACAATCCTAAGCAAAAAGAACAAAGCTGGAGGCATCACGCTACCTGACTTTAAACTATACTACAAGGCTACAGTAACCAAAACAGCATGCTACTGGTACCGAAACAGAGATATAGACCAATGGAACAGAACAGAGCCCTCAGAAATAATACCACACATCTACAACCATCTGATCTTTGACAAACCTGACAAAAACAAGAAATGGAGAAAGGATTCCCTATTTAATAAATGGTGCTGGGAAAACTGGCTAGCCATATGTACAAAGCTGAAACTGGATCCCTTCCTTACACCTTATACAAAAATTAATTCAAGATCGATTAAAGACTTAAATGTTAGACCTAAAACCATAAAAACCCTAGAAGAAAACCTAGGCAATACCATTCAGGACATAGGCATGGGCAAGGACTTCATGACTAAAACACCAAAAGCAATGGCAACAAAAGCCAAAATTGACAAATGGGGTCTAATTAAACTAAAGAGCTTCTGCACAGCAAAAGAAACTACCATCAGAGTGAACAGGCAACCTACAGAGTGAACAGGCAACCTACAGAATGGAAGAAAATTTTTGCAATCTACTCATCTGACAAGGGCTAATATCCAGAATTTAGAAAGAACTCAAACAAACTTACAAGAAAAAAACAAACAACCCCATCAAAAAGTGGGTGGAGGATATGAACAGACACTTCTCAAAAGAAAACATTTATGCAGCCAACAGACACATGAAAAAATGCTCATCATCACTGGCCATCAGAGAAATGCAAATCAGAACCACAATGAGATACCATCTCACACCAGTTAGAATGGTGATCATTAAAAAGTCAGGAAACAACAGGCGCTGGAGAGGATGTGGAGAAATAGGGACACTTTTACACTGTTGGTGGGAGTGTAAACTAGTTCAACCATTGTGGAAGACAGTGTGGCTATTCCTCAAGGATCTAGAACTAGAAATACCATTCGACCCAGCCATCCCATTACTGGGTATATATGCAAAGGATTATAAATCATGCTGCTATAAAGACACATGCACACATATGTTTATTGTGGCACTATTCACAATAGTAAAGACTTGAAACCACGCAAATATCCATCAATGATAGACTGGATTAAGAAAATGTGGCACATATACATCATGGAATACTATGCAGCCATAAAAAATGATGAGTTCATGTCCTTTGTAGGGACATGGATGAAGCTGGAAACCATCATTCTTCGCAAACTTTCTCAAGGACAAAAACCAAACACCACATGTTCTCACTCATAGGTGGGAATGGAACAATGAGAACACTTGGACACAGGAAGGGGAACATCACACACCGGCACCTGTTGTGGGGTGGGGGGAGGGGGGAGGGATAGCATTAGGAGATATACCTAATGTAAATGATGAGTTAATGGGTGCAGCACACCAACATGGCACATGTATACATATGTAACAAACCTGCATGTTGTGCACAGGTACCCTGGAACTTAAAGTATAATAAAAAATATATATATATAAAAAAAGATATAGATAAATGCAGGTATAGAACATATTGCTGGATTGTAAGGTATCATTTCTCCTGAAATTGATATATACACAATACAAATCAAAATCCCATCAGGCTTTTATGGTCGTTTTATAATAAATTGTGAAATTAGGTAAAAAAAAAAAAGAAGAAAATGTGGCACATATACACCATGGAATACTATGCAGCCATAAAAAAGGATGAGTTCATGTCCTTTATAGGGACATGGATGAAGCTGGAAACCATCATTCTCAGCAAACTATCGCAAGGACAAAAAACCAAACACTGCATGTTCTCACTCATAGGTGGGAATTGAACAATGAGAACACATGGACACAGGAAGGGGAACATCACACACCGGGGCCTGTTGTGGGGTCGGGGGAGGGGGGAGGGATAGCATTAGGAGACATACCTAATGCAAATGACAAGTTAACGGGTGCAGCACACCAACATGGCACATGTATACATATGTAACAAACCTGCACGTTGTGCACATGTACCCTAGAACTTAAAGTATAAAAAAAAAGTATACCAATTCACAGAAATCCTCCACACTTCCAATTACAATAAAACTATCCATCTATTACTCTAAAATTTGTGAATATTAATCATTCTATCTTTCCAGCTTTTCTTCTGCATTTGTGACCCCTTTGTACTATTTTTTTCTGTTAGGATACAGTCAAGAAAACTGAAATCATGGTAGTAGGTACTTTAAAGACGGAATTGGTTACCAGATGTTAGAAGGCTCTAGAAGTTCTTGAGCAGGAGTAATTATAGACATCAGTTTACCTTAAATGGGCAGAATTCAGATAGATAACAACAACAACAAAAAGAGACTGTGGAGGTTATTCATAGTGGACTAATTTGTTTGGAAAAAATAAGTAGCTATAAATCAGTATATTCTAGTATCTTTGAGACAACAAATATTGGAAATTGTTTTTCTTTTCTTTTCTTTTTTTCCCAGCAAGTGCTGTGTTTATTTTCCAAACAATTTTATTGAAATGTCCCAGGAGTAGATGGGCAGCACAAATGTATGAACAGGAAAAAAAAATCACATGTACAATAATTTTTTTAAAGTGAAGGTTAATCTTGGGAGATATCAGTTCCCCTCTCCCTCCCCCTGCAGACTTCCAGCGTTTCCGTTAAGGTTAAGCCTCTACGAACCTAGCATTAAAAAAAAAAAAAAAAAAAAAAGGAATACAAGATCTTTTGCAAATAACAAAAACAAAAACCAAAAAATGGCATAAAGGAAAGAGAAATACCTTCCTGCTCAGATGGGACTCTTCCTAGGCACC